>NC_000003.12:112796483-113099513 GCF_000001405.40 Homo sapiens | reverse complement strand
ACTCTGATGGAGATGTACGAAGAGATTAATGTTCTTTACATGCCTGCTAATACAAAATCCATTCTATAGCCCAAGGATCAAGGAGTAATTTCTACTTTCAAGCCTTATTTTGAAAGAAATAAATTTTGCAAGGCAATAGCTGCGATAGAGAGTGATTCCTCTGATGGATTTGGGCAAAGTAAATTGAAAACATTCTGGAAAGGATTCACCATTCTAGATGCTATTAAAGACATTCTTGATTCATGGGAGGAGGTCAAAATATCAACAGGAGTTTGGAAGAAGCTAATTTTAATCCTCATGAATGACTTTGAGGGGTTCCAGGCTTCAGTAGAGGAAGTAATTGCAGATGTGGTAGAAATAGCAAGAGAGCTGGAATTATAAGTAAAGCCTGAAGATGTGACTGAATTGCTGCAATCTCATGATAAACTTGAATGAGTTGCTTCTTACAGCTGAGCAAAGAAAGTAGTTTCTTCGTAAGGTATCTACTCCTGGTGAAGATGCTGTGAACATTGTTGAAATGACAACAAAGCATTTAGAATAGTGCATAAACTTAGTTGATAAACCAGTGGCAGGTTTGAGAGGATTGACTCCAATTTTGAAATAAATGTGAGTAAAATGCTACCAAACAGCATGTCACGGTACAGAGAGATCTATTGTGAAAGGAAGAATCAGTCAATTCAGGCAAATTTTGTTGTTGTCTTATTTTAAGAAATTGCTGCAGGCACCCCAACCTTCAGCAACCACTGCCCTCATCAGTCAGCAGCTGTCAACATCGAGGTAAAACCCTCCACCAGCAAAAAGATTATGACTTGCTGAAGGCTCAGATGATCATCAGCATTTTTAGCAATAAATATGCACTGGGAAACCCAGAATTTTTTGTGACTTGCTTTATTGTGATATTCACTTGATTGCAGTGGTTGGGAACCACACCCCCAATATCTCCAAGGTATGTCTGTATGTAGAAAAAGATATGGTGTGAAATAGTAACATTGTTGGGCCTGAGTGGCCATCATTGCAACGGTGCCTGGTCCCAAGCTCAGGTCAGTCTGCAAGGACTGCTCTCACAAGCAGAATTTGATCCTCCTTAAACAATGATTCCCTTAGAGCTTTCAGGGAGAAAGAGGATGAAAGGCCAAAACTCATACCTATGGTATGAAAGACAATCTTCAGAGAATAAATGAAGAGTTGTTGAAACCACAAAAATGAGGTCCTGGAATAAGTTCTGTCATAACAGTGCAATCAAACATTCCTGGCAAGTGACTCAGCCATCATCGCTGCTTTTCCTTGAGAATCTTCACCTCTACTGTCCCAGGAGTGTGTTTTCCATTCTCAGTGCAGACGTTTCTCCTGGACTCTTCCCTACAAATGCTACAGAAAATATGTCTTCTCTGGCCTAGAGGAAACTCAATCTTACTTCTGGGCTGTAACCTTAGCCTCAGCCTCTTCCAAAATTCTAGATGGCTTCCTCATATGGTCCCACTACGACAGGGGCCTAAGCTTGACTCCAGATCTTCTTTGCTGCTGGCTTCTGTCCCCACCTAAGATTGTCTTTCTTTATGCCAGCCTCTGGCCCAGTCCAGATCAATGTTTCTCCTATTCCTGCTGCAATATTTCATTTACTTGGCACAGTTTTCCAATCAGTTCAGTGCTTTCATACTCAGCAACCATACTTCAGGGAAATATGGCATGTATATATCACACTCTCCCTAATTCAGCTCAACAAATTTGTCTAACTTACAAAACAAAACTGTAGAATCTGCAAAAAAAAAAAAAAAAAAAACAATTGCCATTTTCCTAGGAACCTGGTTCTGAGGCTAAGATATGCATAAGGCAAATGAAGACAGAACAATTTCAAGCCAAGATAATAAACACGGGCTTGGCAGTGAGAAAGGAATAGATACCTGTGGGAAAGGCTGAGTGAAGACTTTTGGGAAAAACTGATGGGAAAATAGATTTCTGTTTGAATCTCGGGGAAAAATCATGGTAAAACAGTAAAACCAACCCAGAAAAAAAAAAGTAAGGAAAAGGTAAGGTAATAGCAAAAAATTTCACCAATCATGTATGTTTTCAATTGAGCTCGTCAGTATACTTTTCCTACTGAATCCAATAATGAAGTTTTCCAGATGACTTTAGAATACCTCCTATATTGTCCTTTCCTTCCTCTTTCATCTTGCCTTAACTTCTGGTGGTGTTGGAACATGAAATTAATAGCACAAAAATAAAAACAGGAAGACTGCAAGTGAAGGAGCCTCAAATAAGAAGTTGAAAATAGAGTGCAGAATTCAGGACAGACTAGAAGGAGAGGTGGCAGGTGGTGGGCAAGGGGGATGGGAAGGAAGAAGAGGAACCATACTGACTATGTTTTGAAAGATGTCACTTTCAATTCTGTGAATGATCAGGGATCAGAAAACGTGATCCCTGCCATAACCTCTAAAGGCTAAGAAGCAAACATATTCCAAATACTGTGTCATTAATATTCTCTCTTTGGAAAAAGGCGATAATAATACCTCATACAGTATTGTGATTATTAGATGACTATTGTGATTATTAGATAATTATTGCACATAAAGCATTTAGAATAGTGCCTGGCACATAGAAAGTATTATAGAAGAATCGACTTCTATTATTTATATATAATAAGCACACACAAAAGGTTAAAAAAGCAAACAAAAACTCAGTCAATCTTAACATGTGGTTTGTATATTATTTTTAAGTGACCACATATTTTTTCTTTCCAGAATAAATGATATCTAAGATGGAAATGAGACAGGTTAAATGAATGCTAGTCTGGGTTTAATAACAAATCCATGTTTTTGTTCAGATGAGGAAATAAACCTCAATGATTGCATCAAAATGACCTCTGATTGCCTGATATTAAGATGTCCAAAGCAGGCAAATGTTCAGCCTATTTAAAATCACCACTTTTTTTCTGATTTAAGGGTGGTTTAAGGGTATAAACCAACTTCGTTAAAAATAAGAGGAGCTTGTTCCACTAGAAGAAACTTCTTCCAGCCTCTGAGCCAATGTTCCTAACCTGCCTGAAGAACAAATCTACCATTTCTTTGAACCTCCTTGGTGGCCCCCAGTCCCTGTGCCACAACCAAGCTCTGTTTGATTTGACAAGCTCTCACTGTGTCATGGCCCCTGCTGGCCTAGCTATACAATGGTAGACACAGGGAGAAAGAAGTTTCCCCAGTGGTCCTGCGAGGCTGTGCATTTGGTGGAGGAAAGAAAATCAGGCTGGAAAACTCCTCTGTTCTGACAATTTGGAGAGGAACATTCCAGTGACTGCCTTATTTACCTTCATGAAATGGCAAAGTGGGGACAAACAATATCTTAGCTGTCTGAATGATGGCTCTTTTTACTCTGCCCAGCTCTCAACATCTCTGAGTCTAATAGATTGTATTTCTGAGGGCAGCCTATGTCCTCAGTCCCTCATGGTTACCTTGGAATGAGGAGGAGCCTTCACATCATATTGCAATCCCTTAAAAAGACACATTTCAATTCTCCAAAGTTATTTTTCTCAAAATACAGGAAGTTTGCTGATCTAATTTCCTAGAGATAGTCCCCAGGGGTTCAGAGGCAAATTTTTCGTAAAATAAGCTGGATAACACAACAGCAACCTGGAGAGAAAAGGAGTCTGTACTACTGAATGTGGACAATTCATCTCTGCAGAAGGTGATGCAAGATTTGAGTTGACGTATAATTTTAGGGAAAAGTAGTCTTGTAAGAAAAATGCACAGAAAATTTTTCCATAATATCGAAAGGTCAAAATTAATTTTGAAAGTTTTTGTGGGTGTGAGAAGTTGAAGACTTATGCAAATATTATTTTTGAAATGAAGAATAAATTCAGAAAGGTGAGGCCAATAATAAAAGACATAAAAGTCAGAACCATAGGTTTATAAACAATCCTGACTTTGAAAAACCACTTGGAATTCTTAACATTATTGCAAAATTTACAACTTCATGTGATATTAATAGGAAAAGTAACTGCTTTTATTTTGATTTCAAATATCTTTAGTATTAAAGACTACATTCTATAAAGGCATAATTTTTTTAAATATAAAAATCCTTTGGATGATAATTGACTGTGAGTTTATGGTGAATCATTCATCAAGGTGTGGTAATGGTGTATCTTTTCCCAATTTTCTTTTTGGCATAAATAGTTTTAGTCTGTCATTATCATCATTCATAGAAGGAAAAAAAATAAATGTTTTCTCTTATAAAAACATGGGGACTGCTCAGTAAATAAACTGTTATAAAATTAAAATTGGGTTTCAACTCTGAAGATGAAGTTGTAAGAAACTGTCCACTTTTGATTCTGAAGTGGGCTTTTGTAGTAGTTTTCTGAACCTCTGGAATAAAGGGGGTTGATTTGTGATGGAATCTCCAGAGCCTGCAGTCATATATTAACAATGTGTTGTAAATCCAGAGGGTACAATATAGATTTCACAGGGGGCCCTGGGGTTAATTGAAATTCCATCTGTTTCTTCTGTGTGGCAGACATAGTATCCTGGGATATTAGCTCAGGATAAGAAATGAGATTTGCAATTTTTTTTATTTTTAAGCTAGAGGAGAGGTTTGCCTAAATCTGCTCCTCCCTACTTCTACCTCCTACCTTCAATTAAGGAAAAAAAAAAGTTGAAAATGCAGCCTTTATTTTCTCCACAGCTGCCCCTGAGGCAGCCCCCCTTCTTTCCAATGCATGCCGGGTAATGCCACGTATTCTTAGACTCCCAATGGCCCCCATTACTATCAATTAGTTACGGAATGCTACAGGGATTCATGCCTGACAGCTCGGGTAAAGGCAGGAGAAATGGGCTCAGTAGGGAGCGAGGGGCCTGATTCTTTTTTGTCCACAAGAAATACCTTTCTCAGCAAGGCTTTTAATGGCCTTCCCTTCTTCTTTTCCTCTGCCCAGGCACCCCCAACGATCTCAACACACAGGATATACACATACCCTCATATATTCATACACCGACCTGTTTGTGTGAATGCTGCCCAGGACTGTGAGAACTCTCAGAGTAGGAGGCTCTGAGATGTCCTTATAACCTCTGAAAATAACAGAGCTTGAAAATTCCAGCTTATATCTTTGCTAGAATCTGATTCCTAAGTTCTCTCTTCAGAAGATTTCTTGTTACTAAGGGCCTGCTTTGCCTCTAGCTTATTAGTATATTTTCCTTCTGCAGCTCTCCTCCCTCCAAAGAAGAAACACACTCTCTTTGGTCACAGACTCCCAGTAGGGAGCCCGCTGCACTCGTGCTGGCCAGTGGCTTGGGCAGTGAATTGTAGTTGGCCATCTCCTACCACTCTTATGTCTTTCTGATTTCTTTCCTTTACCTCTTGCTCTCTCTTCTCTACTTTCCAATATTTTCTCCCTCTTCCTCCTATCATGCCTAGATCATTCCACTGACTCCCAGAGACTTGAGGCCAAGTGCTTGTTTTAGTCATCTTTTCTCCCTCTCTCCCCTTCCTTACTCACCCCAAGTGTTTATCATAACAGGATCTGCCTCAGGACCTTTGCTCTTGCTGTCATCACTGCCTGAAACACCTGTCCTAGATATTTGAATAGTTGCCTCCATCTAATCATTTATATCTGAGCTCAAATGACACAAAACACAGTTCCTCCCTGACTTCTCAAGGTAAAGGGTCACAATTTATACCCAGTTGTTCTTTCCCATTATTATATTCTTTTCATAGCCTAACACATTATCTGAAATAGTATTATTTAGCTATATGTTTATGTGTTTATTGACTGCTTCTTCCATTAGAATGAGTCTTCATAAGGACAATTTTTTTGTTGTTGTTGCACTCCACGGAATAAGAGTTTTGTTGCACTCCATGGACAAATAGGAGCTCAATAACATGTATTGAAAATGAATGACTGAATAAAGTTTTAAAAATGTGATGCTATTGGTTGTTCTCATGGTTAAGGAGAACCCAGCATCACACCAAAATGGTTTGCCTGTTTCTGGTCTGCTACCTTTAAGTACCAAGCCTTCCTTAAGATTCAAAACAAAGATACACTTAGAAAAAACCTGATGGGAAAATGACAGATCTAATAGACAATAGCAAATACAATGCTTAAAGCGATTATATTTCTCTAGATGGGTTTAAGAAAGATGACAGAGTAGGCCAGGCACGGTGGCTTATGCATGTAATCCCAGCACCTTGGGAGGCTGAGGTGGGCGGATCACCTGAGGTCAGGAGTTCGAGACCAGCCTGACCAACATGGAGAAACCCTGTCTCTACTAAAAATACAAAATTAGCCAGGCATGGTGGTGCATGCCTGTAATCCCAGCTACTCGGGAAGCTGACGCAGGAGAATCACTTGAACCCACGAGGCGGAGGTTGCGGTGAGCCAAGATTGTGCCATTGCACTCCAGCCTGGGCAACAAGAGTGAAACTCCATCTCAAAAAAAAAAAAAAAAAAAAAAAAAAAGACAGAGTAAAGGTAATAGAGGATGACACAGAGGAAAACACCATCTGGGGCAATTAGCCCCGGGGTTATACACAGTTCCAGTTCCTTTGTCTCCTGGGGCATGGCCTAGGGCAGGGTGTGTAGGGGAGTCAAGGGCAGAAGCAGTGAGACACTTCCATCGTCTCATCCAGACATCTATAGGAAGGCAGAGGAGTCCCAGGAAGAGAGTAATATGATGGAAACAAGTGAGGGGGGTAGTGGGTGGAATGTGACTCTCAGAGAGATTTCCTCAGCCCAAGGGTAAGGCGGTAGGCATGTATTTCAGGCAGCAGGCATGTATTTCTTGAAGTCTGGGGCTTTATCGGGAGGACACTGCCCAGAGCAGGACTCAGGTCTGCAAACTGCAGCTACTTTATATTGTCACCCCATCACCACCCACATAGTGCTTTAAGATTCTGACAGAATCATGAGGCTTCATATAATGCCATCTGAGATGAATTTCCAATGCTGTCTTATTATTACATCTGCCTTACTTTAGTGCTTTTCAAACTTTAATGTGTATTTGAATTACCTGGAAAACTTGTTAAAATGCTGATTCTGGGAAAGGTTCTGAGATGCTGCATTTCTAACAAGCTCCCAGGTAATGCCATTTTGCTAGTCCACCTACACACTGAGAAGAAGGACATTACCTCACCATCATGGCGAGAAATGGAGAGCTTGGTAAAGATGGATTGACTCTAACCTCAATTAAAGAAGCAAGGGCCGGGTGCGGGGCTCATGCCTGTAATCCCAGCACTTTGAGAGGCCGAGGCAGGCAGATCAGGAGGTCAAGAGATGGAGACCATCCTGGCCAACATGGTGAAAACCCGTCTCTAGTAAAAATACACAAATTAGCCGGGCGTGGTGGCATGCTCCTGTAATCCCAGCTACTTAGGAGGCTGAGGCAGGAGAATTGCTTGAACCCGGGAGGTGGGGGTTGCAGTGAACCGAGATCGTGCAACTGCACTCCAGCCTGGGTGACAGAGTGAGACTCCATCTCAAGAAAAAAGAAGCAAGAATTTCATTAGTAAATATTTTGTTTCTACATATAAGGAAAAAAATAAACATTTATATCTATGACCCTTGTATTTTTCCTTTTTGGTAAATGAGTGTCATAGGTGCTTGGAAACAGTAAATGAATTCATTACTAGAGATAGCAAAGCTGTTTGTCAAGTGTAAATTTCTATTTTTTTCCACACCACACTCTTGAATGTGTATAATAGAGGAGGAGAGAATCAGATCTATTATACAAACTTACTTTTTTCTTCTCTTTTGTATCTTTCCTTCCTTCTTTTGTTCCTTCCTTCCTCCCTCCCTCTCTCTTTTCCCTCTTTCTTTCTTTCTCTTTTCTTTCTTTCCTTCTTTCTTCTTCCTTCTTTCTTTCCTTTCTTTCTCTCCCCCTCCTTCTTTCTTTCATTCATTCTTTCTTTCCTCTTTCTCTCTCTCTCCCTCTCCCTCCTTCTCTTTCTTTTTCTCTTTTCTTTCTTTCTCTTTCTCCTTCCTTCCTTTCTCTTTCCTTCCTTCCTTCCTCTTTCTTTCTTTCTTTCCTCCTTCTTTTTCTTGTCTCTCTCTTTCTTCCTTTTTTTCACTTTAAACGGTGCAGTTACTTTGGCATGAAGAAGGAAATTAGCCACTGTATAATGAATGAGGTTGCTTGGAAGAGAACACAGCTTGCTGTCTACTTTGCTTCTCCTTTCCTGATCTGCTAAAGAAAAGGCAAAATGTGTAAGGTGAGGCTCATACACCTGTGTTTGTACTAGTGCTCTGATTTGAATGTTTGTTCCCTCCAAAACTCCCATTGAAATTTAATTGCCATATTAACAGTATTAACAGATGGGACCTTTAAAGGGTGACTAGGCCATGAGGGCTCCGCCCTCATGCATGGAGTAATGTTATAAAAGGGCAAGTTTGGTCCTCATCTTTCTCTTTGCCTTCGCCATGTGATGTCTTCTGCCATGCTATGATGCAAAAAGAAAGCCCTCTCCAGATCCCTGAACATTGGACTTCCCAACCTCTGGAACTGTGAGCCAATAAATATATGTTCGTTACAAATTACCCAGTCTGCGCTATTCTGTTACAACAGCACAATCGGACCGAGGCAAATAGGTAGCCAATAAATAAGATTTTATTTAGAAAAAAATGCAACAGAATATCCATACCTGCACATAGTTAATCCTGCTCAAGGTGTTTGCTCTTATAAACATATGGGTTTGGGACTCAATTTACAAAAACAACTTGTATTTATAAGTTCATGGAAACTCAGACAAGAACAGGCAGCATTAATTAAGTCTGAGCCAGGTGCCAGCTGGGGGATCAAATCCAGAAGAAGCAAACAATCTAGTTAGAAAGATAATGTAAGAAAAATTAAGCAATCATTTAACATATAAACTGGAATTTACATAATTTCATAAACTGTCAGTAGCTTAATGGAGTCAAAGGGAGTTTATGGGAGGAAGAGGTTAATTTAGATTGAGATGGTCAAAGAAGCTTTTTTTGAAAGGTGGTTTGAAGGAAGGTTAGGCCAGAAG
Organism: Homo sapiens; assembly: GCF_000001405.40. Classification (NCBI taxonomy): domain Eukaryota; kingdom Metazoa; phylum Chordata; class Mammalia; order Primates; family Hominidae; genus Homo; species Homo sapiens. The sequence goes on along the minus strand of NC_000003.12, from coordinate 113,090,525 downwards.
AGATGGGAATATGAGGGATGGATGTAGCAGGTAGGTGAAAGGACATGAACAACTGTGTGCATATAAAGTGTTTGGGATCTTATGAGCAGAACAGTTTCACTAAACTGATTTATTTCTTTAAGGCAAATATAATAGAGGAAGAAATGGTGGGAACAACAAAGTTGGGATTAGATTAAGGAAGGTCTTGAACCTTAGGTGAAGAAGGTTGGATTTGATTCTGTAAATAATGGGGAACTACTGGATGTTTTGAGTAGAAGAGTACATTTTTGCAAAAGTATTTTAACAGATTAATTTCAATAGTTTATACATGTGACAAAAGGGTTAGAATTAGGGTGGTGGCAGAAACTAAATAGATGGGATAGAGAATAGATCTGAAGGAATCATGTACTTTAATGACTGATGGAAGATTACAATCAATGGATGGGCAGAAACCTTCAGCCTTGAAGTTAGTAGAAGAAAATAAGCAGTTTTGGAAGGGGGAATAAATCCAGTTTGAGATATCTCAAGTTTTAATAATAGTAGGATGGACAAGTAGAAAAATCCAGTAGACAACTGGAAGTGTGACCTGGCATAGAGGTGACCATAATTGAAGTCATGGGAGTGAAAATTGCCTCTAAGGAAAACCAAGCAGAGACTGAATCTCAGAAAGGACTGGATGGAGAAATAGCAGTAGCAGAAGAAACAGACACATGGAGCATTAAGGCAGCAAAAGCAAGAAGGAGTGTCAGGACCAGGCAGTGGTCCACAGCACCAAAGGCTGCAGAGAAACCATGCAAGACAAGATCAAGGACAGACTCTTCAAGTCTATGGTGCCTTTCCCAGTGGGAACAACACAGCATGAAGAGTGGAAACCAAATGACAAGAGATTAAGGAGCAAGCAAGTCATAACAGAGTTAGAATGTATGGACTTCTCTTTAGGAAAGAGAAAAAAAATAGGATGGAAACTTGAGGTAAAGCCAAAGAATGGAGAATATTTGCACTGACCATGGTATTAGGAAATTGGTAAAAGTTGAATAAAAAGTATTGCTACACAGTAGTTGAGATGAGAGTAATTTGTCAAGTCAGAACAAACACAGGAATAAGACAGCAGACAGTGGGCAAGACTCAGGGATGTCGAGCCAACACAACAGACTGGGGAAAATGAAGTGGGCAACAGAGTAACAGGTGTTGATGAAGGCAGCCTCAAAGAGGCTGTCCAGTGAGGCCACATGAGGTTAATATATCTAGACTGGGGGAATCCAGAAACTGTAGCACACCAGCAAGAGGAGGATAATTAAGAATGGTGATCCGGCGAGGTCAGGAGATCGAGACCACGGTGAAACCCCGTCTCTACTAAAAATCCAAAAAAAATTAGCCAGGCGCGGTGGCGGGTGCCTGTAGTCCCAGCTACTCAGGAGGCTGAGGCAGGAGAATGGCGTGAACCCGGGAGGCAGAGCTTGCAGTGAGCGGAGATCGCGCCACTGCACTCCAGCCTGGGCGACAGAGCAAGACTCCGTCTTAAAAAAAAAAAAAAAAAAATGGTGATCTGGAACAACTGAGGGACTATTTCAACCCTGAGCATTCCAATTTAAAAAGCACTTGTTGCAAATCAACCAAACGACAATAATTTACTGAGCACTGTATCAGCATTGGGCTTGAGCATGTCAGGGATGGAGAAGCATGAGGCAGTGTTCCAGCCCTCGAGGCACTTTAGTGTAGTTAGAGAGGAGATGAGCTCATCTGAACCCGGTGAGAGCATCACTTCGTGGCGTTGAAAAAGGACTTTAAGTACTGTGAAGAGTTGGCTGGAGCAGAGCCGGTTGAGAGCTGCCAGGGTGGCAAAATGGGAGTCGTCCCCTCTCCTGCCCTCTTTATATCCTCTCCGATCCTCATGGCCAAGCCACACAGCTGCACCTTCAAGAGACTGGAAATGGAGCCAAAAAGAGGGCAACTGTGATTTTCTTATCATGTGAGAGACCTAAAAGCTATACATCTCCCTGCTCAGAGAAAATATGAAGGCAATATCCATTTTCTTTCTATGCCTGGTGTGGGGTACTTTGCTTAGCAGAGCAAGCTGGATCAGGAGGAAGAGACAAGAAGATTTTTAAGAGGTGAGGAGAGGTTTGGAGTCCTTGATGAGAAGCCAATAGCCAGGAGCTGCCCCACAGCTCATTGATGTTGAGTGCATGAGCAACCCTCGGGAGCCTTCCTATTGCCATGGGAGAGTCTGTTTCTGGATTGCTGTCTCACTCCTATTCCCATTCCTGGGGTCTCCGCCTAGTTCAGAGCATGCTGCACAGATCATTCAAGCCTAGGAAGGAATCCTGGCTCTGCCATTTATTGGGAGTGTGACCTTGAGCAAGTTGCTTAAGACAACTGAGTCTCATTCCCGCTTCCAATGGGGTAATCGTTCTTGTAGAAAAAAATGCCTGGTACTAAACAATTACTTGAGGTTATTGTTATTTTCATTTATTCTTACCTTCCCCCTTATCTTCATTTCTTGATGATGGACATGATTATTTTTTCCTTTCTTTTTTTCCAGCCAGCTACAATGCTTGGTAGCAGAGATAGGTTTGGCTCAATTAATCAACTATTTTCCCAGCACAACTAGTGACTGTTATTTGATGAATACTCCCCTGATGTAGCTGAAGGGGAACAACTTACTTAGTTTTGAGATTTTCAAATGGCACTGTACATCAAGATCAATCTCTGTCTCTCTCTTTCTCTGACACACACACACACACACACACACACACACACACACACACACTGCCCCATTCACAGCTGCTGAAGCAGAATCTTGGGGAGATGAGGCCTGGAATCTGTTTCTAAAAGCTTCCACCCCTGGTTAAGAACGCTGTGCCTATTCAAACTCAGGCACCCTATGAGAATATATAACAATATTGTTTGAAAAATAGACGAATTATTTTCTATCAAGCTGCGTAAATTCAGAGCCTGTGGCTGCTTCAGTCATAGCCTTAGGAACAAATTGAAAGGGATTTGTCCAATTGGGGACTTAACATTTCAGAGAAGTCCACCACACACAAAAAATATGTTTGTTCTTTTCTATGCATTAAAACAGTCTAAAGTTCAAGCTGGGGTTTGCTTTGATCTTTTATTTTTGCTTTTTTATGGGTTGCAAATCAACATCACTCCATCATCCATCTCTGCTTTACCTGTCATCATATGACTCATGACTTTCTAAAGAGTCAAGAACCTCCTCTCCCTTCAACCTCTCTGGAGTTTCTGAGGCATCCACGGAGGAGAGGGGGAGGGGTGTATAATAGAGGAGGAGGGAATCAAGTCTAGGGGGCGAAGCTGGGGCAAGAGAGGCAGAGAGCAGTGGTGGAGGAGTGAATGTCCCATAAGTACGGGTCTGGCAGGAGGATAGAAAATCCAGCAAACCTGTGCAGGGGAAATAATTTTTCACACATTTCCAATGTCTTGCTCACTGTCCCACACTGGTAGGGGTGTGTGTGTGTGTGTGTGTGTGTGTGTGTTGGGGGAGTAGCGTGGCTGTATAGTTAGAGTTGAAAATAAAAAGGCTCCCTCTATTGACTGCTGAAAGGCTGAGATAAAGAGAACCACATGGGACTCATTGTGAGAAATGAGACCTCAGAAGCTAGCCTCCTTTTTCCCATTATTGTGCTATTCTCCTCCTTCCCCCTACCCCTCCCACCTCAAATGTCCCCCAGCCCCCACCTCGCCCCACCTTCCCTTTCCCTTGCATAACCCAAAGGCCCTCTTTTCAAGCTCTCACTGCTGAGGCCCCCTCAACTGAGCCCGAGACCTCCATTCAGAGTCACTGGTTTGGGTAAAATCCCTTATTCACCCCCTCCACACCCCCATGCCCCATCAGCTGAGCCTCAGTTCAGACCTCACAAAACAAAACAAAACCAGCCCATATAATTGATGGTGGCTGCTGGAGGACCCCCCCTTCACTTTCCCCCAAGGGGCTCCTGCCCAGGCAGCTTCTATTCTCCACCATGCCCGCCCTCCCTGCCCCCAGCTCCTGCTGGATTTGTGTAGTTAACAAGTGCGCACTGTTATTATTGGGCCCCCTATCATATTTATCCCCTTTCAGATCTGATCTGCACTTTTGTCAGAGGCAACCGACGCATCTTTTGACATTTTAGCCTTTCTGTCTGCTGGGGGGTGGTGGCAATGGTGGCCACAGGGGCAGCCCCTGCATCTCCAACAGGGCAGGCGGTGCAGAAAGAAGGAGAGAACAAAACTTGAAACAAGGGGGACTGGAGAGGAGAGAGAAAAACATTGTAACTTGTTAGCAACCCAATGGCAAGAAGGCAAGGGGAGGAGGCACTAATGAGTTTGATGACAGTTGTGTTTAATAGAATTTTATTTGCCAGTGAGGCTGCAAGGTGGCTAACTTTGCTATTACACCTCAGCTAAACTCATTTTCACATGTCCACTAGATCCTAGGGAAAAGAGAAACAGAGTAGAGAAAGAGTGAAAAAGAGTGAAACCCAGAGAGATTCAGAGAGAAACAGCGACAAAGAGATAAATCAGAGAGGAAGGAAAAAGACTCTTATATTTTGGTGTTCTTAATGAAATGCATAATTGAAAGGGGTCAATAGATTTGGCAAAGATTTCTTGTGCCTTTTTAAAAATCTAATCTTAGGAAATTCACAGAAACCTCAATCTTTAATGATTAGTAAACTTCCCAGATTCTTTCATATACATTTCCATTAAGAATTTCGTGGTGGTGGGATTGAAGTAATGTCTAGAAGTGTTGTTCCGACTAAGGACTGCAGAGAGTGCTGAAATATCAATAGAGAAAAACTTAAATAAAACACAGTGGCCGGGCGCGGTGCCTCACACCTGTAATCCCAGAACTTTGGGAGGCCGAGGAGGGTGGATTGCGTGAAGTCAGGAGTTCGGGACCAGTCTGGCCAACATAGTGAAACCCTGACTCTACTAAAAATACAAAAAAATTAGCTGGCCATAAGTGCTGAAATATCAATGGGGAAGAACTTAAGTGCTGAAATATCAATGGAGAAGAACTTAAATAAAACACAGCAGCCGGGCGTGGTGGCTCACGCCTGTAATCCCAGCACTTTGGGAGGCTGAGGCGGGTGGATTGCCTGAGGTCAGGAGTTCGAGACCAGTCTGGCCAACATGGTGAAACCCCGACTCTACTAAAAATACAAAAAAATTAGCCAGGCATGGTGGTGTGCGCCTGTAATCCCAGCTACTTCGGAGGCTGAGGTGGAGGATTTGCTTGAACCAGGGAGGTGGAGGTTGCAGTGAGCTGAGATCACGCCACTGTACTCCAGCCTGGACGACAGAGCGAGATTCTGTCTCAAAAAAAAAAAAAAAAAAGAAACACAGCTAATTAATTTTCACTTGACCTCCCAGACAGTGGCACATTTATTCCAATTATACAGATGAGGAAGGAAGTTGAACAGCACTGTGATTTGCACAAGATCCAAGGTAGAGCAAAAGATCAAGAACATCTGCCTGTTGGGCCCAGAGCCAGCTCCTCAAAAAACCACAGCCTTCTTGTTTCACTATTATATTTCTAGGAAAGAATGTATTTATACTGATGTGGAAATCTGATCGACAAAATTCCAACATGCTCCTTTAGGAGAGATTGTGTGTCCAGAGAACATTAAGGGAAGAGATTAGCCAGTGAGATTAGTCATCTCCTGATTTGGTTTTCTTCCCTTATAAGACAAAAAGAGGAATCTCATTAAAAGGCTATGTAGAGGGAAACAATCCAAGTCTTCTCTGATCGTGTTCTTTTGCTTTTCTAAATAATGTGTTGTATTCATAAAAATCTTGCCCTTCCAAATTTCTGAAAGCATTTACGAACATTAATTAAGCTTCAGGATAGTGGTGAGTGGCATTTGTTATTACTCTCATCTTTCAGATAGAGAAACGGGTTTAGAGAAATTAAATCTCTAGTGCATGGTAACTCAGCACGATAGAATGAGGTATAGAATCCATCATGACTAGGTTGAAATCCACACACCTTTCTGTAAGATCAATGTCATGGAACATGTCTTTCAACAAAATTTCCAACAGCTTATGTTTATCTTAATGTTCAATCTTTCCTCTCTCTCGTCTCCTTATTGTGCAAACTTTAAAAGGTGCACATTGTAACTTTTTTTATTTTTTAAGAGATGAGGTCTTGCTCTGTTGCCCAGGAGGGAATGCAATGGCATAATCACAGCTCACTGCAAGCTCCAACTCCTGGGCTTAAGCAATCCTACTGCCTCAGCCTCCCGAGTAGTTAGGACTACAAGTGCATACCACCACGCCCAGCTAATCAAAAAAAATTTTGTAGGGACAGGGTCTTGCTATGTTGCCCAGGCTGGTCTTGAACTCCTTGCTTCAAGTGGTCCTCCCACCTTGGCCTCCCAACATGTTGGTATTACAGGGGTGAGCCACCACATCCAGGCCAAGGTGTTCTAATATATTAATTAGGCCAAGGTGATTAATAGTGCTGTTCAAATCATTTATGTCTTACTAATTTTTATCTAGTTCTATCAATTGCTGAGAGAAGTGTTAAAATCTCCCACTGTGACAGGCCAGGCAAGGTGGCTCATGCCTGTAATCCCAGCACTTTGGGAGGCCAAGGTGGGTGGATCACGAGGTCAGGAGATTGAGACCATCCTGGCTAACGCAGTGAAACCTTGTGTCTACTAAAAATATACAAAATTAGCCTGGTGTAGTGGCAGGCTCCTGTAGTCCCAGCTACTTGGGAGGCTGGGGCAGGAGAATGGCGTGAACCTGGGAGGCAGAGCTTGCAGTGGGCCGAGATTGCGCCACTGCACTCCAGCCTGGGCAATAGAGTGAGACTCCGTCTCAAAAAAAAAAAAAAAAAAGACAAACCATTACAAGTGCTGGCAAGCATATGGAGAAGAGATAATTCTTTTTTTTTTTTTAATTTTTATTTTATGTTCAGGGGTACATGTGCAAATTTGTTATATAGATAAATTGCATGTCATGAGGGTTTGGTGTAAAAGATTATTTCATCACAGAGATAATAAGCATAGTACTGGCCAGACGCAGTGGCTCGAGTCTGTAATCCCAGCACTTTGGCAGGCCGCGGCGAGTGGATCACCTGAGTTCAGGAGTTCAAGACTAGCCTGACCAACATGGTGAAACCTCGTCTCTACTAAAAAATACAAACATTAGCTGGGCGTGGTGGCGTGCTCCTGTAATCCCAGCTGCTTAAGAGGCTGAAGCAGGAGAATCACTTGAACCCAGGAGGCGCAGGTTCCAGTGAGCCGAGATTGTGCCATTGCACTCCAGCCTCAGCAACAGAGCGAGACTCCGTCTCAAAAAAAAAAAAAAAAAAAAAGTGCTCACTTCAGCAGCACATATACTAACAAAAAGAAAAAAAAGAAAAAAAAATAAGCATCGTAGCTTTTCTGTCCTCACTCTTCTCCCACCCTCCACCCTCAAGGAGGCCCCAGTGTCTGTTGTTCTCCCCTTTGTGTCCATGTGTTCTCAATATTTATCTCCTACTTATGAATGAGAGTATGTGGTATTTGGTTTTCTGTTCCTGCATTACATCACTTAGGATAATGGCTTCAGCTCCATTCATGTTGCTGCAAAGGACATGATATTGTTCTTTTTTTTATGGCTGTGCAGTATTCCATAGTGTATATGTACATTTTCTCTATCCAGTCTACCATTGATGGGCATTTAGACTGATTCTATGTCTTTGTTATTGTGAATAGTGCTGCGATGAACATACACGTGCCTGTGTCTTTATGCCAGAACAATATATATTCCTTTGGATATAAACCTGGTAATGGGATTACTGGGTCAAATGGTAGTTCTGTTTTAATTTCTTTAAGAAATTATCAGGCCGGGTGTGGTGGCTCACGCCTGTAATCCCAGCACATTGGGAGGCTGAGGAGGGCAGATCACCTGAGGTCAGGAGTTCGAAACCATCCTGGTCAACATGGTGAAACTCCATCTTTACTAAAAATACAAAAATTAGCTGGGCGTGGTGGTGGACGTCTGTAATCCCAGCTACTCGAGAGGCTGAGGCCGGAGAATCACATGAACCTAGGAGGCGGAGGTTGCAGTGAGCCAGGATCGCACTGCTGCACTCCAGCCTGGGTGACAAAAGCAAAACTCTGTCTCAAAAAAAAAAAAAAGAAAAAGAAAAAGAAAAAAGAAATTATCAAACTACTTTTCACAATGGCTGAACTAATTTATATTCCCACCAGCAGTGTATATACGTTCCCAAGAGAAAAGGGAATTCTTAAACATCATTGGTGGGAATTTAAGTTGGTACAGCCATTTTGGGAAATAATATGAAGGTTCCTCAAAAACTAAAAATAGTATTACCGTATGATCCAGCAGTACCACTTCTGGGTATGTACCCTAGAGGAATGAAATTGATCTGTCAAAAGACATCTGCATTCACATTTTTATTTCAATCTTTCGAAATATATTAAGACTTATTTTGTGGCCTAACATATAATCTATCCTGAAGAATGTCTTGTGTTTGTTTGAGAAAAATGTGTATTACTTTGCTGTTGGATGAAATATTCCACATATGTCCATTAGGTCTATTTGGTCTAAAGTGTAGTTTAAATCTGACATTTTCTTACTGATATTCTGTCTGGATAATCTATCCATTGCTGAAAGTAGGGTATCTAAGTCCCTTACTATTATTGTAATACAGTCTATCTCCCCCTCAGGTCTACTAATATTATATATATTAGTATATATATAATATTACATATATTAGTATATATATAATATTATATTAGTATATATATAATATTATATATATATTAGTATATATGTAATATTATATATAGAAGTATATATGTAATATATATAAATCTATAAGTATATATATTATATATACTTATATATAATATATATAAAAATATTATATATAATATATATTATATATATTACATATAATAATATATATAATATATATTACATATATTATATATAATATTATATGTAATATATATTACATATATTATATATAATATTATATATAAAATTATATATTTAGAAGTTGTGATATTGGGTGCATATATATTTACAATTGTTATTTTTTTAATGAACTGACCTCTTCATCATGATATGATGACCTTCTTTATATCAGTTTACAGTTTTTGACTTAAAGTCTATCTTCTGTGATAGGTGTATAGCTCTCCGTGACTTCTCTTTTAGTTTCTAATTGCATGAAATATCTTTCCGTGTATTCACTGTCAGTCTGTATGTATCATTAAAACAGCTATATGAATTTGTTGATTGATTTTGAATATTGACTAACGGTGTCTCCTAAATATGATATATAAATGGAATTTCATAACTAAAGTATTTATAATTGTAAGGCCTTTTTGCTAGCAGAATTTACTCTGATAAAATTATTTACACTAGTGATGTTATATTACGTATTCTGTTAGCACTCCAAAATACCCAGAGGTAGTTTATAACATACTACACAATTGTTAATAAAAACCTATAGCATATATGCATATAAAAAAAAAATCTCCCACTGTGACTGTAGACGTTCTTATTTCTCCCTTTAATTCTGTCCAAGTTTGCTTTATGTATTTTGAAGCTCTGTTATTAGATACATACTCACTTATAATTTTATGTCTTACTGATGAATAGACTCCCTTATTATTATGAAATGTCCCTCTTTATCTCTAGAAATACTCTTATCTATTCTCTTATGCTATTTGCATGGTTTATCTTTATCTTTTTTTCCCAGTTACTTGTAACCTTTCTCACCCACCCTAAATCAATACATCTAAATTCCTGTTTATATAACAGCCTTTTGTGAATTTTACTAGTTTGAGTAAGATATTAAGAGTATGATCCTGGCCAGGCTTGGTGGCTCATGCCTATAATTCTAGTACTTTGGGAGGCTGAGGTGGGCGGATCACTTGAGGCCAAGAGTTCGAGACAAGCCTGGCCAACATGGTGAAACTCCATCTCTACTACAAATACAAAAATTAGCCGGCCTGGTGCCAGGTGCCTATAATCCCAGCTACTTGGGAGGCTGAGGCAGGAGAATTGCTTGAACCTGGGAGGCGGAGTTTGCAGTGAGCTGAGACCCTGCCCCTGCACTCCAGCCTGGGCGACAGAGAAAGACTCCGCCTCAAAAAAAAAAAAAAAAAAAAAAGAAAAAAGAAAAAGAAAAAAAGACTAAGATCCTCTCCAGATGAATCAATAAGAGGAAAACCCTGAAACTAAAAAGTCAAAATCAGGTGCAGAAGGCCCAGCTGACAGCTCTTTTGACCAATGTTAAAAACCTCATCATCTGAGCTCTCCATTCTTTCCTCTCTTCTTATTCAGACTTTCAGATAGAGAAACAAGTCTTCTCATATGTCCAATTGTCATCTTTTTCTCTTCCTCTCCAGAAATGAAACACTAGTCCATGACCTTGTCACCCCTGCCTCTGATCATTAAGGTTTTCTCCCCTCGGACATCCCTGCCTCTCACCTCTCCCACCAAAAGGCACAAGCAGAAAAAAAATCTCATTGAGTTCTTTCTTTTCTTGGGAGTTTCTCCTCAATGCTCCTTTTGTTTCCTTTTTAACCCCTTGGTTTGGTAACCTTCCCTGTATTCCTCTTGAAATCGCTCAATTTTTCATGTTCCTTTTCCTCCTTGAAATCCCTCCGTAATGTCCACTTCTTTTTCTCGGTCTCCCAGTGTTTTCCTCCTTTCCAGCCACATCAACTCAACTAGATGTCTCACTGTTTATTCAGTGTTTTGTTTATGTCTAAATCTGACAGTCAACGCCTTGGGGCTGGGGTTTCATTTTCAGAGTTCCATGCTTTGCAAAATGCCATTTGCATTTACCACATTCTATAAATAATAAATAATCAGACCAAAGAATCAGTAAACTGGTGCTAGATCACTGATTAGCATAAGTATTCAACACATCGAGTTGCTGCTGCTGCCGCTGCTGCCGCTGCTGCTGCCACCACCACAAAAACTTTTTCTCTAAGAAAAACAGAGCAACTGTTTGAAAAAGAACCTTGGAAAAGATATTTGGTCACAATTCAATTTGGAGGAGGTAGAGGACAAATTGTAGAAAAAAAGGCTCCCAGGACTTCTCATCCTGTCTCCTAAAGGAACTTCTGTGAGGACTGAGCTCTTTCTGTCCTCACAGAGTCTTATTCTTCCTTTTTACCCTGCCCCTCGCACAGCGCCTGACGTGAATTAGGCACACAACAGACATAGTTCTTGAACTGTCCCCCTGAAGATAAAGAACATTAGGGGAACTTTAGCTCACCCCAGTACCTAGCTTTGGAATAATTCTTTGAGACACAGCCTTATTCTTGACTAACTTGTAGACATATCAAATTGTCACAGAAACTGGATTACTACATCAAAAACTACATTCAATATTTAGTATATAATTTGATGTTCAAAACGCAGTGAATTATGTATAACAGGCTCTGGTTAAGAAGGCAGATTGAAGTATATACTCTCTCTATATATTTTTATTATGTATATTAACATTTTCACTTGCTACATATAGAAAATGAAAAATATGAAATATATATAAAAATGAAAAAATATATAATTTCAAAAGCCTCCAATGAAAATGTTTGATCCTGAAAGGGACATCCTCAGCTACATAGAAAATTCACATTACAGAAGTCTGACCTGAGGGCTCCAGTGGGTGGAGCTGAAATTTAACTTTCCTGTCATTATCTAGCTTAGTAGTATATCTGGCATATGCCTTTTAGCTTGTTCTAGAATCACATGGACTATACATTCTTATATGAAGTATGGAGCTGGGGTTTTCCAGCTACTAAGATGTAGTGTTCAGGTGCTCTGGGCACTGCTCTCAACACTCACATCCAACAAGGTTGATAATGAACATTCGTCCATTCATTCAGCACACATTTCCTGAGCTTCTTCTATGAACCAACTTTTTCATGAGTAATATGTGCTGCCAGGCCTTTAAGAAGACTACAGCAGGCAAGTGCAGTGGCTCATGCCTGTAATCTCAACACTCTGGGAGGCTAAGGCAAGAGGATCGCTTGAGCCCAGGAGTTTGAGGTTATAGTGGGCTATGATCATGCCACTGCACTCCAGCCTGGGTGACAGAGCAAAACCCTGTATCAAAAGAAGAAGAAAACAACTATGGCAGGGCTAAGTCCCACATGACTTGGAACATTCTTAGGACATAGCTTTACTTTGGGATGGGAGGTAAAGCTGTGGCTAATAGTAACATGACATTGGTATCTTGCCTGTATCTTCTCAATTCCAAATTTAGAAGACTCCCCTCATGTAGAACAGACCTACCACTAGCTGAGTTGATAGACAAAAACCTTGAAGGCAAACATGGGCCAGAAGCAAAAGAGAACTCTGATAAATAAAGATGGGAGATGTAGAGGAGACGAGGCATAGACAAGATGGGACACTTCCCCTTATGGGGGAAGGTGAGTTTGTATGAATCCTGTGGACACCAGGTCCATGCTGCAGGGCCCTGTGTTTGTGGGGACTTGTGCTCAACTTCTTGGCCCAAGTGGGGTCTTTCACCAGATGATGACTAGCTTGACAGGTAAGATTTAAATGGAAAAACCATGGTCAATTAGAACAGTTTCAAGCCCCTAGGGAGCTCGGATATAAGCCTCTTGTTAGGAAGGGAAGGCTAGGAAGACGATTTAGATCTAGTAGACCCTCTGTATTGTATGCTCTGCAACCACGGGTTTTGCATCCATGGATTCAACTAACCACAGATAAAAAATATTTGAAAAAAATACAAATAAAAAACAATACAGTGTAACAACTAAGTACATAGCACTTACATTGTATTAGGTATTATAGGTATCTGAAGATGATTTAAAGTATATGAGAGGATGTGCATAAGTTATATAAAAATACTAGACCATTTTATAAAAGGAACTAGAGCATCTGTGGATTTTGGTATATGTTGGGTTGTGTGTGGTGGCATGAGGCGGGGGTTGGGGTCATCCTAAAACCAATCTGTTTTTTTGAGACAGAGTCTCACTCTGCCACCCAAGCTGGAGTGCAATGATGTGATCTCGGCTCACTGCAACCTCTGTCTCCCAGGTTCAAGCAATTCTCCTGCCTCAGCCTCCCAAGTAGCTGGGATTACAGGTGCCTGCCACCATGCCTGGCTAATTTTTTTTTGTATTTTTAGTAGAGAGGGGGTTTCATCAAGTTGGCCAGGCTGGTCTCGAACTCCTGACCTCAGGTGATCCACCTGTCTTGGCCTCCCAAAGTGCTGGGATTACAGGTGTGAACCACCACGCCTGGCCCTAAAACCAATCTTTTGAGGATACCTAGGGACAACTGCATACAATTTTTGGCTGCCTAAAGAGGACTTCCTCAAGAGGACTCAGCCACCTCTTCTTTTAAAGGGCTCCGGATCTGTGAACCAAAGGAATTGGTTAAGAGGTCACAAGTTTCTATTATGGTGATTCAAGTCAGACATCCATTGAGCAAACCTGGAACTTTTCTGCTTTTCCAAATTAAGTAAAACTTCACTAGACTGTCCATCTATTCAGTGCTACAGACACTAAAATTAACTGGCCAACACCAGTGGTCTCTGAGATTTAAACCATTCTGTTTATTGCTTTGGCTGTTTATTGCTTTGCCCATTACAGTAACCACATCCACCTTGTTTCTGGTGATAAAGCCTGCCACCCCTGGATCCAATCATTCCCACTGAATTCAAGGGACCAGTTAGATAGCAACAAAGAAAAGATCAAGGATGCTGGAGCTCCCTTTTTGAAAATATTTCTTATAGACTTGGTAAAAGGAGTGTCCTCTGGACTCTCTTAGGGGATGTAGTTGAAGGGGAAGGTCTTACAAGGTAAACGTACTCTAGCATTTAGAACTCCTTAAGCCTTTGGGCACCTTCCTCTGTGGTAGCCTGTTGTGAACTTTTTGGTCTCAGACTCCTTTGCTTTCTTAAAAATTATTAAGAACTCCAAAGACTTTTTATTTATTTGAATTACATCTATTATTATTTACCATCTTAGAAATTAAAACTGAGAAGTTTAAAAATTTTTCTTTGATACTATACCAAAATTTGGTAAATATACTTTCTTAATGGTTAACTACAATGTGAAATTGAAACTATATCAGCAAAAATTTGTTTATACTGTTAAAGTCCATTATATTGAAATTTGAATGGATCTTTTATGATTTAGTAATAGCATGCACTGGTCATTTGCAAAATATTTGTCACTGAATTATGCAGATTTTCAAATGTTGACACATTTCATTCTACAAGACTAAAAGTCACAATTGTTAATATCAGAAATTTAAAAGTTGTCATATCTTATAGTGGCAGATACAAGTTTTCCATAACTCTCATTTTTACTTGAAAGTTCAAATTTTTATCATCAACAAATGATGCCAGTTGTTTTAATTGAAGTGACAGGCCCACTTTATTTTTAAGAAAATGGTTATATTTTGTCTGTCAGTCATTCTTTCAAGCAAAATATGGTATTCCATGAAAAACAATACTGGCTAGTTCAGCTCACAACTCAAGTAATCACAGATGTGCCTTTTCTTAAGATGATCATTGTATTTTTGTGTATAGCAGAAGTGCTTTATGTGTACTTTCCATTTCACTACACAGAATATTAAAAAGACATGCCTTCAAGCATTGAAATTGAATACAAATAATAATGTTTTTACTGTTTCATCAAATATATTCTTAAGGGTCACTTGCATTTCTCTTTTTATTGTGTGTGGCAGTGAAGACTAATGTGCTGGCTAATGCACTAGCAGCTTTCCCATTACTACTTTTGCATCATCAGAACAAATGAACTTAACAGATATTTACAGAACGTTCTGCCAACAACCGCAGAATATACATTCTATGCATCAGCACGTGGAACTTTCTCTAAGATAGACCATATAATAGGCCACAAAACAAGACTCAACGAATTTAAGAAAATCAAAATTATAGCAAGTACTCTCTCAGACCACAGGGGAATAAAATTGAAAATCAACTCCAAAAGGAAGCCTCAAAACCATGCAAATACATGGAAATTAAATAACCTGCTCCTGAATGATCCTTGGGACAACAATGAAATCAAGAAGGAAATTTAGAAATTCTTTGAACTCAATGATAATAGTGACACAACCTATGAAAACCTCCGGGATACAGCAAAGGTGGTACTAAGAGGAAAGTTTATAGCATTAAATGCCTACATCAAAAAGTCTGAAGGAGCACAAATAGACAATCTAAGGTCACATCTCAAGGAGTTAGAGAAACAAGAGCAAACCAAACCCAAACCCAGCAGAAGAAAAGAAATAACCAATATCAGAGCAGAACTAAATGAAATTGAAACAAACAAACAAACAAAACAATATGAAAGATAAATGAATCAAAAAGCTGGTTCTTTTAAAAGATAAATAAGGTTTATTATTTATTTATTATTTATTAGCGAGATTAACCAAGAAAAGAAGAGAGAAGATCTAAATAACCTCAATTAGAAATGAAATGGGACATATTACATTTGGTATTAGGGTGATATTGACTTCATAAATTATTTAGGGAGCAGTCTTAAGAAACACAAAAGATCATTCAAGGCTACCATGAACACCTTTACTCACATAAATTAGAAAACCTACAGGAGATAGATAAATTCCTGGAAATATACAACCCTCCTAGATTAAAACAGGAAGAAATAGAAACTTTAAACAGACCAATAACATGCAGCAACATTGAAATGTAACAAAAACATTGCCAACAAAAAAAGTCCAGGACCAGATGGATTCACAGCTGAGTTCCATGAGACATTCAAAGAAGAATTGGTACCAATCCTATTGACACTATTCCACAAGACAGAAAAAGAGAGACTCCTCCCTAAATCATTTTATGAAGTCAATATCACCCTAATACCAAAAACCAGGAAAGAACATAACAAAAAAAGGAGAAAACTACAGACCAATATCCCTGATGAATGTAGATGCAAAAATCCTCAACAAAATACTAGCTAACCGAATCCAACAGCATATCAAAAAGATAATCCACCATGATCAAGTGGGTTTCATACCAGGGATGCAGAGATGGTTTAACATCTGCATGTCAATAAATGTGATACACTACATAAACAGAATTAAAAACAAAAAATCATATGATCATCTCAATAGACACAGAAAAAGCATTTGACAAGATCTAGCATCACTTTGTGATTAAAACCCTCAGCAAAATCGACATAGAAGGGACATACCTTAAGGTCATAAAAGCCATCTATGACAAACCCACAGCCAACATTACACTGAATAGGGAAAAGTTGAAAGCATCCCCCGTGAGAACTGGAACAAGACAAGGATGCCCTCTTTCACTACTTCTATTCAACATAGTACTGGAAGACCTAGCCAGAATAATCAGACAAGAAAAATAAATAAAGGGCATCCAAATTGGTAAAGAGAAAGTCAAATTTTCTGTTTGCTGATGACATGATTGTATACCTGGAAAACGCTAAGACTCCCCAAAAGGTCCAGGAACTGATAAATGAATTCAGCAAAGTTTCAGGATACAAAATTA
This sequence comes from Homo sapiens, assembly GCF_000001405.40. Taxonomy (NCBI): domain Eukaryota; kingdom Metazoa; phylum Chordata; class Mammalia; order Primates; family Hominidae; genus Homo; species Homo sapiens. The sequence continues at coordinate 113,074,039 of NC_000003.12, read as the reverse complement.
ATGTACACAAATCAATAGCTATACACCGACAATGACCAAGCTGAGAATCAAATCAAGAACTCAACCCCTTTTACAATAGCTACAAAAAGAAAAAAGAAAACCTAAGCAAGGAGGTGAAAGGCCTCTACAAGGAAAACTATAAAACAGTACTGGAAGAAATCACTATTCTAAGTGAAGTAACCCAGGAATGGAAAACCAAACATTGTATGTTCTCACTTATAAGTGGGAGCTAAGCTATGAGGATGCAAAGGCATAAGAATGACATAATAAATTTTGGGGACTTGGGGGAAAGGGTGAAAGTGGGGTGAAGGATAAAATACTACACATTGGGTATGGTTTACATTGCTTGGGTGATGGGTGCACCAAAATCTCAGAAATCCCCACTAAAGAATTTATTCATGTAACCAAACACCACCTGTTCCCCAAAAACTTACAGGAAAAAAAAAAAAGGCTTGACTCCTAATGGCAGATGATTACCTATGTTTGCAGGTGGAAGATGAGTACGTAAGTTTTGCCTCCGCATGCCGTGAATTATCAGTATGTTGTTTACCCCTGGAAGTAGGTAAAATCTAATCAGATCAGGGTAACACTTATAGAAAACCCAGAGGCAATTCAAGAACCCGTCTTTAAAGTTTTGCTTCACTGAAACCACTCCTAGTACCAATTTTTTTCACAGTTAGTGTTTGATCAGAGATGAGAAATATAGAGTAAGAGAATTTTTTCTTTCTTTTTTTTTTTTTTGAGACAGAGTCTCACTCTGTCATCCAGGCTGCAGTGCAGTGGTGTAATCTCGGCTCAGGGAATTTTTAGCAGGAGTTAGATCTCAAACAGTCGTGGAAGCTGGCTAAGCAGTCTATTTGAGGTTACTGCTTTGTATCTAATGTTGGGCCCAAAGACACCAGGGCCAGTAGTCGGGAAGAAAAATAGACATAAGTTGAGGGACAGCACGTATTTGTTAAGTGCTTACTATTATGTGCCCTCTGCTCTTCTGGACTCACAGAGATGCCCTTTGTCCACTTGGTCACCACTGGCCTTGCAGGCATTCATTAAGGTCAGTGGCCAGCATAATACTTGCTCAGGTTCCTTTTGGCTCCACCGGGGACAGTAACCATCCCTGGCATTCTTGCCTCATCTGTGAACCCCTCTGGAATTGAGCTGAGACCTTATTATACATTTGGTCTTGATCTAGGTGGTTCCCTCTGCTGAGAGTCACCTCAGGTTGGCAGGCACTCTTTGGCAAGTTTTTCAGATAGGTTATCAACTAAATTTGAGTTATACATGCCATGGGCAACTGAAAGTGACTTAGGAAAGATAAATTTGTGTGCCTTTCTCTGCTTAACTACACTGTACAACTAGGTTTGCATGAAAGTAACACACCCCACATTAATCTAGGTGGTAACATCCTTCCAGAGGCCCAGATGAGAAGCTGGAATAAAGGTTGCTGTTGCTGGGCACAATGGCTCATGCCTGTAATACCAGCACTTTGGGAGGCCCAGGTAGGTGGATCACGAGGTCAGGAGTTCCAGACCAGCCTGGCCAACATAGTGAAACCCCATCTCTACTAAAAATACAAAAAATTAGCCAGGTGTGGTGGCGTGCACCTATAGTCCCAGCTACTCGGAAGGCTGAGGCAGGAGAATCGCTTGAACCTGGGAGGCGGAGGTTGTGGTGAGCTGAGATTGCACCACTGCACTACAGCCTGGGCGACGAAGCGAGACTCCATCTGAAAAAAAAAAAAAAAAAAGATTCCTCTCCTTGGAATTCAGTTGACTTAATTTGGTACTTCTAAAGCACTCCTGTCATTTTAGTCATAGACTGTGTATGTGTGTGTGTGTGTGAGAGAGAGAGAGAGAGAGAGAGACAGACAGAAAGAAAGAGAGAATGAGAAAGAGACAGAGAAAGAGAGAGAGAATGAGAAAGAGAGAAAGAGAAAAGAGAGTGCTTTGGAACCAAGAGTGTGCTGGTCACTCGATCTATGGGGGAGAAAAGGCCCTTGTTTGTAACATTTTCTGATTTCTGAGCAGGGTATCAATATTTGCACTCTGCTTAAAAAATGTGTGAATATTTAAAAGGAGACTTTGCTAGCCTGTATAAGCTGACTCCAGCATTCCATTGCCTGGTTCCTTTCTATATCATCTACTTTTGCTTTCCTCTCATTTGTCTCTTCTCAAAACTCCTCAGTCAGAAAGAGTGGGCTTTCTTTTCTTTCCAATCTCACATTCTTCTTCTACCATGAAATGGTGAGCCTCTTGGCTTGGGGATGATATAATTTATCATCGAAACTAGAACTTTTTTGAGCGTGAAAGGGAGCAGTTGTAATGTTTCATCAGAACAACAGGAATAAACCAGGACTGGAACACTGGAATATAGGGTTTCCCTACTCATGGTCTAGTCTTCACAATTGGGTTGTATCTTCTGTAAAATATGAGAAATACTTTATGATCTGAGTTCTCTATGCTTCCTTCCCAAAGAAATTTAGGAAACATTTCTCATCCAAGCCTGGGTTTTTAAGACTGTTTTCTTGTTAAATAGGCCCCTAGTCTGGAGAAATACAAGTAAACATTCATCTATTTAATATTTTCACACTTTCTCTGTCACTACATAGAAATATCAACAGGCATTGGAAGGAGAGTCCTGCCTTTGAAGTTGGAATAGGATATGAATTCAGATCTGCCATTAAACCGTATGTGATCTTGAATGAGTTTCTTGATTTCTTGGAGTCTCAAATTCCTAATTAGTAAATTGGAGGCAGGGGAAAATGAAGTTGCAGGACTATTCTGATTTTAAAGTTAAATGTGACATCCCAGGGGCCCTCTCAGTACTGGGCAAACTGGGATGGTTGGTCACCCTCCAACCCAGTAGAGTTGTTATGAAGCTCACCTATCATATAATAGTCTGTCTCACCTAGATGGAGCTGCTGTCCTCCAGGTATGGTGTGTGACAGAGAGGTCAGAGGGTAAGTTTGTAGTAAATGTTTTCAGTTTTGTTTTGCTCTCAGTCTCTACAGCTTCACTTTACTCCCAGCTATGTGGCGTCACCCATCTGTTTGGTGGATGTAGCTATGGGTGATGAGTCATCTCAGCAATACAGTTAATTATTAGGCACAAAGTAAGAATCTTGAAAATTGATCTGAGGTTATTCTTCTCCCCCAACGTTAGCCTCCAAAACGACCCTTTGAAGGAAACCTCTGTAATCCTCTTGCCATGGAAAGTCCACATTGCTAAAAGTCGACTTGCTGCTTCTGTTGAAATGATCACTGCAATCAGAGAGGCAGGGGAACAATCAAGCTATACATTCCATCCATCCCTCTGGGGACCAGCCTGGAATCATTCTCTCACAAAAGTTTTATTTAGCTTGTCTAAATAAGGACCTCTCTGCTTAAAATATAATGTAAGTTAAAGGCTGATAACAGGAATTGGTTGGCAAGTGCAGAACCAAATCTTCTGTTTCCCAAGAAGGTGCCACTAGTGCAGCCACAGCACAAATTTCTCTCCTTAGTCTGAGAAGTGCAACCTTGACAGATAGGAAATGGCTCTAGAGGGGCCGGTTTAGTCTCAGGGACTCCTTCCAACTCTGACACCTCTGCTTCAGCTGCTCTATTATGCTGGGAAGAATAAAATGACTCTCACAGAGGCAAGGTTTGGGATGACATCAACATTTTTCCATCTGGAAGGAATTGAAATCACCAGCTCATTGCTGGTAGTCTCTTAGGGAGTAAAGGTTGTGAGTGAAGAAATTATGACTTGGAACTCAATTTAAGACAAATGACACTTTTTTCCAATGTACACCAGATGGTACATACACAGCATCTTCATGATCAGCTCTTCAGCCCCCATCCCTTTCCTAAGTTGGCAGGCCCTTCCTAGTTGGAATTAATAAGCCAAATTATTTCTGAAACAACCCATACTCAATGTGCTGGCTTGGAGGGAGGGATTAATCAGCTTCAGTTCTTCCTTTAATTCCATGCTGCCTCCCCATATGTGTATGTAAGTTATACTGGCGTGGCAGTAGAAGAGCCAAGGTTAGGAACCAACACAGTACCTAGCATCATGTAGGGGTAATGAGTGAGACCAAGTTTCTAGCCTTGGCTGTGTCACTTAACTAGCTATATAACCTTGGTGTCATTTTATCTCTTTGGCTCTATTCCCATAGCTATAAGTAAAGGGGTTGGGTTGGGTAATTTTCAAGGCCCTTCCATCTGTAGAAGTCAATGAATTCTATGCCTCAGCAGCTTTTCTACCTACCCCTTCTTTCCTTTGTGCTCCTCTCTGCCTTTCCTTAGAAGTCTAATAGGCTGATAGGATGGCCCTGGCTGGGGATGAGGTGAGGATGGTGATTAAGGTTGGCTAGCAAAAAACACAGATTTTTTTTCCCCGCTTTCCTCGAGTCTTGCTTTCAACAGGAGCTTCCCCATGGTACCAAATGTCTTTGTCCTGTCCTGGAGACTGGCTTCACAGTGGTCACCGTGTCCTTTCTTGTGTCATTCCTTATGTTCTTTCTTTTTTTTTAACTCTTATTTTAGATTCAGAGGGTACATGTGCAGGTTGGTTACCTGGGTATATTGTGTGATGCTGAGGTTTGGGGTATGGATGATCTTGTCACCCAGGTACTAGGCATAGTAGTATCCAATAGTTAATTTTTCAACCCATGCCTCTCTCCCTCCTCCCCAGTTTCTATTGTTGCCATCTTTATGTCCATGAGTACCCAATATTTAGCTCCCACTTGTAAATGAGAATATGTAACATTTGATTTTCTTTGCCTATGTTAATTCATTTACGATAATGTCCTCCAGTTGTATCCATGTTGCTGCAAAGGACATGATGCTTTCTTTTTTATGGCTATGTAGTAGTCCAGGGTGTATATGAACCACATTTTCTTTATCTAGTTTACCACCGATTAGCACCTAGGTTGATTCCATGCATTTGCTATTGTAAATAGTGCTGTGATGAACATGTAGGTGGATGTCTTCTTGGTAGAAAAATTTGTTTTCTTTTGGATATATGCCCAATAATGGGATTGCTGCATTGAATGGTGGTTCTGTCTTAAGTTCTTTGAGAAATCTCCAAATGGCTTTCCACAGTGACTGAACTAATTTACATTCCCACCAACAGTGTATAAGCATTCCCCTTTCCCTGCAGCCTCACCAGCATCTGTTGTTTTTTTGACTTTTTAATAATGGTCATTCTGACTGGTGTGAGATAGTAGCTCATTGTGGTTTTGATGTGCATTTCTCTAATGATTAGTGATGTTGAGCATTTTTTCATATGTTTGTTGGCCACTTGTATGTCTTCTTTTGATAAGTATCTCTTCGTGTCTTTTGCCCATTTTTTAATGGGGTTGTTTTTTGCTTGTTCAACTGTTTAAGTTCCTTATAGATTCTGGATATTTGACTTTCATTGGATGCATAATTCGCAAACATTTTCTCCCATTCTGTAGGTTGTCTGTTTACTCTATTGATCGTTTCTTTGGCTGTGCAGGAGCTCTTTAATTTAATTAGGTCCCACTTCTCAATTTTTGTTTTGGTTACAATTGCTTTTGAGGACTCAGTCATAAATTGTTTCCCAAAGGCCAGTGTCCAGAATAGTGTTTCCTAGGTTTTCTTCTGGGATTCTTATAGTTTGAGGTCTTATATTTAAAACTTTAATCCATCTTGTGTTAATTTTTGTATATGGTGAAAGCTAGAAAACTAGTTTCATTCTTCTGCATATGGCTAGCCAGCTATCCCAGCACCATTTATTAAATAGGGAATCTTTTCCCCATTGTTTATTTTTGTTGACTTTGTTGAAGATCAGATGGCTGTAGATATGAGGCTTTATTTCTGGATTTTCTATTCTTTTCCATTGGTCTATGTATTTGTTTTTGTACCAGTACTATGCTGTTTTGATTACTATACCTTATAAGCATAGTTTGAAGGTGGGTAAGGTGATGCGTCCAGCTTTGTTCTTTTTGCCTAGGCTTGCTTTGGCTATTTGGGCTTGTTGTTGGCTCCATATGAATTTTAGAACAGTTTTTTCTAGTTCTGTGAAAAATGTCATTGGTAGTTTGATAGGAATAGTGTTGAATATGTAGATTGCTTTGGGCAGTGATACAGTTTGGATATTGTCCCTGCCCAAATCCCATGTTGAAATGAAATCCCCAGTGCTGAAGGTAGGGCCTGGCAGAAAGTGTTTGGATCACAGTGGGTCCCTCATGGCTTGGTGCTGTCTTCATTATAGTGAGTGAGTTCTTGTGACATCTGGTCATTTAAAAGTGTGTGGCACCTCCCTGCCCCCACTATCTCTCTTGCTGTTGCTCCCATTCTCACCATATGATGTGCCTGCTCCGCTTTGCTTTCTGCCATGATTGGAAGCTTCCTGAATTCTCCTGAAGCAAGCAATGCCATGCCTCTATGCTTCCTGTACAGCCTGCAGAACTGTGAGCCAGTTAAACCTCTTTTCTTATAAATTACCCAGTCTTGGGTGTTTCTTTATAGCCATGCAAGAATGGCCTAACACAGGCAGTATGACCATTTTAAAAATATTGATTCTTCCAATCCTTGGGAATTGAATGGTTTTCCATTTGTTTGTGTCATCTATTATTTCTTTCAAAAGTGTCTTGTAGTTCCCCTTATAGAGATCTTTCACCTTCTTGGCTTGTTGTATTCCCAGGTATTTTTTGTGTGTGGTGATTGTAAATACGATTGCATTCTGGATTTGGCTCTCAACATGAACGTTATTGGTGTGTAGAAATACTACTGAGTTTTGTACTTTGATTTTGTATCCTGAAACTTTACTGATGTTGTTTATTAGTTGCTGAAACCTTTTGGTGGACTCTTTAGAGTTTTCTAGGTATAGAATCATATCACCCCTGAAGACAGAATATTTGACTTCTTCTTTTCCTATTTGGATGTCTTTTATCTTTCTCTTGCCTGATTGCTCTGGCTATCACTTCCAGTACTATGTTGAATAGGTCTTGTTCTGGCTCTCAAGGGGAATGCTTCTAGCTTTGCCTATTCAGTAAGATGCTGGCAGTGGGTTTGTCATAGATGGTTCTTATTATTTTGAGGTATGTTCATTCAATGCCTGGTTTGTTGAGGCTTTTTATCATGAAGGGATATTGGATTATGTTGAAGCTTTTTCTGCATCTGTTGAGATGATCATATGGTTCATTGAAAGGATAAACAAGATTGATAGACTTAGCTACATTGCATGAACGCAAACATGAGAGACAGAGAAAAAGAGAGGGAAGATCTAAATAAACATAATCAGAAATGACAAGAGTGACATTATAATCAAACCCACAGAAATACATAAGATCCTCTAAACTATTATGAACACCTATACACACACAAACTAGAAAATCTAGAGGAAATGGATAAATTCCTGGAAACAGATAATCTCGTAAGATTAAATCAGGAAGAAATCGAAATCCTGATTAGACCAATATTGAGCACCAAAACTGAGCCACTAATGAAAAACCTACCAACCAAAGAAAGCTTCGTACCACATGGATTCACAGCCAAATTCTACCAGCTGTACAAAGAAGATCTGGTATCAGTTTACTGAAATTATTCCAAAAAATCAAACAGGAGGTACTCCTCCCTAGCTAATTCTACAAAGCCAGCATCACCCTGATAGAAAAACCTGGCAAAGACACAACAACAACAACAACAACAAAAAACTACAGGTCAATATTCCTGACAAACATGGACATAAAAATCCTCAACAAAATACTAGCTAATTGAATCCAACACCACATCAAAAAGCTAATTCACCATGATCAAGTAGGCTTCATTCCTGGGATGCAAGGTTGGTTCAATATGTGCAAATTCATAAATGTGATTCACCACATAAACAGAATTAAAAACAAAAGCCACATGATCATCTCAATAGATGTGGGAAAAGCTTTCATTAAAATCAAACATTTCTTCATGATAGAAAACCTTCAAGAAACTAGGCATTGAGGGAACATACTTCAAAATAGTAAGAGCTATCTATGATAAACCCACAGCCAACATCATACTGAATGGACAAAAGCTGGAAGCATTCCTCTTGAGAACAGAAAAAAGACAAGGATGCCCACTGTCACTACTCCTATTCAACATAGTACTGGAAGTGCTAGCCAGAGCCATCAGACAAGAGAAAGAAATAAAAGGTATCCCAACAGGTAAGGAAGTCAAACTATCTCTCTTTGAGGATGATACAATTCCATACCTAGAAAACCCCCCAAAGACTCTGTGAAAAGGCTCCTGGAACTGATAAACAACTTCAGTAATGTTTCAGGATGGAAAATAAATGTACACACATCAGTAATATTTATATACACCAATAACATTCAAGCTGATACACAAGTCTTTCTAAGTCTATCATCTGCAGCCTTAGGCACGGTCTATGTATGTTTACGGCAGTGGTGTGTTGCTAAGCTGGCTCCCTGAAAACAAAGTCCTGATGTGCAGCATTTGTCCATGATCATGGTGTAAATATTCTTTCGTGGCTAATTTCAAGCTAACAATGGTTTAGCAATCTGCTCAAGAATTTCCTGAATATTTGACAATATGTTCCCACAAGTGAGTCTTAGCCAATTACAGCACACCACAGACCTGGCATAAAACTAGAAGGAACCAGACCTTCTAGTTCTTCTATCAGTCTGTGGTGTCAACACAATGCCCTGCACATAGTAAGAACACAAGTGAAGCCCAGATTGACTGAATTTCTTTTTTTTTTTTTTGAGACGAAGTTTCGCTCTTTGCTCTTGTTGCCCAGGCTGGAGCACAAAGGCGCCATCTTGGCTCACTGCAACCTCCGCCTGCCGGGTTCAAGCAATTCTCCTGCCTCATCCTCCTGAGTAGCTGGGATTATAGGCGCCCGCCACCATGCCCAGCTGATTTTTGTATGTTTAGTAGTGATGGGTTTTCAGCATGTTGACCAGGCTGGTCTTGAACTTCTGACCTCAGGTCATCTACCCACCTCGGCCTCCCAAAGTGCTGGGATTACAGGTTTGAGCCACTGCGCCCGGCCTGACTGAATTTCTTTATGTCTTGACTAGAACGATCTTCCTGACCGTCATAATTTTTCTTATGGAATGTGATTATGATAATTTCCCAGCCTAGTCTTAGCTCCAGGCTCTAATTTATTCTATTTATTGTGGTATTATTTTCAGGTTACAAGTTGGTCTGGTTTTTTAAATTTCTGTTCCTTTCTTATTCTGATACTTTTATTTTTAATGCAGAAACACATACCCATGAAAACATAGTAACCTCCATGCTTCCCTGTTTCTATCTTACAAGAGAGTAAGTGCTCCCAGTGCTAAACTTTAAGCAGTGTGAACTCCAACCACTTCACATGAGTATTTTTTTTTTTTTTTTTTTGTGATCCATGTCAGTCCATGATTTGCTCAGGGGTTCCTTCTTGAAATGCCATGCATGATGGTATCTGGGAACTGATTATCATGTCAGAGGAAGATTTTGGAGACCAACCTGCTATTACTGGCAAACCAGATATTGACTATATCTTTTGTGGACCTTTTTCACTTTAATAAGTTAAAGAGCCTCCATCTGTTGGGCTCTGTCTCCTTTTAGCTCTTCTCTTATTTGACTTTTGCCCTGAGTTTGTTGTGTAGGTTCACTTTGCAGGGCTGTGCCAATTGTGGCTTTGGGACGAAGTGTTCCTTTTCCAGACAGAGATGTTTCATCTGGAGCCAGCCTTGACTTTTCTTTCTGCTATAATGTAAACATGAAAATATGAAAATGAACAGCACAAATAAGGTTTTATGGCTTTTTCCAGTAACATAAGGAGCCAAGAAAGGCAATAACAGAATTCAATCATTCATTCTCCTTTCCTATTAACTTGATTTTAATTTATCTTCCAGAATAAATATTTGACAAATTTCTTCATTAGTGTGGAGCTGAAGAAAATGCAGTATCTTTGGCTCAGGCGGGTTAATACTGCTCGACTTTGGCAGTTCTGGCCTGTGGAGTTTAGTGCTGGATTTGTGATTCCTACCAGGCCATATTGCAAAGACTAGATAAAGAAGGCAGTGAGGTTGTTGACTGGGGGTCCAAGGCTCAGGCAGCCAAAAGCAGACATGAGAGGTCAAGGCTGAGGTACTGGTAGAGACGAGCTCAAGACAAAACTGTGTGTCCACTGGTTATACTCCTTACCAGGAGTGCAATTCTTTCTTCAAAGTGGAAAAATACAAGAAGACCTCTAGAAATGGAGTGAAGCTTTCAAAAAATTCAAAGCAGGCACGTTCTTCATAGAGTTCAGGAGTCAAAACAGGTTGACTGCAAGTTAGATTAGGGAGCAGTGACTCACATGCACATTCCAGACAGGGTGCATGAGATAATTTTGAGAGGGCACAGGCAGGGACAGCCTGAAGCAAAATCATGTACTTTCCCATGGCATGCCCTACTTCTGCTATTCTACCAACGGTTATGGACTGAATGTTTGTGTCCTTCCCCACATTCATATGTTGAAATCTTAATCCCCAATGTGATGGTATGAGAAGGTTGGGCCTTTGGGAGGTAATTAGGTCATGAGTGTGGAGCCTTTATCAATAAGATTAGTGCCCTTATAGAAAGAGACCCAAGAGCTTGCTGTCTCTTTCTGTTCTCTGTCATGTGAGGATGTCATGAGAAGATGTTCATCTGCAAGCCAGGAAGCAGGCCCTCCCCAGACACTGGACCTGCTGGCACCTTGATCTTGGACTTCCCAGCTTCTAGTACTATGAGAAATAAATGTGTATTGTTTGAGTCACCCACTCTTCGGTAATGTGTTGCAGCAGCCTGAACTGACTAAGACACCATCTTGTTTCTGAAGTCTTATGACTCCCTACCACTTCCAGGGACCTGCCAACTCCACTCATAATCGTGAAACACTGAATCCTTACCAAAAAAGGAATGCTTCCAGGAAAATGTCATATGGTGTGTTTGATAATTTGGGACTCAGGCTTAGATGTAAGTATTGTATGCCTATTACTTACATGGTCCAAGTGATGTACATAAGTCTGCCTACATACTTAGAATCACTTGGATTCTAAGTATGTAGTAAAAATACTAATGCTTTCTTTTCTCTTCTCATCTTCATCTAAGGGATCAGGACAGTGAGGGAGGAGGGGGTGCTGTGGTGATGACTTGGCAAGAGGCAGTCTGATTGCTGAGGAAGACAGTGGGGGAAGATGCAGAGGTGGCAAGTGAGAGAGGCAGTTGGAAGGCTGGGGACTGGTTATATTCAGCAAATAAGTTAGTTCACTGAGAAAATATGTGAATAAATTGAGTATAGTCAGATCCATGTTTCTTATCATCTGGTACAAGAGTTATAATCATGGAAATAGGAAATCTAGGGAGATCCTCAGATGTTGGATTGAAATTGGAAGTATTGGTAGAAACTTATGAATTTTCAAATATATATAGATATAGAAACAATTATAGAAACATGTAGCAATATACACACCAAGTTCCCAGATCTTGGCTTTTAAATATCCCCTCCACAAAAAGAAGCCAAGCTCCTGGAGGAATGGCTGATTATAGGGCTAGGGCAAGGAAAGAAAAAAATGAGCCTGAATTATCTTGTGACAGAAAATAAAGAAGTGCTCAAAAAATGACAGGGACATGTCAGAAGGAGAGAGAAGTTTGCATGAAGGAGCTCCCTACTAGCCAAATCGGAGACAATCAAAGCATCAAAATAAATAATGAAAATACTGGATTGAAATTCAATGAATAAAATAAGAGTGCACAAGCCCACATGGATATAAATGAGTGAATATATAAACAACCAAATGAAGGGGAAAGTAAGGCTCTTTCTTACAATAGAACATAGACCATTTTAAATGTTGGCAATAGACGATCTCCATCTGGCAGTCAACCTACAGTGGTTGACAAAGGTAAGAGTCATTCATGGATACTCAGCTGCTGGGTGAAGGTTTGATGAGGAATAGGATATTGGTGTGACATTGAAATATGTCCCCAGAAAGTACTAATCAAATACAAAGGAAAAATGATGACTTCACAATGGCAGACACAAATTTGGCTAAGTGACCAAGGTTAACATTACCAATAGTGGGGCCGGTTGAGAGAGTAGAGCCTCCTGACGCGAAGCACTGAGAAGAGCACAGCATCATTTCTTCAGTCTTTCTGCCAGGAATGCAAGGCTTGAGTCTGAGGAAACATGGACTGGGCCAAGTTGAGGGTCATCCTCATGAATGAAAGGTCTGTCCTCTTTAAGACTGTCAGGGACGCAGATCCAGAGCCAGAGAAAGAACGAGGAACTGTTCCAGACTGAAGGAGAACAATGAGACAATAAATATTCCTGGAACAAGGAAAAACATGGTATTGGGACTGTTGGAGAAACTTGAATGGGATTACCGGATTGGAAGGTAGTGTTGGTTGATGCAGATTTTCAGACTGGAAAGGTATTACATGGTAATACAGAAGAATGTTCTTGTTTGGGGAAAGTATATGCTGGAATCTGTAGGAGTTATGGGTCATGATGTCAGAAAAAAAGATTATAATAAATTCAGTTCATTTCTCTCTTTCTCTATAAATATACACACATATGTATGAGCAAACAAAAAATATATATATACTTCTGTATAACTAGTCACACATATGTGTATATGTGTACACACATAGATATCTATTTCTTTCTTTCTAAAAGGTTAATAACTAATAATTAGGGAATCTGGGTAAAGAGAGTACTCTTGTAATTTTTCTGTTGGTTTAAAACTATTTCAAAAAGTAAAATTAGAGGCTGGGCAGGGTGGCTCATGCCTGTAATCCCAGCACTTTGGAAGGACGAGGTGGGTGGATCATCTGAGGTCAGGAGTTCGAGACCAGCCTGGCCAACACGGTGAAACCCTGTCTCTACTAAAAAAAAATAAATAAAATAAATACAAAAAATTAGCCAGGTGAGGTGGTACATGCCTGTAGTCCTAGCTACTTGGGAGGCTCAGGTAGGAGAATTGCTTGAACCCGGGAGGCAGAGGTTGCAGTGAGTTGAAATCACACCACTGCATTCCAGCCTGGGTGACACAGCAAAACTCTGTCTCAAAATCAAACCAAACAAAAATCAGAAAAATTCCTGAGTCCTACTCCAGAACAACTCAGATGAATTTTTGATCTGAGTATCTGCATTTTAAAAAAAATTCGAGGTGATTTAAAGGTATGACTAGGGTTGAGGGCCACAGCTCTAAGCCATCGGCATACTTCTCAGCTTGAACTCTAACTGCCTACTTAGGACCAAGCACAGGGAATGAAGATTTCTGAGACATGATCACTGCCTTCAAGGCCCAGACCAGAGCAGAGCCCACAGGTCATGCAGCCCTTGGACTGTTCTGAAGATGGTGATTCCATGGTGGGAGGTGAGGTTAAGACAAATGGAAACTTGGGGCATTGATGTCCCCAACTGATTTGCCTGTGTCCCCCTAAAACCAGACGGGTATGGTAGTTGACTCATCGGAGGCTAGAATCAGGGGTGGAGATTGGAGAGGTCCTGGGCACTCCAGGCTGTTCCTAACTGGGATACCCATTGGGGCTATTTGTTTGCAAAGCTTCTGATGCTAACTAGCAGTCAGTTATGAAATCAGATAAGTCAACTAGGGTTCTATTGCTCCAAGCAATGGAAGCAAACCCTGGCTAACTTAAATAACAGAGGAATGTATTGGTGGTATACTGGAGAGCTCACATAAAGGACAAGAAGCCACAGAAATCAGGGCAGGAGCCACAGAGGCTCAGGACATCCAGGTGGCAGAAGCCACACTGGTCATCGCTGCTGGAAAAAAATCCTCCATTCATTTTTCTTTTGCATCCTTGCTTTGGTCTACTTAAAATGGAAAGACCTGAGAAAAGGGTATAATTGGTTGCTCTTGACTCCTAGGCCCACCTCCTGGCTGTATTAGCATTTCAATTTCCAGTCCCATCAAGACTGTGTAGAATAGAGAAAAAATATCCCAAGAAGGGAAGGGAGGTGAAGGCTGGGCAATACTCACCCCCATTGTCTGGTAGAGTTTCTAGAATGAGTCAAAATCCATAGAGCCATGGGGGAATAATCCAATAAATGAAATAGTAACTTCTAATATTCCCCCCCTTGCTTGTTGTCATTTGGATTAAGCACACACAAGACACTGTGGACCCATTCTACCTCCTCAGAGTTTCCGAGTACCCCTCCTTGGTTGTCATATTATTGATAAATGAAAAAAATCTATGACCCTATACTATTCATTTTTATATGGATGGCTTAAGGATCCTTCAAGATCACAGTAGCATTCATTCGCATATCAAGTAATTATTGAGCACCTGCTATCTGCTAGGCCTTTTTCAGGTACCCGAGATGCATCAGTGAACAAAAGAAGTCAAATTCCCTGCTCTCATCTTGCTTCCATGTTAGGTGGGGCTTATGCGTGTCCGTCCTATCTCACTAACCTGAAAACGAAAATTGTTCTTACTGTTCCTACAGGCAAAACCTTACCACAATTCCAGGAAACCAAGAGAGGCTTTTTTTTTTTTTTTTTTTTTTTTTAGATGGAGTCTCACTCTGTTGCCCAGGCTGGAGTGTAGTGGCATGATCTTGGCTCACTGCAACCTCTGCCTCCCGGGTTCAAGTGATTCTTCTGCCTCAGCCTCCTGATTAGCTGGGACTACAGGTGTGCACCACCATGCCTTGCTAATTTTTGTATTTTTAGTACAGACGGAGTTTCACCATATTGGCCAGGCTGGTCTTGAACTTCTGACCTCATGATCTGCCTGCCTCAGCCTCCCAAAGTGCTGGGATTACAGGCATGAGCCACCACGTCTGGCCAAAAGAGGCTCTTTTAAGACACAGTCAAGTTTCCTTGGTCATCTGTATGTGCCACACTTCTGTCCTTTGGGCTGGGGCAGACACATGTGGTTTCAAAACAACCCAATGCATCTCAGCCCTGGCTCTCCACTAAGCAGAGCCACCAACTCCTGTGTGTCTGAGGCAAATCCATGTCTTCTTTTTTATTTTTTTTCATTTCAGATGGAGTCTAGCTCTGTCCCCCAGGCTGGAATGCAGTGGTGTGATCTCGGTTCACTGCAACCTCTGCCTCCAAGGTTCAAGTGATTCTCCTGCCTCAGCCTCCCAAGTAGCTGGGATTACAGGTGCGCCCCACTACGCCCAGTGAATTTTTGTATTTCAGTAGAGATGGGGTTTCACCATATTGGCCAAGCTGGTCTTGAACTCCTGACCTCAAGTGATCCACCTGCCTCAGCCTCCTAAAGTGCTGGAATTACAGGTGTGAGCCACCACGCCTGGCTGCAAATCCATGTTTTGTAGGCTGACAGAGTATTACGTCCTCTTTTGGAGCGTCCAAATATGTGGGCATGGAAGAGATGAGTACAAACTCTTACAAATGCTTGGTTATTTGTCTTAATGACCTGAGGATAGCTCTAAGAGGCCCTTCTGAAGGGGATTAATGTGGTATCGATTTAGTAGATGTGGAATATCTATGCCTTGGGCCAAATGCTCGTCCCTCTGTGGGCCAGGTTTGGTGGGAGCTGAGCCCTGGCCTTAAGCCTGACCTCTCTCTCACTGCCCTGGCAATGACCACCCCCTTATCCTGGCTGAGCTGGCACACCCAGCATAGGAAATGCATGTTGGTGAGGTTTGGGCAGGAGAGAGAGGTGTTTGGTGAGACACCCAGCTAAAGGTTTCCTTTACCACAGAGTAGACATTGCGGTTTTGCTGGAATCACATTCAGGTTTATGTGCCTTTGGTTTCATGAAAAGTCCAGGGCCATTTGCCCAGGAGTGAAATGACTTGACCCAGCTCAGCCACAAGTGATATTTTGGCTGGAGATAAGCTCCTGCAGCAAAGGGGAAACACTCTGTGGGGCCTGGGTTATACTGTTGCTCTGACGTGAATGAGCTTGTGACTGAAGATGGCCAGTGCTACTGTCCTAGCTTCAGTTTCTTCATCTGCAAGATGGGTGGGGGTGGAACGGATGACCTCTCAAAGTCCTTCCAGCTCCAACATTCTGATTCTATGCAGTACTGTCTCCATCGTTTGTGGGGCCCAGTGCAAGATGAAAATGCCTGTGCAAAATGAGAATTTCAAGACGGTAGCAGCAGAACATTAAACCAAGCACCAGACCCTCCTACACATGGGGTCCATATGCCTTCACAGGTAGTGTGCCCATAAAGCTGTCCTTGATTCTATGCATCCCCATGGCGCCTGTTTCTAATTACACTTGATGGAGTATCGTGTAATAGAGTGGACAGATATGGGTTTTCCAGTTAGAAAGACTTGGTCTTTAATCTAGGCCTTGTGTACCAGTCCAATCCTAGGTTCCTTCCCTATCTGTTCCTTGTCTCAGTTTCTTCATATGTAAAACAGGGATAATCACACCCATCTAGCAGGAAGGTTGTGAAAAATAAAGACAGACACGCAGAATACACAGTAGGGGTTCAGTAAATAGACTCACCAGTATTGCAAAGTATCACATATTCACATTAAACTGATTTCCACCTGAAACAGCATTTCATGGAGCCATGGCTTTTTAAGGCAAAGCTATGCTAGAGAGATAGCCAGATTCAAAACAGACTTTCTTTTTTCCAAAAAAAAGTCACGAGGGGCTTTTTACAGTAACTGCATCTGTGGCTCTCTGCTTTCTGGACCACACACTCTACGATTTAGGAAGTCATTCCGTTCCCAACTGAAAATTATCTCTTGGGCTTGGTCCCTTTCTTCTCTCAGTTCCCCATCCTCCCACTCTTTTTTTCTGCTATTCAGAACTGCATATGGGTTTTGAGAAACCTATTTGCATTTCAAATTCATTTCATGGCTATGATTGTTCTCATTTGCTTTGACTTCACATGTAGCCATATGTGCAGTTTTTCACTCATCTTGTGCAGCCAGAAAAGAGGACCAGACTTCCTTGGGACTCTCCCTCCTCTCATTAATGAATGATGCTATAAGCAAAAGTCAGCTTCCACCAGTGGGGAAAATATTATTCATTCTTGTGTTCATCTCTCCATTCATTCACTTGCGCTTTACCCTTTGAGCACTTAATATGTGTTAGCCATGTTCCCAGACACTGGGAATTTAGAGATAAATTATGATCTTTATCCAATTAGAAACTCAAGAACTAGTGAGAGAGACAAATGAGAGAACATAAAATGTCAAATACAACAAGGTAAATATTTTTAGAACGGTTGTGGAGTTGCAGGGAGACAGGATGACTCCCATGAGTTTTGTTTCCACCTGGGTGAGCCGGAGAAGGGAACATTTGAGCTGAGTGTTGAAGGATGCAAAGGAATTTTCTAGAAAAAGATACCTCCATCTGAAAGGAATCCTGGGACCTCACTGCTGCTTTTCAATCCTTTAAATATCTTGTCAATTCCCTGAGACATTTATCATGTGTGTGGAACTCCAGCTTCACAAACCCCATGGCCTTGGCTCACCATCTACCCTCTTGCTCCAGTAGAGTGAAAATGTCTAGAGGTGGGTCCTTTCACTCTCTTCATTGCCTTAGTTATGTGATTCCTCACTCCTAACCTGTTCTTTCCTTCTCTCTCAGGGGTAGATACCCTTATTCCTTCCAAAGGCAGCCCTTCCTCAGGGAGGCCAATCCCAGCACACCTGCAAGACTTTGCTTATTCAGTTTTCTCTCTTAGTGCTTCAAAATCTACTTTCCAGTTCCTTACCCTCCTTCAACAAGCAAGGTTCAGTCTTGCACAACCTGAAAACAAACAAAACTTTTTTAAACTCTGCAATTCCCTCAAGATATTCGGGTACCTATCACCTTCCTTTTACTAACATACTTGTTGAGGAAATTGGTTTCTTCACTCTCAGCTGTTACATTCTCACCGCTCCTTCAAGCCTGATCTAACAGCTTTTAGCCCCTGCTCCCCACTGAGTCTCATCTCCCAAAAGTCAGCAGATATCCAATCCACAAGTCTACTGGCACATCTCCAGCCCTCATACTCACCAACTTCTGCATCCTTTCAATTCTTGAAATGTTCACGTTATTGAAACCTCGTTCCCTCCTGGCTTTTGTAGCACTGTTCCTCAGCTACTCCCTTCCCCACCAGTCCGTCTTCCCTTCTCTTTTCACAGACCCTACCCCTCAGTCATCCCCTAATGATCCTTGGCCTCAGCTAGATGACTGGCTCCCAAACCCTGTCTCCAGGTCCTTCGGCTTCTCTGAGCCTCACTCTCACATTTCCAATTATTTCTGTGATATTTTCCTTGAGGTAGCTCACTGGCTTCTCAAATGCTGACTTTCTTTCTTTCTCCCCCAAGCCTTTATATTTTGATGACCCCAGCACCCACTCAGGATTGGAATGATATTATTCATTCCTCACTCCTCTCTTCCCCTTGCCCCATTTCCAATTAGGCACCCAATCCCATTTCTGTTACTCCAAAATGGTCTTTGCCATCTTTGTTATTATGGTTTCACCTTGCCCTTGAACCACCATGGGTGTCTGATGGTGCATCTTCATTATTTCCCAGCCCAGATGAGTTCATCTTTCTAAAGTTTGACTCTGCTGCTGTCAAAATCCATTCTCTTTCTGAATTTACCCACACTTTTGTCTGGATATTAACTCAGTGTTTTCAAGACAATCTCTGATTTTTCTCTTCAATGTAACAAATTCTTACTCAATACTTAGTATGAGTATGTGCAAGTCACTGTATGAGGAGCTGCAGAAGTAGAAAGAGGAAGAAGTCTTTGCCTTCAAGGAGTACAATCTAACTTTAAGAGGAGACCATTGGGGATAAGACAGAAAGTTAGGAGAGTTAGAAAAGAAGATAAAAAAGCAAGGGCTCTCTCAGAAAGAAGAAACCACAGCATGTGTGTTGCATGTGTGTTTTGTGTGTGTGTGTGAGTGGTGTGTGTGCATGGTGTGTGTGTGTCCAGGACTGTGAAAAGTAGAGGTGGTGTTTGAGGAGGATTTTGACAGGGAGAAAGGAGAGCAGAACTTTCCAGGTGAAGAAAACAATTTCCACAGTGATGTAGAGATGGGAAAATACCATGCATATTTGGAAAAATAGTAATCCAGATTTGTGGGAACATAAGGTCTAGTGAGATCTAGTCTAACCAATTAATCTACATGATGAGAACTAAAATCCACATGTTTCTTTAGGAAATATAGTAAATGGTATAGCTTAGGACTTTGTCTTACACTTTAACAAAGCAGAGTGCTGTATATATTTATTTGTCAGATCACACACACACACACACACACACACTCTCTCTCTCTGTCTCTCTCTCTCTCACAGAGACATGCATGGACAGAAAACCATGCTGGGTAGTATAGTTACACAGACCTTGCTCTTGAGAAATAGCCTCTCGGGAGAAGGAGGGAAGGGTGAATAAATAATTGCAACATCATATGGTCAACACTATTAGTACAAGTAAAGATGTGTGCAATGCCCACAGCAGCCTAGAGGAGGGAAAGTTGGCATAGATTGTAAGGAAAGCTATGTAGGATAGCATTTGATTTAGGCCTTGGAGAATAAATACAAGTTTGTCAATGGAAAGGGGGAAAGCAGGGTGTTTTAGGTCAAGGGAACAGGAGTGAAAGGTGTGTGTGGTGTGGTGGGGGAGTGTGGGTAGAGCTTGAGAAAATGTGTTCATAGCAGGGAAAGTTGTCTTGTGGGACAGAGCAGTAGTCCTCAGTGCTGGTGATTTTGCCCCCCAATGGTTCTTCATGGGGGTGATTTTGCCCCCCAGGGTACATTTGACAATGCCTACAGACATTTTTAAATTGTCACACTCTTGCACGGGGAGGGTATGTTCTACTGGTATCCAGTGGATAGAGGCCAGAGATGCCACTAAATATCCTACAATGCACAGGATAGTTCCTACAACAAAGAATTCTCCCCTTCAAAATGTCAACAGTGCCAAGGTGCAGAAACCTCTGGCTAGAATGTAGTAGTCCCAGAAAGAAGCAGAAGGAAATAAGATTGGAAAGATAGATTGGTGTTAATTTGTAAAATGCCTTAAATGCCATATAATATACTGAAGGTTTCCAGAAAAGGTAAACATTGTATTTTCATTGATTTAATTAGTCTCATTCAATTAAACAATATTTGTTTATAGTATAATTCAATAAAAAGTGATAATGCTTATAGGTGACAAAAGAGAATTTTCTTTACAAAATTCTATAATTTTAAGCCTTGAGGTCATTTGAACAGAGACTTTCTAATGGAAAAGCATCTATTTGAATCCTTTCCCTGGTTAGTAGCTGGATTCCTCTGCCTCCGGCCACTCCTCCTGCCTCCACTCAAGGTATCATGGTTATTCATTGAAGCTTCTGGCTGAGTTGGCCCATAAAGCACAGGGCTGCTCAGGCGGACCTGGTCTCTTTAAGACTGTGACTAGGAACTCATCACTTGTTTAGAGTCACAGCTAGGTGTGGGTTCTCAGGAAAGACTGGCTGTGGTCCAGGACTAATACAAGATGTTTTGAACAGAAGTCTGGGGATCACTTTTTCTAAGCCTTATTTGTGTTGGAAAAGTTGAGTTCATATTATCATCACTTAATTGAGTCCTTTTTTCCCATACTCTTCCATTAGGAACCCCTGCGTCACCCCCTGAGTGGGGTATTAGACCCACTTTATAATGAAGAGGTTGATAATTGGCAGGAAGTTACTTAGGAAATACAGTGCCATCTAAGCCTATTTTCAACCTTTTGAACAAAGGTATCCGCCCAGAAATAATTTCCCAATGTGAAGGGGAGGAAGAAGATTATAGGGCACACCCTTCCTTCAGATTAAAGAAGGCTGCTTACTAAAGTTTGTACACTAGTGGTTCTCAAATCGTTAAGCTCAGGGAACATTTTCAAAATACTGGGATTTCTGATGGCACACTTAATGGGATTAAATGGAATCCACTGTGATTATCATACTACAATGGCATTCATACATTAAAGTTAAAAGGATACAACCTATGTGCCCAGAGAGAAAGAGAGGTTACAATTGAAAAAGTCAGACCATCCTCCCACCTTTCCACTCAGAAAGTGTATGCCCCATGGTAGGTTTGCCAGGTAAAATACAGGAGGCCAAGTTCATTTTGAATTTCAGATACATAATGAATATTTTTGAATATAAGTTTGTCCCATGCTAAACTCATTTATCGGAAATTCAAATGTAACTGAATACCTTGTATTTTTATTTGCTAAATCCAGCAACCCTCCTGAGAGAGCGTTAGATGGGAGTCTTCCATTCATTCCACCAGTATCTGTGCCCACACACTTCTCCTGGGTGAGCTTCTTGCTCCTTTAGATATGATTGTTGTTAACGATGCATACAACATGGCCCCTAAATCCAAGCCAACTACTTCAGCTAGTGTCAACCTAAAGAAATCACAATCTGTGTTAATGCTGGAGGGACTTACTGAGAGACGGTATGTTTGTCTCTGATATGGTACATTCCCTAAGTGTTTTTGTTATTTGGCAAACATTAATTGAGCATCAGAAATGTTCCGGGCACTTAGGATGGAACAAGAAACTAAACATTGCTGTTCTCATGGTGCCTACATACTTGTGGGAGGAGACTGTTCGATGCTCATTTTTATCCCAGAGTTGACCTGAGTTAGATGTGAGTTCATGTATCAGCTGCAACACACTTTAGGACCTTGTTATTTGAATACCTCTGCTTTCTGCCCTGATTATGTTTTCTCGTATATTCCTGAGGCAAAGTTCTTTCTATGCCAGCATCTCCCACAGTAGACCTTATGAAGATAGACAGCAATAAATACTGGTGTAAAAGATAAAGCTTTTAGGAACATGACTCTCTTAACTGAAAACTTTTTGTGTCTTGGCATGTGTGCATGTGCTTATGTGTGTTTGTGAGTATACAGATAATGCACAAATAATGGGTTTCCTGGAAATGTTGGTTGTACAGAGACTATCTTTCTTGATCATTTTTGTCCCCAAAGCAAGCACTTGAAAGAATTCAGTAACAACTTCTTGAGCAGAAAAGATGGCCTCTGCTCAGAGCTTGGTGCAGCAGCAGACACTGAAATGTGGCTTGGCTCTGTCTCTTGGCATAGTTCTAGGGTGTTATGTTCCACGAGAGGCCTTGGAGGGAGGAGGCACTGGTACCTTTTCAGAATCTCGTCAAATCAGGCACAGACTTGCTGGCAGCCACAGCAAAGGGATCTTACTGATCTTTGCCCAACTCTCAGGAGGTAACTGGCAAGACAGAAGAAAGCAAAACAAGCAACCAAATCCGAGGCCTTATAAATTTGACTTGGAAATTTTGTCTCAAGGCTGTCAAAGAGTAGAAATAATGATTTCATTTTCTCCAAGTCCCATTCTTGGGCATTTCGTATTTAACGCAGATAAAACACATTCGAGTACCTATCAACTTTTTTTCTTTCTTTTTTTTTTTTTAGTCTAGCCGTTCTCAGCATCAGGTGACTCTGCTCCTTGAAAATACATTTAAGTGATGCCATTCCTGTCCAAAACCACCACTGACTCCTTCTTCAGAGGGCAAGCCTTGAAATCATGTGCATTTGCCTGTGAGACGTTTCTCCGATTATCTGAAAATCTTCTGCCAGGGATAAGGCGATTTGTCTCCATTCTGTCTGAGGTTGCGGATCTTGGTTTGCAGAGGAGGGCTGCAACGTAGTAGGTTCCTCCACGTGGCTTCTCACTGAAGCCAGAATGACTCATTTAGAGAGTAATCTTGGTGCGGCCTCTTGCTGCCCTCTGGTGGAGAAAACGGGTATTGAACAAGCCATAACGACTGATCTCTGAGGCAAATGCTGTGAAGTGTCAGCGCAAAGGTCCACGGGGAATAATTACACTTCAAGCTATTATCTAAATGAACGGAGTTCATCTAAATGAATGGAGTTGGAACGGTTGTTCTATGAGAATCTGATTTCTCAGCAAGAGAAGTTTTAATTCCATCCCCTTTTTATTTCTGTTTGCTGCGAACTGGTTTCTCATTTCTCCACACTTGCTCTTCCTTTTCGTGAACAATCATTTTGTGTATTTTGAGATCATTATAAAATTCTTGTACGCTCATTTTAAAACATTTCCAGAAAGTGAAAGTCAGCATGTGACCCAGGAAAATTCTAATTCTTAAAACACTCAAGACTCTAAACTAGGGTTTAGACCTATATATTCAGATCTAATTCCAAACCAAAATTCATTTCAGAAGTTTAAATAAAACGTATTAGTCTTATGCCTTCTGAGTCTTTGATTCAAATGAGAGGCTTCTTTTTTTATTTTTTTATTTTATTATTATTATACTTTAAGTTTTAGGGTACATGTGCACAATGTGCAGGTTAGTTACATATGTATACATGTGCCATGCTGGTGTGCTGCACCCATTAACTCGTCATTTAGCATTAGGTATATCTCCTAATGCTATCCCTCCCTCTTTCCCCCACCCCACAACAGTCCCCAGAGTGTGATGTTCCCCTTCCTGTGTCCATGTGTTCTCATTGTTCAATTCCCACCTATGAGTGAGAACATGTGGTGCTTGGTTTTTTGTCCTTGTTGCGATAGTTTACTGAGAATGATTATTTCCAATTTCATCCATGTCCCTACAAAGGACATGAACTCATCATTTTTTATGGCTGCATAGTATTCCATGGTGTATATGTGCCACATTTTCTTAATCCATTCTATCCTTGTTGGACATTTGGGTTGGTTCCAAGTCTTTGCTATTGTGAATAGTGCCACAATAAACATACATGTGCACGTGTCTTTATAGCAGCATGATTTATAGTCCTTTGGGTATATACCCAGTAATGGGATGGCTGGGTCAAATGGTATTTCTAGTTCTAGATCCCTGAGGAATCGCCACACTGACTTCCACAATGGTTGAACTAGTTTACAGTCCCACCAACAGTGTAAAAGTGTTCCTATTTCTCCACATCCTCTCCAGCACCTGTTGTTTCCTGACTTTTTAATGATTGCCATTCTAACTGGTGTGAGATGGTATCTCATTGTGGTTTTCATTTGCATTTCTTTGATGGCCAGTGATGGTGAGCATTTTTTCATGTGTTTTTTTGGCTGCATAAATGTCTTCTTTTGAGAAGTGTCTGTTCATATCCTTTGCCCACTTTTTGATGGGGTTGTTTGTTTTTTTCTTGTAAATTTGTTTGAGTTCATTGTAGATTCTGGATATTAGCCCTTTGTCAGATGAGTAGGTTGCGAAAATTTTCTCCCATTTTGTAGGTTTCCTGTTCACTCTGATGGTAGTTTCTTTTGCTGTGCAGAAGCTCTTTAGTTTAATTAGACCCCATTCGTCAATTTTGGCTTTTGTTGCCATTGCTTTTGGTGTTTTAGACATGAAGTCCTTGCCCATGCCTATGTCCTGAATGGTAATGCCTGTTTGAAGATGACATGATTGTATATCTAGAAAACCCCATTGTCTCAGCCCAAAATCTCCTTAAGCTGATAAGCAACTTCAGCAAAGTCTCAGGATACAAAATCAATGTGCAAAAATCACAAGCATTCTTATACACCAATAACAGACAAACAGAGAGCCAAATCATGAGTGAACTCCCATTCACAATTGCTTCAAAGAGAATAAAATACCTAGGAATCCAACTTACATGGGATGTGAAGGACCTCTTCAAGGAGAACTACAAACCGCTGCTCAAGGAAATAAAAGAGGATACAAACAAATGGAAGAACATTCCATGCTCATGGGTAGGAAGAATCAATATCGTGAAAATGGCCATACTGCCCAAGGTAATTTATAGATTCAATGCCATCCCCATCAAGCTACCAATGACTTTCTTCACAGAATTGGAAAAAACTACTTTAAAGTTCATATGGAACCAAAAAAGAGCCCACATCGCCAAGTCAATCCTAAGCCAAAAGAACAAAGCTGGAGGCATCACACTACCTGACTTCAAACTATACTACAAGGCTACAGTAACCAAAACAGCATGGTACTGGTACCAAAACAGAGATATAGATCAATGGAACAGAACAGAGCCCTCAGAAATAACGCTGCGTATCTACAACTATCTGATCTTTGACAAACCTGAGAAAAACAAGCAATGGGGAAAGGATTCCCTATTTAATAAATGGTGCTGGGAAAACTGGCTAGCCATATGTAGAAAGCTGAAACTGGATCCTTTCCTTACACCTTATACAAAAATTAATTCAAGATGGATTAAAGACTTAAACGTTAGACCTAAAACCATAAAAACCCTAGGAGAGGCTGTCTTCTTAAGACTTTTGCATACAAGTTACATTTCAAGAGAATACGCTTATTTTTTAAGCTCTAAACATGAGAAAATTCTCAAAAAGTATATCCAGGTAGAAGCATGCAATTTTAATTAAAATCTACTACTACTCTTCTTAGAATCAAGGAAAAATTTTGGAGACTAGAATGAGATATTAACACATTATGCATCAGTGTATGACTGATCTTTCAAATGCGTTCCAGTGCCCTCTAGAGCTGTTGTGCTTTTTGAATTAAGAAATTCTTCTTTTTTTTAAAATTTTTATTTTTTTGAGATGGAATTTCGCTCTTTTTGCCCAGGCTGGAGTGCAATGGCATGATCTTGGCTCACCGCAACCTCTACCTCCCAGGTTCAAGCGATTCTCCTGCCTCAGCCTCCAGAGTAGCTGGAATTATAGGCATGCGCCATCACGCCTGGCTAATTTTTGTGTATTTTCAGTAGATATGGGGTTTCTCCATGTTGGTCAGGCTGGTCTCAAACTCCCGACCTCAGGTGATCTGCCTGCCTCGGCCTCCCAAAGTTCTGGGATTACAGGCGTGAGCCACTGCACTCAGTCTGAATTAAGAAATTCTTAATGCCAGGTTAGTGATAGGTTCCTATAGGAAGGATTTTTTATTCATGAGTTAATTCATTTGGTTTTTATTCAACAAGTATTCCCTGAGCACCCACATGCCAGCACTATGGAAGATGAATTCATCACCTGCATGAAGGTGCTTACAGAGCTGAGAGTAAATGTCTTGAGAACAAGGCAGACCATGGGCAGCTCACAAGAGAGGTAGAGGTAAAACGAGATCAGAATTCAGAGATGAGGGCTGGGTGCGGTGGCTCATGCCTGTAATCCTAGCACTTTGGGAGGCCGAGGCGGGTGGATCACTTGAGGCCAGGAGTTCGAGACCAGCCTGGCCAACAGGGTAAAACCCCATCTCTGCTAAAGATACAAAAATTAGCAGGGCATGGTAACACGTACCTGTAATCCCAGCTACTCAGGAGGCTGAGGCAGGAGAATCTCTTGAACCCGGGAGGCTGAGGTTGCAGTGAGCCAAGATCACACCACTGCACTCCAGCCTGGGCTACAGTGTGAGACTCGTCTCAAAAAAAAAAAAAAAAAAAAAAAAGAATTCAGAGATGAAAGAGATTACTTCCAGTTCCAGTTTTGAGAGCAGGTGAAACAAGGGACTTTTCTGAACTAGAAATTAAAGTGTGAACAAGATTTGGATGTAAAATCATTCTACATGGCAGAAATTTGGAAATTTCTTCCTTAGGTATAATTTTTCTTGGGAAAAGAAGCTATAGTCCCTCTCCCTCTCCCTCTCCCTCTCCCTCTCCGTCTCCCCACGGTCTCCCTCTCCCTCTCTTGCCACGGTCTTCCTCTGATGCCGAGCCGAAGCTGGACTGTACTGCTGCCATCTCGGCTCACTGCAACCTCCCTGCCTGATTCTCCTGCCTCAGCCTGCCGAGTGCCTGCGATTGCAGGCGCGCCGCCACGCCTGACTGGTTTTCGTATTTTTTTGGTGGAGATGGGGTTTCGCTGTGTTGGCCGGGCTGGTCTCCAGCTCCTAACCGCGAGTGATCCGCCAGCCTCGGCCTCCCGAGGTGCCGGGATGGCAGACGGAGTTGCGTTCACTCAGTGCTCAATGGTGCCCAGGCTGGAGTGCAGTGGCGTGATCTCGGCTCGCTACAACCTCCACCTCCCAGCTGCCTGCCTTGGCCCCCCAAAGTGCCGAGATTGCAGCCTCTGCCCGGCCGCCACCCCGTCTGGGAAGTGAGGAGCGTCTCTGCCTGGCCGCCCATCGTCTGGGATGTGAGGAGCCTCTCTGCCTGGCTGCCCAGTCTGGAAAGTGAGGTGCGTCTCTGCCCGGCCGCCATCCCATCTAGGAAGTGAGGAGCGTCTCTGCCCGGCCGCCCATCGTCTGAGATGTGGGGAGCGCCTCTGCCCTGCCGCCCCATCTGGGATGTGAGGAGCGTTTCTGCCCGGCCGCCCCGTCTGAGAAGTGAGGAGACCCTCTGCCTGGCAACCACCCCGTCTGAGAAGTGAGAAGCCCCTCCGCCCGGCAGCCACACCGTCTGAGAAGTGAGGAGCCCCTCCGCCCGGCAGCCACCCCGTCTGTGAAGTGAGGAGCGTCTCCGCCCGGCAGCCGCCCCGTCCGGAAGGGAGGTGGGGGGGTCAGCCCCCCGCCCGGCCAGCCGCCCCATCCGGGAGGGAGGTGGGGGGGGTCAGCCCCCCGCCCGGCCAGCAGCCCCGTCCAGGAGGTGAGGGGCGCCTCTGCCCGGCCGCCTCTACTGGGAAGAGAGGAGCCCCTCTGCCTGGCCAGCTGCCCCGTCCGGGAGGGAGGTGGGGGGGTCAGCCCCCCGCCCGGCCAGCAGCCCCGTCCGGGAGGGAGGTGGGGAGGTCAGCCCCCCGCCCGGCCAGCCGCCCCGTCCGGGAGGGAGGTTGGGGGGTCACCCCCCGCCCGGCCAGCCGCCCCATCCGGGAGGTGAGGGGTGCCTCTGCCTGGCTGCCCCTACTGGGAAGTGAGGAGCCCCTCTGCCCAGCCAGCAGCCCCGTCCGGGAGGGAGGTGGGGGGTCAGCCCCCCGCCCAGCCAGCCGCCCCGTCTGGGAGGGAGTTGGGGGGGTCAGCCCCCTGCCCGGCCAGCCGCCCCATCCGGGAGGTGAGGGGCGCCTCTGCCCGGCCGCCCCTACTGGGAAGTGAGGAGCCCCTCTGCCCGGCCGCCACCCCGTCTGGGAGGTGTACCCAACAGCTCATTGAGAACGGGCCATGATGACAATGGCGGTTTTGTGGAATAGAAAAGGGGGAAAGGTGGGGAAAAGATTGAGAAATCGGATGGTTGCCGAGTCTATGTAGAAAGAGGTAGACATGGGAGACTTTTCATTTTGTTCTGTACTAAGAAAAATTCTTCTGCCTTGGGATCCTGTTGATCTGTGACCTTACCCCCAACCCTGTGCTCTCTGAAACATGTGCTGTGTCCACTCAGGGTTGAATGGATTAAGGGTGGTGCAAGATGTGCTTTGTTAAACAGATACTTGAAGGCAGCATGCTCGTTAAGAGTCATCGCCACTCCCTAATCTCAAGTACCCAGGGACACAAACACTGCGAAAGGCCGCAGGGTCCTCTGCCTAGGAAAACCAGAGACCTTTGTTCACTTGTTTATCTGCTGACATTCCCTCCACTATTGTCCTGTGACCCTGCCAAATCCCCCTCTGCGAGAAACACCCAAGAATGATCAATTAAAAAAAAAAAAAAAAGAAGCTATAGACAGCTCCTAAATGCCATGTAAATGACTTTCTGTCTTTCAGGCGTCTTTTGAAATGTGAGAGTTCATAACATTTCAGATACTGTCAATTCTTGATTTACCTCTGCCCTTTACACATGAGATTTCTGCCTTTTTCCTCAAAATACTCTTCTCTCACCAAGCCAAAAACAGTAAAACAAGAGAGGAGGAATAACTGTTTTATTGGCTCTCCCTGTCACTATATTCTCCTTAAGTCACCAATGCTACTCATTTCATGTCATACTCCATTCGGGCTGCTACAACAAAAATACCATAAACTGGGTGGCTCATAAGCAACAAATATTTATTTCGTACAGTTCTGGAGGCTGGGAAGTCCAAGATCAAGCTGCCCACAGATTTGGTATCTGGGGAGGGTTCATTTCCTGCTTCATAGTTGGTGCCAGGGTTCATTTCCTGCTTCATAGTTGGTGCCTTCTCACTGTGTCCCCAAAAGGTGAAAGGGGCTAATGAGCTACCTTGGGTCTATCTTACAACGGCACCAATTCCATTCATGAGGGCTCTTACCTTTGTGACCTAGTTACCTCCCCAAAGGCCCACCTCCTAATATCATCACCTTGGAGGTTAGGATTTCAACGTAAGGATTTTGGAGGATATAATATTCAGATCACAGCTTTTGATGAATTTCTTTTTTTTTTTTGAGACGGAGTCTCACTCTGTTGCCCAGGCTGGAGTGCAGTGTTGTGATCTCAGCTTACTGCAACTTCTGCCTCCTGGGTTCAAGCAATTATCTTGCCTCAGCCTCCGAGTAGCTGGGATTACAGGCACGTGACACCATGCCCAGCTGATTTTTGTATTTTTAGTAGAGACGGGGGTTTCACCATGTTGGCCAGGCTGGTCTTGAACTCCTGACCTCAGGTGATCTGCCCACCTCAGCCTCCCAAAGTGCTGGGATTACAGGTGTGAGCCACCACACCTGGCTTGATGAATATTTATTGTGTACCTATTATATGCCAGATATACTGCTGGGTACTAAAAGTCAATAATTAGCAAGCATACATGGTCCTTTTTCTTAAAAAGCTTTTACTGGCTGTAGACAGCCAATTAAGCCATAGAATACAACCCTTAATGTATAATAAGAAGAGCAGTACACCACAAATATCAACCTAGCCTTTGGTATAAGGCAATCTGGATTGAAATCTGGGCTCTGTTGAATACTTGCCATGTGACCTTGGGCTACTTAACCTCTTTACACTCAGTTTTTGAAATAAATATATTCCTAGTTCACCTAATGGTCCCAGCAGGTGTTCCTGGTGTGCAATGGCTTTTCTCCAGGCCATAATTCCTTCTTGTGATTTTGCCATCCCCTAGGGCTTCATCCTCACAGCTGAAGGGGAAATAGAGAGTGTGAAAGAGGGACAGATGTTTTTTAAAACGCACTGGTCTGGAAATGGCATCCATTGGCTAGAACTCAGTCATTTGGCCAAATGTGGTTCAAGAAAGGCTAGAAAAAGTAGCTCAGCTGTGCACCCAGGAATAAGAGGAGAACATGGATCTTGCTGAACACCTAGAAGTATTTGACACAACCTTTGTAAGCCACGTTAAGTAGTTCAGATTTATCATGGAATTAATAAGCCAGTGAAAGCAAAGGAGTAAAATCATCATATTTTTCATTTTTGGAAAATCATTCTATCAGCAGTGAAAAGAATGGCTTGGGTGATTGATTAGATAACTGAGTGGGTAGTAATGTTATTCAGTGAGATACACGAAGAGGTGTGAGTTTTCAGGGAGGAGAGTGGGAGGTGAGTTCAACTGAAGACACATTGAATATGAGGTGCTTCAAGATCATCAGATATACAGAGATGTGCTCTAGTTACATACCCTGAAGTCTAAAGTTCAGGAAAGAAATCTGAAATAGAGGTATACCTTTGTGAATTTTCAACTTATAGATGGAGCTTTGGGAGTTTGTAAAACAAACAAACAAACAAACAAAAAAAACCAAAACAAAAAAACACCAATACAAAGGAAAGGACAGAGGAAGAGGAACCAGCAAAAGAAACTGAGCAGGAGCATCCTGTAGAGGGAAAAGTGGCCAAATATGCTGCCACACATGCCACAGGAAAAGATTATTTCAAGGAGGCAGTGGTCAACAATACCAAGCAAAACACTGACTTTTATAAAAAGGAGGTTGTGGGTGAATGTTCTGGTTATTCTGTGTATCCACCATTCTCCCCTCTTCCCTGTGTCCCTGAAGGCTGAGCTCTGTAGACTTTATCACTTAGGCTCCCTTGCCCTCTAGCTTTCAGCTGGGTTTGGCCAATGGAAAGCAATGACAGATGGGATGAATGAAACAGAGAGAGCAGAATATTTTTCCCCAGTTCCATACAGCTTTAGTGTCTTATCTTAGGCAGTAAGTCCACCACTCCTTGACATCAATTCCTACCAGGTGTCCTCTTCTCCCCGGTTCTCACTCTTACTGTTCTATTTCCTCCTCTTGTCTCTTTGGCCCTAGGAATGATAATGGCTTCCTACTGTCACTGCGCTTGGAGTGCCTCACGATTCCATTTTTGATGCCTTCATCCTGCCTATATCTCTGTAAGCAGCTTCTTCCCTTGAACCATGTGGGATGAATTCTGCTTTTTGCTGGTATGCTGACTGATCTTGTAATATTAGTATTTAGAAACTAAATTGCAATTGGTAGAAGGGTGAGTATTTGGTGAAGTAGGAGTTAGGCTTTCAAGGAGTTTGGCTGTGGAATTCATCATCTCTCTCTACTTTTCTGAAAGGAGAAAGGAAGGAGGAAAGGAAGGAAAGGGAGATAGGACAAGTGGAGAAACCTTGAGTGGAAAGAGTTTGTTTTTTCCAAGATGGAAGAGACCTGTTAATGTTTAAGTACTCATAGGAAAGACCCAATAGAAAGAATTTATTGTTGATGTAAGAAAGTAGGGGACTTATTAATTGCTTGAAGCTTATGAGAAGGCAGAAGGATTTGGGACACAGGATGCAAATGGGAGGATTTAACTTGGGTGAGGGGAGGGTCACCTTATCTGTTGTAAGTGAAAGAATGGAAGACAGGATGAGTGGGAGACAAGTAAGTTTGTAGGGTTGGTGTCAGAAAGTTGAGAGAGTTCTTATCTAAGGGTTCTGCTTTTTCTGGAATCCCAGAACATTCAGAGAGTAGAATTATTATAGAGTTGGGCATTTGCCTGGCAAATCTCATGGAAGTACAATGGGGCGAGGGAATTGAGAATGCTGGCAAGAAATGGACTGGGGACAAATAAAGATGAAGGTGGGGGTACTGATGAGAGAGAAAAGGGTGCTGGGGACTGGTGATTCAGTGCAGTTTAAGATCAGATTTATAGGGTGTAACTTGAGTAAGAAAGTTGGAAAATAGGAAACTATTGTCAGAAATGGAAATGTCTGAATTCATGATTTCAGAGAAGGAACAACTCTGATTGATGCTAAGATTTGGGATATGGCTGGAGAGTGCATGCCTGCAGTGAGGTCGATATGAAGGTTACTGGAGATGAGGACACTAAAGGAAGTGGGATGATGGAGGACTTGGGATGGAGAGGAACCAAAGTCTCTAAGATGGCTGCTTCCACAAGGGGAAAAGTACATGAGGAAAACATTTCTTCCCCATCCTAGGGGTCCCTGGCATCTTCCTAGTCATCCTAATGTAACATCCCATCACCTGTCTCCTTCAGGACCATGCCTGGTGGGAGCCCCTACCCCAGGCCTGGAAGCAGCTCCCTTCCACCTCCGTGCCCCCACCATGGCAAGGCTCATTGCTGAGGAAGTCCCGGCTCCCACTTTCCACATGGTGAGGAAACTGGTTCTAGTCAAGACAAGATCTGGACCATTGAAGTGAAAACACGGTGGAAAGAGGGACCAAAATGACCTTCCCCAAGCAAGGAAGGAGACCAAACCTCTAAAAACATTCCAGCTGACATCGTCTTTGTTTTAAAGGACAAGCCACATAGTATTTTTAAGAGAAATGGCTCTGATGTCATCTATCCTGCCAGGATCAGCATTTGGAAGGCTCTGTGTGGCTGCACAGTGAACATCCCACTCTGGACGGAAAGACCATACCCATCGTTTTCAAGGAAGTCATCAGGCCTGGCATGCAGTGAAAAGCCCCTGGAGAAGACTTCCCTCTCCCTAAAGTGCCCAAGAAATGTGGGGACTTCATTATTGAGTTTGAAGTGATCTTCCCCTAATGGATTCCCCAGATGTCAAGAACTGTACTTGAGCAGGTTCTTCCAATATAGCTACCTGCATTCCCCAAGGACTAACCAGGAAGCTTTCCAGAGCTCAAGGATTTCTGGACCGTTCTCCAGTTGACCATGAGAGGACAGGTGGGCCCAGGGAAGTCTTTCAGACTGCCGAATGTTTTCCATGGACTATATTACAATCTTTCAAAGTCATGCACTAGAGTGGGGGAAAAAAAAAGCTCCCACTTTGGCTGCCAAGGCTTGTTGGGGTGGAGGGTAACACAAGATGAGGAAAGATATGCTCCTGCTATCTTGCCCTTGACCATGGAAAGCACTTTTCTGTAGCAATTCTGGGATCCAGAGTTGGTCTCTATGGAATGACTGGTAGGAATATCGTGTCTGGTTGCAGTAGAGTGGCTTTGGTGGGCTGGCCCTGGATCTTTAACATCATCCTTTACATTAATTTTGTCAGAGAATGCATTCAGCTTCAAACAATGGACTTAGAAATAGCTTTTGTAAATTAGGGATTGTGTTAAATTGCATGCTGGCCTCTGAATACCTCAGAAAATAGATTGCTATCAACAGGTGTTTCTTCTCTATGTTTCTATGAGGTTCTAGGAGTTGAGATAGGAGATGGATTGTCAACAATGATCCTTGCTAAATGACCACTTTGTGTTTATCACTGAGATATTTTAACATTTAAAAAATAATGTCATCTTATAGAGGTAATTTATGTTCACTGAACAATTCAGAAAATTAAAAGAATAGAAAATAAAACTCTTCTGTATTCCTACTAACTGGAAATAACTATTATTAATATCTTAGCATCATTTTTTACTCTGGGTACACATCCCTATTTGCCCCTTTCCCAACTTGGAGTCATCATATATAACCAGTTTTATTATCTTCTTTATTCATTTAATAAAATGTGAGCACTGTGGAGTCCTGTTAAGATGAGTAAGCAACAATGGAGAAGGGGTCCCATGTCGGGGAGAACAATTGTTCTGAGACAGCTAACCACAAACAACTGCTGGTACAACTACCTCACTCTGCACGTAGCCCCAGCAGTATGACCTCGTTTTACACATATCCCTTCCAGCACAACCCTATAAAACTTTCCTCCAGCCCCTGCCTCTTTGCAGACAGCCCCTTCTCTGCTGTGCTGCCCATTGCACCCTTGCGATGTATCTTCATACTTTCTGTAATAAATCTGCCTTTCTTTACCTATAACTGTCTTGGTAAATTCCTTTACCACCTGCAACGCCAGCCCCAGCCAGTCAGACATGCAACGAGCACTTCTCTGGGCCATTAAACATTTGTTTTTTAAAAAATGATTGTAGCAAAGTCTTCTAGTTGTTCACTATTTTTTCTTCTTTCTTCCTTTTTTCTTTATCTTTTTTTTTTTTTTTTTTTTTGAGACACAGTCTCGCTCTGTCACCCAGGCTGGAGTGCAATGGTGCTCTTGGCTCACTGCAACCTCTGCCTCCTGGGCTCAAGTGATTCTCGTGCCTCAGCCTCCCAAATAGCTAGGATTACAGGCATGCACCGCCATGCTCGGCTAATGTTCGTATTTTTAGTAGAGATAGGGTTTCACCATGCTGGCCAGGCTGGTCTTGAATTCCTGGCCCAAGTGATCCGCCCACCTTAGCCTCCCAAAGTGCTGGGATTACAGGCATAAGCCACCATGCCTGACCTATTTCCTTCTTCCTGGATATGCAACTAGACTATGTTTCCTGGCCTCCCTTGCAGTTAGGTGTAGCCAAAGGAATGTGAGTGAATATAATGAGTGTATTCCTGGGCCAATGCTTGTAAGAGGCAGGTGTGTCCTACCTCTATGTTATCTGTTCCCCCTTCTTATAGCTGGATGCAGATGATGACAAGGCCCTAGGGGATTTCAAAGTCACAGGATGGGAACCTAAAATTTGAATAATCATGTGTTGAACAAGATGGGGAAAACAGGTGAGAATAAACATCTAATGTGTTTGATCCACTACATATTTTGGATCTGTTCTTTATAGCCATTTTGCTTACCCTGTTTTTCATTCTATGGGCATACTATAATTTCTAAGAGGAAATATTTTTGTTTGTTTGTTTTTTGAGACAGAGTTTTGCACTGTTGCCCAGGCTGGAGTGCAATGGTGCAATCTCTGCTTACTGCAACCTCTGCCTCCCGGGTTCAAGCAATTGTCCTGCCTCAGCCTCCTGAGTAGCTGGGATTACCAGCGCCTGCCACCATGCCCAGCTAATTTTTTGTATTTTTAGTAGAGACAGGGTTTCACTATGTTGGCCAGGCTGGTCTTGAACTCCTGACCTCGTGATCCACCCGCCTCAGCCTCCCAAAGTGCTGGGATTACAGGCGTGAGCCACCATGCCCGGCCAGGAAATGTTTCTTATTAAACTGTAGTAGGTTGTTATAAATGGACCCCAATGAGTAAATCACATCCCCCTGTGTCCTTGTCTCTTTGTAATATTCTTAACTGCTTTCCCCAACAAGAGCAGGGGGTCTATTTCCTCATTCCTGGAGCCTAGGTTGCCCTTATGACTTTTTTGGCCAGAAGAATGTGGTGAAAGTAGCCCAGATCTGAGCCCAGATCCTAAGGGGCCTTGCAGCATCTGCTTTTGTTCAGGGTGGACCCCAGCCACTATGTAAAGAAGCCTAGATTATCCTATTTGTAGAGAGAGTCTGTGTGGAGAGATGGGTCCTAGAGGTTGAGATAATATGTGGAGAGAGAAGCCACATGGAGGAGAACTCAAGCTCTACACACATGTGTGAGCCCAGGTAAAGCCACGAGAATAAAGATCCAGGCATCTCAGTCCACCCTCAGCCATTTGAGCCATCCCAGGAGGGATGCCAGACTTATAAGGAAGCCATCTGGGAGTCTCCTGATCCAGTCAAGCCACCCAGCCAATACCATGTGGAGGAGGGACAAGCCACCCCTGCAGAGCCCTGCCCACATTCCTGACCCACAGTACTGTAAGCATTTACATAGTTATTTTAAGTCACTAAGTTATTGATTTTTAGCCAGCAACAGATAACTGAAACATGGATATTGTAGGAGAGAAAAGGCAATATCTTTTCCTCACCCATTGCAAGGTTCATGACTGACACCCCGGAACAAAAGATGGATTAACAAAGGAAACATATAAAATTTAGATTTAACCAAAATTTTACATGACATGGAACCCTTCAAAAATGATGACCCAAAAACCGAGGGAAAACTGTATTTTTATGGTAAGTCCGATAAAAGAAGTGGATAGTTGTGGAGAAACATGACTAGACAAAGGAGAGTATGACCTAATGATAATAAACAGGGATTGTGGGGGAGAACTTAGCAAGGCCTGTTTGTTCAGATTCTTCTTTATGTCTTCCTTTATTTCCTCTAGATACAGAGCAGGACACCTGTGTTGTGATGTCTTATGGCCTACTTTCAGGGGAGGTAGGTCAGATAATTCTTTTATGGCTGGCTGTCTTGCAGAACGGTGGGAGAATATGAGAGAATGACCTTGCTTCTGTGGTTTTCTCAATTTCTAGGGTCCCACACTTTGAAGCCCAACAGTATTTATATGTGTTCACATTTTTGTTACTGTAAATGACAGTGATGAACATCCTTGTCCTGAATTTCCTGTCCATCAAGAGACTCTATATTGTTGAACTTGTCTAAATCTGGAAACTAAGTAAGAAGCCATGTCTCTCCAGTTTGGTGCTCAAATCAAGTTCCTGGTTCCTTTTGTATCGATGAAGTAATATTTTCATAGGCTGCGATATATTTAATTCCTACAGACACTGTGATCAATTAGCCTCCACTAAAGTTCCTTGCTAGTCAAAACAATCTGGTTACCATTTTGTTCCTATTGTCCATTATAGTAAATGCATCAACTGTCTCTTGTAATTAATCATTGCTCATTGGTCTTTACCATTCTGGGATCCCATTGAAATCAAGGGGCCAATTTCAATGATGGTATCTTCTATCATCACTCTGACCTACAGAAGACAGCCATTGCAGAACTTTGTAAAGAAACTGATAGCACCTCATTAATGTATTTCTCAAGGCCTTAGTGGAGGGTGTGACCTCTGAGCTCTCTCAGAAGACACAGTCGGGGTGGGGTGGATGTGCAGACCACAGATTATATATCCATTCCAACATTCCAATTTTCCTAAGTCTTTGGATCCCTCCTTTTACATTAATCCAGGGAAATTCTGGCATCTTAACCTCGTTGAATGTAGGTTATAGCTGGATTCAATTTTCAATCATCAAAGAAAACTGTTAGATACACTTCTCGCTGCAAGACTCTCTAGAAACTGATATGATGACTCATATTGATACATTTGGTTTAGTCCAGTGCTTGATATTCCATCCTCTATGGTCTAATAACGTTAAAATCCAACACTACTTCAGTTTCTGTCACTAAAAATTAGCAACATTTTGCAACTATTTTGAAATCTAAACTATTTCTTTCCATATTAGACTTTGTACTTGTCCCCCTGGAGCTAACTGAGATCTGATTTTAGTTATAGCTCTAGAAGTGATGAGAAGTGGTTTGGTGGGTCTTGAGGTTATCATAGGGTCTTCATACAAGTCTCCTCAGACACAGGAAGGCAGACTGCTCCAAGATTCTCAGCTTTTCCTGAGTTCAACTAATTCCGAGGCTCAGAGTCCTTCTTGCTGCCAATCAATGCTCTAACTTTCACAGATGAGATTTGTGAGTCTATGAATTCAGTTTAGGTTGTAATTCTGCAACCCACAGAACTGAATTTTGGGTCAAGGTCAGCTATGAAACTATAAGAAATAACTGATTATTTTAGGGCCAGCATAGACGCTCCCTGATTCTCTGTGACTTGAGCTGTGTTAAATACCTAAGTGTGTCACTTTCTGTAGGCTTTCCAGTGCACTCAGAAGCATCACTGCTACTGTAACAGTCGTGGAGTCAGTGGGCTTCAGAGGGCACTTCCTCACAGTCAGCTTCAGGTGACTAAGTATGATGCTGCAGCACACCAAGGATTTCTAATACCCAATTTCCCCATCACTACTGTGTTTAAAGCTAAGGACATGGCCAAACCAACCACAGAATTTCATTTAGAGGGGCCGTTTCCTGGGACCACTTCTGGTTCCAAATATCATATCAGTCAAAGTCCATTAGTAAAACAAAATAATACCATGTTATATATTTTACCAGAAAGAATTTTCTTTTTCGAGATGGAGTTTCACTCTTGTTGCCCAGGCTGGAGTGCAAGGGTGCAATCTCGGCTCACTGCAACCTCTGCCTCCCAGGTTCAAGGATTCTCCTGCCTCAGCCTCCCAAGTAGCTGGGATTACAAGCATGCGCCAACACGCCTGGCTAATTTTTTTGCATTTTTAGTAGAGAGGGGGTTTCACCATGTGGGTCAGGCTGGTCTCGAACTCCTGGCCTCAAGTGATCCACCCACTTCAGCCTCCCAAAGTGCTGGGATTACAGGTATGAGCCACCGCGCCCGGCCACCAGAAAGAATTTAAGGTAAATATAAGGAATTAGTTAAATGAATGTTTAAGAACTAAGATGAAAAGATGATACAACACTGAAGTAACACAGAGGTAACTGCTGAAAGCAGTTACAATCCCTGGAACTGGAGAAACCAGGCAAAGAAATTTGGGGTTATCAGAATTTAGATTTTTAGAGGAAGGGACTTACGGAATTGGGACCCAGACCTCTGAGGACAGAACACCATCCCGGTGCTGCTAGTACCTCTGAGGGTAGGTCTGGGCGTGTGTCAAAAAGATTCAGGGACTGGAACCAACTGCCATTACCTGGAGTGAAGACAGTGTTGGGCAACACTGCCAGGGACAATGGAGCAGAGAAGAATCTTCTCTCCTGCTCTTGCCTTCAACCTCCCTCTAGTGGCCCATATTGGTATATCTACCAGCTAGCCAAGTAGTTTGCAGAGTCCCAGTTCCAGCATCACAGAGCAAATATAGAAGCATGGGATTAGAGCTGAAAGGCCATAGGTGAATAAGCCAAAAGATATATCTCTGAATATATTGTGCATACACATATCATATCATGTGCATGCACACACACAAACATCTTGGTACACAGCATTCTAGCATTAAAAATAATTTTTTTCGCCGGGCGAGGTGGCTCACGCCTGTAATCCCAGCACTTTGGGAGGCTGAGGTTGGGGGATCACCTGAGGTCAGGAGTTCGCGACCAGACTGGCCAACATCGAGAAACCCTGTCTCTGCTAAAAACACAAAAATTAGCTGGCCACGGTGGGTGCCTATAATCCCAACTACTTGGAAGGCGGAGGCAGGATAATCACTTGTTCCCAGTGGAGGTTGCAGTGAGCCGAGACAGTGTCACTGCACTCCAGCCTGGGCGACAGAGTGAGACTCCACCTCAAAAAAAGTAAAATAAATAAAATAATTAAATAAATAAATAAAAATAATACATAATTTTTTCTCATTACAACAGCAATACTTCTTTTTTTAAAATATAAAAAAATAAGCTCATAGAAGAAAAAAAAATCTATCCTACTGCCAGAAAAATGACCATTGTTATAACCTTCATTTAGATCCTTCTAGACCTCTTCCTCAATGTGTGGCTATGTATTTTTTTCAAGGAATGACATACAGTTTTCTGAACTGCTTAAAAAAATCTTAATGTATCATTAATAATTGCTCACATTAATACATATTTATTTACAGCAGCAAGTTTCAAACTGTTCTAGGAAATGTCTTGGGCAAGTACCTCAGGAAATGGCCCCTCAAAATTGCCTTAATGGGAGGGCCTTGCATTCCCCCATACATACTTAACCACTGCAATCTTGCTTTTATATATTTGTTTTACATAGTAGGTTTCTATATAAGATTTTGTGGGGAATAAAAAATTCCACTGCCAAAATATTAGAAAGTAATCGAATTATTGTGAGGATACAATGTCACTTTCCTTTTTTATGATTACAACAAAGGATAACTTTGCACCTAGATTTTTCGTGCAAAGCCCTAGTGACACCAGACACCATGCTTTTTACTCTTTGTCTATTTGATAGAAGCTAAAAATTATTTTAATTTGTATTTCATGAATTACTAATGAGATGGCCAAGGTTTTACATTTAATGGTCATTTTTGTCTGTGACAGCCTTTTTTTTTTTTTTTTTTTGCAGTCTAGAGATTTGTTTACAGTAGGGCCCTAAAACCTTACTTCTAATGTACATAGCCTGTGCTTTTCCCATGTGCCCTGATTCAAGGAAGCTCGGATTTCAACATCCATTGCTCATCCAGAACACCATCTCCCTGCCCTCCTCCACTCTTGGTAATGATCTCAAATCCTCCTCCATTGAGAACACAGAAGCTGTCCATCAC
The DNA here is from genome assembly GCF_000001405.40 of Homo sapiens. NCBI lineage: Eukaryota > Metazoa > Chordata > Mammalia > Primates > Hominidae > Homo > Homo sapiens. The sequence continues at coordinate 113,034,109 of NC_000003.12, read as the reverse complement.
TCCTTCCGAAATAGATCTATATCTATACTATCTTTATTTTTCTTCCTGGCTCAGATAATAAAAGGTTTTGATATTTAAGTCAACTGCTTTACTTCAGCACTTGATTCCATCCCTGCTTGTCTCTTCTGGTTCCTAGGATGGTGTCTGGCAAAAAACTGACGCTCAGAAACTTTGTTGAATGAGTAATGGGTCTTTCTCCATCAATTCTCTCCTATTTTTTTATATCCAGCTTCTTTCACACTTTGAATTCTTCCCTTTAGCCTATATATATGTTTGATCAAGTCATTTTCCATCTGTGATGGTCAGCTTTATGTGTCAACTTGGCTAGGCTGTAGCACCCAGTTATTCAATCAAATATTAGCTTAGGTGTTGCTGTGAAGGTATTCTGTAGAAGTGATTAATGTCTACAGCCAGTTGATTTTATGTAAAGGGGATTATTCTGGGTAATGTGGGTGAGCCTGATCCAATCAGTTGAAAGGCCTAAAGAATAGAACTTAGGTTTTCCTGAAGATGTGAAGAAAGAAGAAATTCCACCTGCGGACTTCCTCTTCAGCTCCTGCCTGAGAGTTTCCAGCCTTATGAATTTCAGACTTTCCTATCTGACCTCTACAATGGTATAAGTCAATTTCTTTCTGTAAATCCCTTTACATATTCTACTGTTTCTCTTTGGCTGGTGTGGGGAAAAGCAAGAGAGATCAGATTGTTACTGTGTCTGTGTAGAAAGAAGTAGACATAGGAGACTCCATTTTGTTATGTACTAAGAAAAATTCTTCTGCCTTGAGATTCTGTGACCTTACCCCCAACCCCGTGCTCTCTGAAACATGTGCTGTGTCAACTCAGAGTTAAATGGATTAAGGGCGGTGCAAGATGTGCTTTGTTAAACAGATGCTTGAAGGCAGCATGCTCCTTAAGAGTCATCACCACTCCCTAATCTCAAGTACCCAGGGACACAAAAACTGCGGAAGGCCGCAGGGACCTCTGCCTAGGAAAGCCAGGTATTGTCCAAGGTTTCTCCCCATGTGATAGTCTGAAATATGGCCTCGTGGGAAGGGAAAGACCTGACCGTCCCCCAGCCCGACACCCGTAAAGGGTCTGTGCTGAGGAGGATTAGTAAAAGAGGAAGGAATGCCTCTTGCAGTTGAGACAAGAGGAAGGCATCTGTCTCCTGCCTGTCCCTGGGCAATGGAATGTCTCGGTATAAAACCCGATTGTATGCTCCATCTACTGAGATAGGGAAAAACCGCCTTACGGCTGGAGGTGGGACCTGCGGGCAGCAATACTGCTTTGTAAAGCATTGAGATGTTTATGTGTATGCATATCTAAAAGCACAGCACTTAATCCTTTACATTGTCTATGATGCAAAGACCTTTGTTCACGTGTTTGTCTGCTGACCCTCTCCCCACAATTGTCTTGTGACCCTGACACATCCCCCTCTTCGAGAAACACCCACAGATGATCAATAAATACTAAGGGAACTCAGAGGCTGGCGGGATCCTCCATATGCTGAACGCTGGTTCCCCGGGTCCCCTTATTTCTTTCTCTATACTTTGTCTCTGTGTCTTTTTCTTTTCCAAATCTCTCGTCCCACCTTACGAGAAACACCCACAGGTGTGTAGGGGCAACCCACCCCTACATCTGGTGCCCAACGTGGAGGCTTTTCTCTAGGGTGAAGGTACGCTCGAGCGTGGTCATTGAGGACAAGTCGACGAGAGATCCCGAGTACGTCTACAGTCAGCCTTACGGTAAGCTTGTGCGCTCGGAAGAAGCTAGGGTGATAATGGGGCAAACTAAAAGTAAAATTAAAAGTAAATATGCCTCTTATCTCAGCTTTATTAAAATTCTTTTAAAAAGAGGGGGAGTTAAAGTATCTACAAAAAATCTAATCAAGCTATTTCAAATAATAGAACAATTTTGCCCATGGTTTCCAGAACAAGGAACTTTAGATCTAAAAGATTGGAAAAGAATTGGTAAGGAACTAAAACAAGCAGGTAGGAAGGGTAATGTCATTCCACTTACAGTATGGAATGATTGGGCCATTATTAAAGCAGCTTTAGAACCATTTCAAACAGAAGAAGATAGTGTTTCAGTTTCTGATGCCCTTGGAAGCTGTATAATAGATTGTAATGAAAACACAAGGAAAAAATCCCAGAAAGAAACGGAAGGTTTACATTGCGAATATGTAGCAGAGCCGGTAATGGCTCAGTCAACGCAAAATGTTGACTATAATCAATTACAGGAGGTGATATATCCTGAAACGTTAAAATTGGAAGGAAAAGGTCCAGAATTAGTGGGGCCATCAGAGTCTAAACCACGAGGCACAAGTCATCTTCCAGCAGGTCAGGTGCCCGTAACATTACAACCTCAAAAGCAGGTTAAAGAAAATAAGACCCAACCGCCAGTAGCCTATCAATACTGGCCGCCGGCTGAACTTCAGTATCGGCCACCCCCAGAAAGTCAGTATGGATATCCAGGAATGCCCCCAGCACCACAGGGCAGGGCGCCATACCCTCAGCCACCCACTAGGAGACTTAATCCTACGGCACCACCTAGTAGACGGGGTAGTGAATTACATGAAATTATTGATAAATCAAGAAAGGAAGGAGATACTGAGGCATGGCAATTCCCAGTAACGTTAGAACCGATGCCACCTGGAGAAGGAGCCCAAGAGGGAGAGCCTCCCACAGTTGAGGCCAGATACAAGTCTTTTTCGATAAAAATGCTAAAAGATATGAAAGAGGGAGTAAAACAGTATGGACCCAACTCCCCTTATATGAGGACATTATTAGATTCCATTGCTCATGGACATAAACTCATTCCTTATGATTGGGAGATTCTGGCAAAATCGTCTCTCTCACCCTCTCAATTTTTACAATTTAAGACTTGGTGGATTGATGGGGTACAAGAACAGGTCCGAAGAAATAGGGCTGCCAATCCTCCAGTTAACATAGATGCAGATCAACTATTAGGAATAGGTCAAAATTGGAGTACTATTAGTCAACAAGCATTAATGCAAAATGAGGCCATTGAGCAAGTTAGAGCTATCTGCCTTAGAGCCTGGGAAAAAATCCAAGACCCAGGAAGTACCTGCCCCTCATTTAATACAGTAAGACAAGGTTCAAAAGAGCCCTATCCTGATTTTGTGGCAAGGCTCCAAGATGTTGCTCAAAAGTCAATTGCCGATGAAAAAGCCCGTAAGGTCATAGTGGAGTTAATGGCATATGAAAACGCCAATCCTGAGTGTCAATCAGCCATTAAGCCATTAAAAGGAAAGGTTCCTGCAGGATCAGATGTAATCTCAGAATATGTAAAAGCCTGTGATGGAATCGGAGGAGCTATGCATAAAGCTATGCTTATGGCTCAAGCAATAACAGGAGTTGTTTTAGGAGGACAAGTTAGAACATTTGGAGGAAAATGTTATAATTGTGGTCAAATTGGTCACTTAAAAAAGAATTGCCCAGTCTTAAATAAACAGAATATAACTATTCAAGCAACTACAACAGGTAGAGAGCCACCTGACTTATGTCCAAGATGTAAAAAAGGAAAACATTGGGCTAGTCAATGTCGTTCTAAATTTGATAAAAATGGGCAACCATTGTCGGGAAACGAGCAAAGGGGCCAGCCTCAGGCCCCACAACAAACTGGGGCATTCCCAATTCAGCCATTTGTTCCTCAGGGTTTTCAGGGACAACAACCCCCACTGTCCCAAGTGTTTCAGGGAATAAGCCAGTTACCACAATACAACAATTGTCCCCCCCACAAGCGGCAGTGCAGCAGTAGATTTATGTACTATACAAGCAGTCTCTCTGCTTCCAGGGGAGCCCCCACAAAAAATCCCCACAGGGGTATATGGCCCCCTGCCTGAGGGGACTGTAGGACTAATCTTGGGAAGATCAAGTCTAAATCTAAAAGGAGTTCAAATTCATACTAGTGTGGTTGATTCAGACTATAAAGGCGAAATTCAATTGGTTATTAGCTCTTCAGTTCCTTGGAGTGCCAGTCCAGGAGACAGGATTGCTCAATTATTACTCCTGCCATATATTAAGGGTGGAAATAGTGAAATAAAAAGAATAGGAGGGCTTGGAAGCACTGATCCAACAGGAAAGGCTGCATATTGGGCAAGTCAGGTCTCAGAGAACAGACCTGTGTGTAAGGCCATTATTCAAGGAAAACAGTTTGAAGGGTTGGTAGACACTGGAGCAGATGTCTCTATCATTGCTTTAAATCAGTGGCCAAAAAATTGGCCTAAACAAAAGGCTGTTACAGGACTTGTCGGCATAGGCACAGCCTCAGAAGTGTATCAAAGTATGGAGATTTTACATTGCTTAGGGCCAGATAATCAAGAAAGTACTGTTCAGCCAATGATTACTTAAATTCCTCTTAATCTGTGGGGTCGAGATTTATTACAACAAGGGGGTGCGGAAATCACCATGCCCGCTCCATTATATAGCCCCACGAGTCAAAAAATCATGACCAAGATGGGATATATACCAGGAAAGGGACTAGGGAAAAATGAAGATGGCATTAAAGTTCCAGTTGAGGCTAAAATAAATCAAAAAAGAGAAGGAATAGGGTATCCTTTTTAGGGGCGGCCACTGTAGAGCCTCCTAAACCCATACCATTAACTTGGAAAACAGAAAAACCGGTGTGGGTAAATCAGTGTCCGCTACCAAAACAAAAACTGGAGGCTTTACATTTATTAGCAAATGAACAGTTAGAAAAGGGTCATATTGAGCCTTCATCCTCGCCTTGGAATTCTCCTGTGTTTGTAATTCAGAAGAAATCAGGCAAATGGCGTATGTTAACTAACTTAAGGGCCGTAAACGCCGTAATTCAACCCATGGGGCCTCTCCAACCCGGGTTGCCCTCTCCGGCCATGATCCCAAAAGATTGGCCTTTAATTATAATTGATCTAAAGGATTGCTTTTTTACCATCCCTCTGGCAGAGCAGGATTGTGAAAAATTTGCCTTTACTATACCAGCCATAAATAATAAAGAACCAGCCACCAGGTTTCAGTGGAAAGTGTTACCTCAGGGAATGCTTAATAGTCCAACTATTTGTCAGACTTTTGTAGGTCGAGCTCTTCAACCAGTTAGAGAAAAGTTTTCAGACTGTTATATTATTCATTATATTGATGATATTTTATGTGCTGCAGAAACGAAAGATAAATTAATTGACTGTTATACATTTCTGCAAGCAGAGGTTGCCAATGCTGGACTGGCAATAGCATCTGATAAGATCCAAACCTCTACTCCTTTTCATTATTTAGGGATGCAGATAGAAAATAGAAAAATTAAGCCACAAAAAATAGAAATAAGAAAAGACACATTAAAAACACTAAATGATTTTCAAAAATTACTAGGAGATATTAATTGGATTTGGCCAACTCTAGGCATTCCTACTTATGCCATGTCAAATTTGTTCTCTATCTTAAGAGGAGACTCAGACTTAAATAGTAAAAGAATGTTAACCCCAGAGGCAACAAAAGAAATTAAATTAGTGGAAGAAAAAATTCAGTCAGCGCAAATAAATAGAATAGATCCCTTAGCCCCACTCCAACTTTTGATTTTTGCCACTGCACATTCTCCAACAGGCATCATTATTCAAAATACTGATCTTGTGGAGTGGTCATTCCTTCCTCACAGTACAGTTAAGACTTTTACATTGTACTTGGATCAAATAGCTACATTAATCGGTCAGACAAGATTACGAATAATAAAATTATGTGGAAATGACCCAGACAAAATAGTTGTCCCTTTAACCAAGGAACAAGTTAGACAAGCCTTTATCAATTCTGGTGCATGGCAGATTGGTCTTGCTAATTTTGTGGGAATTATTGATAATCATTACCCAAAAACAAAGATCTTCCAGTTCTTAAAACTGACTACTTGGATTCTACCTAAAATTACCAGACGTGAACCTTTAGAAAATGCTCTAACAGTATTTACTGATGGTTCCAGCAATGGAAAAGCAGCTTACACAGGGCCGAAAGAACGAGTAATCAAAACTCCATATCAATCAGCTCAAAGAGCAGAGTTGGTTGCAGTCATTACAGTGTTACAAGATTTTGACCAACCTATCAATATTATATCAGATTCTGCATATGTAGTACAGGCTACAAGGGATGTTGAGACAGCTCTAATTAAATATAGCATGGATGATCAGTTAAACCAGCTATTCAATTTATTACAACAAACTGTAAGAAAAAGAAATTTCCCATTTTATATTACTCATATTCGAGCACACACTAATTTACCAGGGCCTTTGACTAAAGCAAATGAAGAAGCTGACTTACTGGTATCATCTGCACTCATAAAAGCACAAGAACTTCATGCTTTGACTCATGTAAATGCAGCAGGATTAAAAAACAAATTTGATGTCACATGGAAACAGGCAAAAGATATTGTACAACATTGCACCCAGTGTCAAGTCTTACACCTGCCCACTCAAGAGGCAGGAGTTAATCCCAGAGGTCTGTGTCCTAATGCATTATGGCAAATGCATGTCACGCATGTACCTTCATTTGGAAGATTATCATATGTTCATGTAACAGTTGATACTTATTCACATTTCATATGGGCAACTTGCCAAACAGGAGAAAGTACTTCCCATGTTAAAAAACATTTATTGTTTTGCTATAATGGGAGTTCCAGAAAAAATCAAAACTGGCAATGGACCAGGATATTGTAGTAAAGCTTTCCAAAAATTCTTAAGTCAGTGGAAAATTTCACATACAACAGGAATTCCTTATAATTCCCAAGGACAGGCCATAGTTGAAAGAACTAATAGAACACTCAAAACTCAATTAGTTAAACAAAAAGAAGGGGGAGACAGTAAGGAGTGTACCACTCCTCAGATGCAACTTAATCTAGCACTCTATACTTTAAATTTTTTAAACATTTATAGAAATCAGACTACTACTTCTGCAGAACAACATCTTACTGGTAAAAAGAACAGCCCACATGAAGGAAAACTAATTTGGTGGAAAGATAATAAAAATAAGACATGGGAAATAGGGAAGGTGATAACGTGGGGGAGAGGTTTTGCTTGTGTTTCACCAGGAGAAAATCAGCTTCCTGTTTGGATACCCACTAGACATTTGAAGTTCTACAATGAACCCATCGGAGATGCAAAGAAAAGGGCCTCCACGGAGATGGTAACACCAGTCACATGGATGGATAATCCTATAGAAGTATATGTTAATGATAGCGAATGGGTACCTGGCCCCACAGATGATCGCTGCCCTGCCAAACCTGAGGAAGAAGGGATGATGATAAATATTTCCATTGGGTATCGTTATCCTCCTATTTGCCTAGGGAGAGCACCAGGATGTTTAATGCCTGCAGTCCAAAATTGGTTGGTAGAAGTACCTACTGTCAGTCCCATCAGTAGATTCACTTATCACATGGTAAGCGGGATGTCACTTAGGCCACGGGTAAATTATTTACAAGACTTTTCTTATCAAAGATCATTAAAATTTAGACCTAAAGGGAAACCTTGCCCCAAGGAAATTCCCAAAGAATCAAAAAATACAGAAGTTTTAGTTTGGGAAGAATGTGTGGCCAATAGTGCGGTGATATTACAAAACAATGAATTCGGAACTATTATAGATTGGGCACCTCGAGGTCAATTCTACCACAATTGCTCAGGACAAACTCAGTCGTGTCCAAGTGCACAAGTGAGTCCAGCTGTTGATAGCGACTTAACAGAAAGTTTAGACAAACATAAGCATAAAAAATTGCAGTCTTTCTACCCTTGGGAATGGGGAGAAAAAGGAATCTCTACCCCAAGACCAAAAATAATAAGTCCTGTTTCTGGTCCTGAACATCCAGAATTATGGAGGCTTACTGTGGCCTCACACCACATTAGAATTTGGTCTGGAAATCAAACTTTAGAAACAAGAGATCGTAAGCCATTTTATACTGTTGACCTAAATTCCAGTCTAACAGTTCCTTTACAAAGTTGCGTAAAGCCCCCTTATATGCTAGTTGTAGGAAATATAGTTATTAAACCAGACTCCCAGACTATAACCTGTGAAAATTGGAGATTGCTTACTTGCATTGATTCAACTTTTAATTGGCAACACCGTATTCTGCTGGTGAGAGCAAGAGAGGGCGTGTGGATCCCTGTGTCCATGGACCGACCGTGGGAGGCCTCACTATCCGTCCATATTTTAACTGAAGTATTAAAAGGTGTTTTAAATAGATCCAAAAGATTCATTTTTACTTTAATTGCAGTGATTATGGGATTAATTGCAGTCACAGCTACGGCTGCTGTAGCAGGAGTTGCATTGCACTCTTCTGTTCAGTCAGTAAACTTTGTTAATGATTGGCAAAAGAATTCTACAAGATTGTGGAATTCACAATCTAGTATTGATCAAAAATTGGCAAATCAAATTAATTGATCTTAGACAAACTGTCATTTGGATGGGAGACAGACTCATGAGCTTAGAACATCTTTTCCAGTTACAGTGTGACTGGAATACGTCAGATTTTTGTATTACACCCCAAATTTATAATGAGTCTGAGCATCACTGGGACATGGTTAGACGCCATCTACAGGGAAGAGAAGATAATCTCACTTTAGACATTTCCAAATTAAAAGAACAAATTTTCGAAGCATCTAAAGCCCATTTAAATTTGGTGCCAGGAACTGAGGCAATTGCAGGAGTTGCTGTTGGCCTCGCAAATCTTAACCCTGTCACTTGGGTTAAGACCATTGGAAGTACTACGATTATAAATTTCATATTAATCCTTGTGTGCCTGTTTTGTCAGTTGTTAGTCTGCAGGTGTACCCAACAGCTCCGAAGAGGCAGCGACCATCGAGAACGGGCCATGATGACGACGGTGGTTTTGTCGAAAAGAAAAGGGGGAAATGTGGGGAAAAGCAAGAGAGATCAGATTGTTACTGTGTCTGTGTAGAAAGAAGTAGACATAGGAGACTCCATTTTGTTATGTACTAAGAAAAATTCTTCTGCCTTGAGATTCTGTGACCTTACCCCCAACCCCGTGCTCTCTGAAACATGTGCTGTGTCAACTCAGAGTTAAATGGATTAAGGGCGGTGCAAGATGTGCTTTGTTAAACAGATGCTTGAAGGCAGCATGCTCCTTAAGAGTCATCACCACTCCCTAATCTCAAGTACCCAGGGACACAAAAACTGCGGAAGGCCGCAGGGACCTCTGCCTAGGAAAGCCAGGTATTGTCCAAGGTTTCTCCCCATGTGATAGTCTGAAATATGGCCTCGTGGGAAGGGAAAGACCTGACCGTCCCCCAGCCCGACACCCGTAAAGGGTCTGTGCTGAGGAGGATTAGTAAAAGAGGAAGGAATGCCTCTTGCAGTTGAGACAAGAGGAAGGCATCTGTCTCCTGCCTGTCCCTGGGCAATGGAATGTCTCGGTATAAAACCCGATTGTATGCTCCATCTACTGAGATAGGGAAAAACCGCCTTACGGCTGGAGGTGGGACCTGCGGGCAGCAATACTGCTTTGTAAAGCATTGAGATGTTTATGTGTATGCATATCTAAAAGCACAGCACTTAATCCTTTACATTGTCTATGATGCAAAGACCTTTGTTCACGTGTTTGTCTGCTGACCCTCTCCCCACAATTGTCTTGTGACCCTGACACATCCCCCTCTTCGAGAAACACCCACAGATGATCAATAAATACTAAGGGAACTCAGAGGCTGGCGGGATCCTCCATATGCTGAACGCTGGTTCCCCGGGTCCCCTTATTTCTTTCTCTATACTTTGTCTCTGTGTCTTTTTCTTTTCCAAATCTCTCGTCCCACCTTACGAGAAACACCCACAGGTGTGTAGGGGCAACCCACCCCTACAGGCTGGTGGAATCCTGACTAGTAAACTATCCTTAAAATCAGAACAAAACAAAACAATACTCTTCTTGATCCTGCATCTCTCTGTCACCAATAAACTCCATTTTCCCTCCTATCTAAGCTACTAAAAATATTGTTTTATATTCATTGTCTCTACTTCAACCCTTTGCAATCACTTTTGAGCTATAGTCCCATTTATTCAACTGGTGAACTGCACATTTTCTCGTGGATAGCCATGGACAATCTCAAACTCAGTATATCGAAAGTTATCTTATCACCCTTGCCACCTCCCTAAATCTATTTTTCTTCTGAATGTCATATTTCGAACTTAAGGTGAAAATCTGGAAGTCATTTGTATTAGTCCATTCTCACATTATTATAAAGAACTACCTGAGATTGGGTAATTTATAAATAAAAGAAGTTTAATTGACTCACAATTCTGCAGGCTGTACAGGAAGCACAACTGGGGAAGCCTCAGGAAACTTACAATCATGGAGGAAGGTGAAGGGGAAGCAGGCACATCTTACATGGCCAGAGAAGGAGAGCAAGCGAGCAAAGAGGGAGGTGCTACACACTTTTAAACAACCAGATGTCCTGAGAACTCACTATCATGAGAACAGCAAGGGAGATTTCTGCCCCTACTATCCAATTGCATCCCACAAGGCCCCTCCTCCAACATTGGGGGTTATAATTCAACATGAGATTTGGGTAGGGACACAGACCCAAACCATATCATCATTCTAGACATGTAAATATGTAAATAGGTTGAGCATCTTTAAACTGAAAATCCAAAATCTGAAGTGCTCCAAAATGCCAAACTTTTTGAGTACTGACATGATGATACAAGTTACCCTGAACACATTAATTTTCACTGTATTAATGGTATATCATTTTTTTTACTATTAAGCACATATGTGTGAATAAGAGAAAAAAATGGTTGCTTAACAGCAGCATATAGGCTGGGTGCGGTGGCTCACACCTGTAATCCCAGCACTTTGGGAGGCCAAGGCGGGCAGATCACAAGGTCAGCAGATCGAGACTATCCTGGCTAACACAGTGAAACCCCGTCTCTACTAAAAATACAAAAAAACATTAGCCAGACATGGTGGTGGGCACCTGTAGTCCCAGCTACTCGGGAGGCTGAGACAGGAGAATAGTGTGATCTTGTGAGGTGGAGCTTGCAGTGAGCCGGGATCGTGCCACTGCACTCCAGCCTGGGCAACAGAGTGAGACTCTATCTCAAAAAACAAACAAACAAACAAACAAACAAACAAAAAAACAGTAGCATATAAATTCAGAGTCAGGAATGATGTTGACACCAAACAACCACAGACTGTCCACATGGGTGATTGAGATGTACACAAACTTTGTTTCATGCACAAAATTATTAAAAATATTACATAAAAGTTTCTTCAGGCCATGTGTTTAAGGTAGATATGAAACATACATACATTTCATGTTTATACTTGGGTCCCATACCCAAGATATCTCATGTATATTTGCAAGTATTCCAAAATCTAAAAAAAACCGGAAATCTGAAACAATTTTGGTCCCAAGCATTTCAGATAAGGGACACTCTCCACCCATGCTAGACATCTAAATAAGTCATACTGTCTATATCCAGTAGAAATGCTTGAAGGTTTGGGTCTGCATCATTTCTGGCCTTAGCTTTTGTAATAGAACAGATGGGCCTGGTCTCCTTACTTCCAACCTCTTCTCTCCCAAATCTGTTCTCCAGGGTGCTCTTCTTCTGAGGCAAGCTGACAAAAATTGCTCTGCCTAAGACTCAGTGAGTGACTCCTTTATCACCTATAGCAAGGACACGTCAACCTAGAGTACCATCACAAAGACCTTTTCAAAACAGACCTACTCAGAACTAATGAGTAAGAATTTTCAAGTGGGACCTGAAAATCTCTATTTTTAAGTTATCCAGGCAATTTTGATAATCAGCCAGGTTTCTGAACTACTGGTCTTCAGGTAAAAAGCCAAATTCTTCCCATGATCTGACTGACACCACTATTCCCAGCTCCACCCCTCAGCACAAATCACGTCCCAGCAGTACCAACTCAGGACTAGTGATTCTTCAAACCCATGCTGCTTAAAACCTCTCTGTAGGAATATCCTTTTTCCTTTAACTGCCTGGGGAGTTCCTATTCATCCTTCAAAAGACTCTATTCAAGCATCATCCAACCTCATATACAGCCAGTAAATATCTACTGAGGCCCTACTATATGCCAGGCTCTGAACTAAGCATTGAGATAGAAAGACCAGTTAGCTATGTCAATGGTAGTTCTCGCTTTCAGTAGGTTCATATGCCATTGGAGAAATAGACATGAAAGTAAACAAAGAAATACAATAAAGCGAGGTAAATTCTGTGAGAGAGGCTGTGGTAGGCTGAATAAAGATCCCTCCACCTCCCACCCAAAGATGTTCACATGCTAATTTCCATAATCTGTAAATATGTTACCTTGCACTGAGAAGGGATTTTGTAGCTATATAACCTTGAGATTTCAGCTGCTTGAGATTTCAGCACCCCAGCATTTTTGTGTGTGTGTGTGTGTGTGTGTGTGCATGAAATAATGAAAATTTTGAACAGGCCCTTGCTTGCTTGTACATGTTAACCACTCGCTTTTTGCCCAGTATTCCTTGTTCCCACAATGTAATTATAAACTGCTGATGTACTGTTTCTTTGTCAAGCAGAAGGAGATAACTTCAGGGTCATAAGAATAGTTTGCAGAAGGAATGAATTCCTGGAAGGACATTGCAACCAGCTGCCATGTACATACGGCTGCACAAGGTGTTACCTGAAATGGAAGAAACACAGACTTTTCCCTTGGATTCCTTGAAACTCCCTCTCCATTACTCTCTAGCTCCATAAAAACTCCCTGCTTCTTTTTTGTTACTGTGGATCTGAGAGATCTTGCTCTCTTGCCCTCTAACTTTGGTCAAATCGAATAAATATTTCTCTGTCTCCAAGCACCAGTATCTCAATATTTGGCATCAGCTGCCCATCGGGTACATGAGCCTGAATTTGGAGTTCTAAAACAGATGTGATTAAGTTAAAGATTCTGAGATGGAGTGACTATCCTGATTATCTTGATGGGCTCAATGTAATCACAAGGGTGTTTTTAAGAGGGAGGCAGGCAGGAGGGTGAGAGAGACAGAGGAAGAGGAGGAGACTGAAAAATGTCATGCTGACAATGAAGGTGGAGGATAGTGAAATGAGCCAAGGAATGAAGGCAGCCTCTAGAAGCTGGAAAAGGAAAGGAAATGAATTCTTCCCTAGAGATTCCGGAAGGAACCAGCCCTGCCAACTTCAGTCCATTGAAATTAATTTTGGACTTCTGACCTCCAGAAATGTAAAATAACTTCTACTTATTTCAAGCCATTAGGTTTGTCGTAATTGGTTACAGCAGCAATAGAAAACTAATACATAGGCCAACATAGGGCACTGTGGTAACACATTAAAGGGGCCTCTGTATCAAGTTATGGAGTGAGGACGGGGTGTTTAGGAAGAATTACCCCAAGTGACGACCCCAGAGCTGAGGAAAGGAGATTGTGTTTCCGAGGATGACCCAGGTAGAGTAGGTAGATGTGTAAAGGCGCACAGAAAGAGCATGGAAAGTGTTTCAATAAAGTAAGACTGCTTGCATGAAATAGTAGTAATAACATCAACAATATTAACTATGGTAAATGTTCATTGTTTGTATGCCAGGAGTGCCTTGGCATTTTACAAGTCTGTGAGATTGATACTATTATTATCATCTTCATTTTACCCACAGGGATACTAAGGTCTGGAGGAGGAGGTAAGTAAATTTCCTGAGATCACCGAGCTAGTAAACAGCAAAGCTAGAACTAGAACCTTGGCAGTCTGTTTCCAAAACTCACTGTTTTTCTAATACGTTACTGTGGGAGTGTTAAGAACTTAAGGGGGCATTAGCATGGCTGAGGATAAATGAATTATTAGAAAGATATTAATGAGGTAAGGATCACTAGAGCTTGGAATATGATCTTGTCTTGGAGACTGACAAAAGTGGGAATGACTGACAGGTGTCTTCCAAGTTTCTTTGATGTGATCTCGGTTTTGCTGTGGTTCAAGACATAAAGGAGCCTTCCTTTACCACTCAAAGCAAATCACTGCTTCTTCGCTACAAATTCCACACCTTGCACAAACCTCTTCATTTCATTTCTTCCTTTTTCCCCTAATGTCTGAGGCAGAGTTGGGGGTAAAAGCACCAACTCAATTCTGGGCCTCATTTTCCATATTTGTAAAATGCCTAGAAGTATTTAACAGTTCCAAACTTGGTTGTGCTTCCGAATCCCCTGCGCTAAGTTTAAACAAAACGCAGATTCCTCATCGCATTCTCAGAGATTCTGTTGGTTAGTATTGGGATGGGGCCTTTTTTCCCCCATGATTCTACGCGGCCACGTGTTGGTAACCAATATACAGATGACTGGGTCCTTCCCAGTCCCACGCGTTTACTCGATGAAGGCAGCCTCCCGCCGGGCTCCTGGCCCCGCCCGAGCCCCACCCCCTGCTCCCTTCCGGCCCGGACTGGGTCCCATCGCCCCACCTCCGGTCGCTGGACGTGCTCTCGCGTAGCTCCGCCTTTCGTAAGTCCCCCCGCCTCGCATGATGGCTGCGGTGCCGCCGGGCCTGGAGCCGTGGAACCGTGTGAGAATCCCTAAGGCGGGGAACCGCAGCGCAGTGACAGTGCAGAACCCCGGCGCGGCCCTTGGTGAGTGAGGCGCCGGGCGAGGATGGGGGAACGTTTCCGGGGGAGGCCGCCAGGCCCAGCCGGCGCATGTGGGCGGGGGTGGTACCGGGACTTCCCGGCCCGGGGGACGCTGGGAAGGGGCGCGGGGCACGTAGGGGTCGAGCGGTCCCAGCACTTTGCTGGTGTAGCTTGTAGGGCCTCTGGCTTCGCATTCCTTCATTGAACCAGCTGTGCTAACCCAGGGCTTGGCTGGAGAGATGAAAGACCAAGGCTCAGCCGTGCGCTGAGGGGGCGGAGAGAGGTGGACTCAGCTGGTGCCGGGGAACAGTGCTGCCTGGGAACCCTTGCTCACCCGGGTCTTCGGAGTCTTGTTTACCCTTCCGTCCATTTCCCCTTTCCTTCTTTTTCCTGTACCCGAGGAGCGGTGGACGTCACCTAAGCACTGGGACTCAAACTGCAATCTTTTCGGACCTCTATCTGCTTATCTGTGAAATGGAGTTAGTCCTCCTACTCCTCACAGGGGCGTTGGGAATATCTAATGATGTAATTTAGGAGACAGTGCGCTGTAAACGACGGTGTTTTGCCACCTAAATGGGTGGTATTTGTTAGGGTGAAGGGCATATAGTAGGTAGGAGCCTGGCGCAGGAGCCAGGTTGTTTGGGTTTGAATACTAGCTCTACCCTTTGCTGGAGCTTGAAGGAGTCATTGAACCTTTCTGTGCCTCACTGATCTCACTTTCAAATGGAGATAAAAGCACCTTCCTCATAGGGCTGTTTGGGGGGATGAAAGAGTTGATAATGTAGAGAAAGCATTTGGAACACTGCCTGGCATGGTAAATGAACACTCAAATGGAAGCTGTTATGAATATTAAATACGTAGCTCCGGGGCCCAAGGGAGAGAATACAGTCATGGGTTCTTTGTTTCCGGTTGGGCTGGTAAAGCCCTTTCCTCATCCCTCTTTTCACTAGAGACAAACTAAAAACCATGGCTTTAAGCTGCAAAAAGCCTAAAACAAAACAGAACAGAACAACAAAATAAGGCGGGTTGGACAAGCTTGACTTAGATCATCACATCCCCTTTCCCATATATCCATCCTACACACTTTACAGATTATCCCATCTATCCTTCCTACACACTTTACAGATTAATCTTCCCTCTTTCTCTATTCAAAAATTCTTTAACAACTCCTATTAGGCCTGGGAAATTCACCAACTCACTACCCATCCCCGAGGCAGCCCATTCTGTCTTCAGGTAGTTGTTGGGACAGTAAGAAAATTCTTGTTAGGTAGCAACCAGCCTTTACTTCCATTTAGAATGCTAGTGCTGCCTTTAGAGCCATAAATAACACATGAACTACATCTTAGGGACTTCTACAGATTTTCAGACTAGGAAGCATCTGCTGATGAGCACCCGGTGTTCATCAAATAATACGATTTCCAGTTACTGTGGTGGTTTTTCTTTTCTGAATATGTTTGTGTCTCTCATAAAGTGATATCCAAACACAGAAGCCTTGATTTTGAAGACTGTGAATTTATTCATTCTGTCTTGCTTTCGGGCATAGCGACATGGGGAGTTAGAGAGTTATTACACATGTTGTGACATGTGCCCTACCTTCAAGGTGGGGGTTAAGTGTACACATGAGGCGTAAGTGTACACCAAATGACTGACAGCAAAGTATTCATATGAAAGATTATTAAACCATGATAAAATGCAATGCAAAGATACAGCTTCTTGTTTTACAGATGTTCTCTTAATGATTTCCTGGACTTTATATCATCTGTTACCATTTTCCAACTTCTCTTATACTTAGAATCCTTACGTTCTTACAGTTGAGACTGATTACATTAGTTTTTGATTCCTTTAAAACAAATAAGGAAAGATGCTTTTTTTAGTGTGTTTTTAATATAATATACTTACTGTAGAAATACATACTAAATCTTATTAGATGTCTCTGCTTCAGACCTTTGCATTGCAGCTGTAATTAAAGAATGCCATCTCGTCATACTGTCGCTGAAGAGCCAAACCTTAGATGCAGAAACAGATGTGTTATGTGCAGTCCTTTACAGCAATCACAACAGAATGGGCCGCCACAAACCCCATTTGGCCCTCAAACAGGTGAGGAAGCCCGGTAGGTGAGACCCAACCTGTTCACTTGAAAATGTAGATCACACTGCCACTTACTATATTGCTATTTATGGAAATCTCGTGGAAATCTCAGTAAATTACTTGTGTTTTATAGGCCTATAGCCCACAGTTACATGTGCACTTTCTTTTTTTTTCCTAAAAGCATTTCAGCATTTCAAAAAGTAATTTTTGTTAGAAAAGAAGTATGTTTAGATTCTTTCCCAGTCTTGTTTCTAATAGGCAAGTAAACATTTTCTTCATTATATACAATCTATAACAACAGTGCCTTTGCCCAGCTCAAAGATAAAGTGATTTGAGCAAGACAAAATGTTGGACATTAAGAAACAGTTCCCTGGGCATAATCAGAATGCTAAAATTATTTTTAAAAAAACTTGTCTACTTATTATGGGGTACATAATCTAATTGGTGGTATGTTAGAGTAAATGGGTACATAGCAAGTTGTGGTGTAAACTGGTTTCATGTAATGTTTGGAGCTTAAGACAAAATTGGGCCCTCCAGCTCAGGGGCTATACCATAGAGTAGAGCCTCTCTTAAGCTGGCTTCCTGATATGCTCATTCATTCATTCACTTAATTCTGCAAGTATTTTCTGGAAGTTCAGAAGGCTATCCATTGTGTGACAGGGCTACCTTGCAAGTGTTTTTGAACTTTCTGTGTGCCAGGCATTCTGCTTAGTGCTGTGTATAGAGGAGTGAAAAAGGTAGACACAGTCTCTAACCTTATAGATGCATGCTTTCTGGTTAGTTTTCTACCCCTAGTACTTAAAGCAAACAGGGTGAAGATTTCATCAAAGAAAGATCTGGGACCATGGTCTTTCCCTAAATTTTCCATTCTAGGGTGGCTTTTATCTTTTTCGGAGTCTTTTTGATCCAAAAGCAAGCTTGCTAACCCTCAAAGTGAATATATTTCTCCTTCTAGCTTCTGGGTTGTGAATAATCACCCCGTCATCAAAATTTGGCATTCTCTAGTCTCTCTCTCTTACGTAGCTCTCCCATCCAGGCAGTCCATAAGACAAAACTTCCTCTGCATCTGGTCCCCTCTTCAGTTCTGGCTGCCATTTTCCTTTCTTAGACCTTGTCAACTTTTAGTTGTCTTACTATCATAACTGATGTTTCCTCCTTCAGCTTTTCCTAAGTTCTGGCATATTCTAAATATTAAAACCAGGTTAATCATCTGAAAACACAACTTTGATTTTTAGTCGTTCTCCATTGTGTCCTGAGTAAAGACCAAACTTCTTAGTTTGGCTTACGAGATCTGTGATCTGGCCTCTTCAGTCTTCTTAGTTCGGGCTTCTCTCTTGCGTTCAGATAGATTATATTCCAGCCAACCTGGACTCAACACACCTGCATGCTCACTATGTTTGTTCCTGCTTCTGAGTCTGCTTACCTGGTCCTGTATGTTTAGAATGCCCAGCCTCACCATGTCTGCCTGTTAAAGGCCTTCCTATCCTCTAAGTCCCATTTTAAGCCTTTCTGGCAGTGATAATCTGTGTTATAGTAATCTCATTTTAAGTTGTATTTTTCTGATTATTACTGAAGTTGCTTTTTTTTTTTTTTTTTTAAATTCTTGGCTATTTGGGCCTCCTCTTTGTACTTATAGCATTTAATATAGTCTGTGTCATGGTAAAGTTATTTGTGTATATATTTTATATTCCATGTGATCCCTGAAGTAGGAAACATGTTTTATGCTTATGTTACTGCTGCAGCTGCTATTACCACTTCTACTACTGCCTTACAACTGCTTAATATTTCACAGTTTTCAGAGAACTTTCATGTAAGTACTAGAATTGGCCTGTCTCTAAACATTCCCCTAAATGGAACACAGAAAGTAGTTTTGATTCCTGTTCTGTGGAGTACATGTAGGGCATGCTGGCAGATAAAGTGGTATTAGAAACTTCCCTATCTCTAGTTGCTAAAAATCTAGTAGTAAAAATAGGAAGACATGTAAAATATTTAATTAAATGCTAAAATAAAAACAGACCCTATTTAAAATTGCAATCTTCTCAGCACTCCCTCTCTGCCTTATTTGTCTTCATAGCACTTAACACCACCTGCCATTGATTGACTGCCTTTCTCTCCCAGCTATAATGTAAGCTCCACAAGGGCAATGTATTTTGTCCCTTTTGTTTACCACCATAATCCAGTTCTTAGAACAGTGTTCAGTAAGCACTCAATAGGATTTTTAATTTTTTTTAAAAAAAGTAAGAGCCATGCATGGTACAAAATGCTGTAGGAATTCTGTAGTCCTCAGGAATAACACACAAAGGGCAGCATGGGACTGCATCTAGACAGATACAAAAATTTGGATGGGCATTGATACTGGCAACAAGAGTATCTTGCCAGAGCTGCAAATATACTTCTAGAAATTGAACCAAGGTTATGGATTCTGTTTTAACAGCGGTTTTCAAGAATAATGGAGGGAACAATCCTTAAATTCTTTAGGGTCAGCTCCTATCTTTTTCAGTTTTCAAGTCTGGACACCATCCTTTGAGGGAGGTATTGACAAACCCAGATGGTAAAGCACTTGGAAAACATAGTAAGTGAACTGCGGTTCAAAAGAGAAAAAAAACCCAAGAGAGAGAAGGGAGAAAGAGAGAAGATGCAGAGGAACATAAGAACAAGCTTCATCTAATCAAAGAATATATTTGTTCAGTGATTAAAGCCAATCGTTTTCCTCATCTCTGTGGTACTTTATAGACTGTTGAAATTTAGTAGTTAATAATTTTCTATCTTGTTTTAATAGTTTCACTATTAAAAATCATGTTGTCGGCCAGGCGCGGTGGCTCATGCCTGTAATCCCAGCACTTTGGGAGGCCGAGGTGGGCGGATCACAAGGTCCAGATCGAGACCATCCTGGCAAACACGGTGAAACCCCGTCTCTACTAAAAATACAAAAAATTAGCCTGGCGTGGTGGCGGGTGCCTGTAGTCCCAGCTGCTTGGAAGGCTGAGGCAGGAGAATGGTGTGAACCCAGGAGGTGGAGCTTGCAGTGAGCCGAGATCACGCCACTGCACTGCAGCCTGGGCGACAGAGTGAGACTCCATCTGAAAAAAAAAAAAAAAATCTTGTCTTAGCAAAATTATAATCTTGAGAATAACCTATACTCGTTTTGGTCCCTTTTATGACATCAAGCTCATTGTGGCATATACTAATTTCTTAGGAGTCACCTGATTTTAAAAATGTGTTTGGCTGGATAAATTCCAAATTTGTAACTAGAAGCAATTGCTTGCGCTTTGGATTTCTCTACCCTGAAAAAAAATAAGGTATTCTGTGATATTTAGCATATTTCCATACTTTGAAAATCTAGAAGTCTTTGCTTTCCTGGTCATAATCAGTGACCCTGTCTGCATTACATACACATGAATTTGAACTGCTCTTCTTCTTTCAGGTTGAGC
This sequence comes from Homo sapiens, assembly GCF_000001405.40. Taxonomy (NCBI): domain Eukaryota; kingdom Metazoa; phylum Chordata; class Mammalia; order Primates; family Hominidae; genus Homo; species Homo sapiens. Next base: position 113,014,025 of record NC_000003.12, on the reverse strand, counting down.
AATGTTTAAAGCGTTTGAAAAACATGAATTTGGAGGGCTCAATTCAAGACCTGTTTGAGTTGTTTTCTTCCAAGTAAGTAAGTGGTCCAGTTGCTTTGTGATGTGGTGGGCTGGGAACTCAATGTCTTGTGATCTCCCTTTGGATTTCTCTATGCTTGCTGTTGGAATATAACCAATTATACCTCAGCTGTATAAATTTTGTTTTAATGTGGGGTACCTGGTGTTTGTGGTAATCTTCTGACATTGATCTATGGGAGTGACTGGTGTGACATTGAAATCTGGGTCATGGTAGATTATATTAAAACATCAGTGGGCTGTTATTGTGCTTAACTACCTCAAGTTGAGCTTAAAGCAAGTCTTCACTTGAAAACTGCTATAGAAATGCTTTATATTTAAAAATGAAAGTAATGGGAGCTTGCACATAGCTGAAAATGTGAAGGGTCGCCCAGGGAGGACATGGAAGCTCTGTGCTTCTTCTGCCATACCTTGCCCTATGCATCTCTTTGTTTCAATCCTTTGTCATATCCTTTATAATAAACTGGTAAATGTAAAAAAAAAAAAAACAAAAAAAAAACCCTTTTTTTTTAAGTGAAAGTAATGTACTTTTTCTATTTTTTTCAAGTGAAAATCAGCCCTTAACTACCAAAGTATGTGTTGTCCCCAGTCAGCCAGTGGTGGAGTTGGTGTTGATGAAGGTTTTGGGAGCCTGCAAGTTGTTGCTCCGCTTGTTGGACTGCTGCTGCAAAACTTTTCTGTATCCTTGAATATCTTGAAATATACCTTCTTTTGATTTGGAATTGTTTGGATATTTTTAACAGTATTTTTGTTTGAAAGCTAACACTCCATAGGAGTTACAACCTACAGGAATTCTTAAACTTTTGCTTCTTGGCCTCCTTTTCTCAGGAATTGCCTGATGCAGCCATTGCCAGAGACTGCCTGTCACTGTTCAGCACGTATTATCCTAAGAGCATTGATAGCTAGAAATTCTTAATCTTAGAAACTAAACTTTAAGAACTAAATTTAATAATGGGAACTCTAGCAGAGTGTTTATAACCATATTTTAAAGTTTTAAATTCTTAAATAGAATGTGTTTTAAGGCTTTAATACCTTTAAGAAAATTCTCTTTACTTCCAATATATTTCTTCATTCATGATTGTAACTTACAAAACCCACATTACTTTGATTTTGTTTTCTACCTTAAATTGATTTTCCAGTTTGACTGTGAAACATCTAGGTTTGCAAGAGTTCATTATTTTAAACCTTGTGATGGTTGGGCTGGTGAGCAGGTTATGGTATGTACATACCTCTGACATCCTTCATTTCTTTCTCATCTCCTTTCAGCCTAGGTTTCTTATTAGTAGTTTTCAAACTTATTTTCTTATGGGGTTATGGAAGGTGCAGGTATTCTCTTTCTTGGTTTGATCAGAGTTTTTTGAGGGTAGATTGGGAAGCCGAGTGCTGATGGCTGTATCAAAGGAGTAGGCTTTGTATCTCAATCCACAAGATCAGCCCAATCACTGAACAACTAAAAAAATCGGGAGTGACTGGTGTCACACTGAAATCTGGGTCATGGTAGGTTGTAGTGAAACATCAGTGGGCTTTTACTGAACATTAAAAAAATTAATGCCTGTGACTGGGAATTGCAGTAATAAAAAATTGTTGGTAGTAGTCATATTGCAACAGGCCGTTTAAAATGATGCTAATCCTGGGCTGGCTGTATCACTTGATTCTTTCTGTCACTCGGTTTCTAATTTTTAATGGCAATGATAAATGCAATTTTTGACCTTCTTATGTGCTAGACTATTTTCTTCCATCTCAAACACCACTGCTTTTTTGAGCATATTTAGTTGATGTATGCTGGTAATACTTGGAAACTAAAGAGACATCTCTTTCATGTCTCTCAGTACATATTGTGAAACTGATCTGATGGATAATTAGAATTTGCCCGTATCTGTAAGAAGGCCTGTTTTGGGCCATTTCAAACAATTAAGATTATTAGTTCTAATATGAATGTAAGAAAACATTGGATGGAGAAAAGAAAAAAAGTTTCTGTGTTTAGAGATTGAAAACCTTGCTTTGATATCTTAACCTGGATATCTCAAATAGTATTTCCTATTGTTTTATTTTTTATTCTACTTATTCTTAATCAGAGGTAACAATGTTTGATTACTAATCATATTATTTTAAAATGCTAAACCTTTGATACTCTCTTCTGTAATGAAAATAGCTTTAATTTTTGCTGATTATAATACATGCCTGTTTTAAGAAATTTAAAAAGAGAAATGTGAAGAACCTGAAATTTGCCTAAAATCTCACCATCTACCACACTTAAAACTTTGATATGCATCCTTTTGTACATTTCTCCATGTAGTACTTTTTGAATATATATATATCTTTCCTGGTAGACTGTCTTACAGTTTTTTGAGTAACATTTTATACTTGGATTTTTCTGTTGGGTTGGACTAATCTGGCTGTTCGCAAGTGTGCACTATAGTGTTTTTTATCTGTACTGGAGGACCTTGATAGCCATTTATTTTCAGCTTTCAATCTTGCAGTTTATTATGTAATCTGCAAATTGTAATTACTGGCTAATTAATGAGCTCCTATTTCTTTCTCTAGGGTTCTCTATAAAGGTGTCTTAAAAAGGTTGATTTTGTTATATGAGCCTTTGTTTGGATTGCTTCAAGAGGTCGCTAGGATTCAACCAATGCCTTACTTCAAAGATTTTACCTTTCCTTCTGATATCACTGAATTTTTAGGACAGCCATATTTTGAAGCCTTTAAGAAAAAAATGCCTATAGCTTTTGCAGCTAAAGGAATAAATAAATTGCTAAATAAACTGTTTTTAATAAATGAGCAGTCACCAAGAGCCAGTGAAGAAACCTTGCTTGGAATTTCAAAAAAAGCTAAACAAATGAAGATCAATGTACAGAATAATGTGGATCTTGGACAGCCAGTAAAGAATAAGAGAGTCTTCAAAGGTAATTTGCTTTGATACAGCACATACTCTAGTAAAACAAAAAACAAATAAAAAGAAACCTTTTGAAAGTAATAGTCATGCATTGCATAGAAAGAAATTCAACATCTCACATCTTAATTTTGACTCATATTGATTAGAGAGGTATGGTAATACCTGTGCTTTCTAAGCTTGAGTACTTTAAGTTGTTTATTTGTTTCTGTAGTTGCTTCCTAGTTATTTGCTTGCTTTATTCCTTTATTTTGTGGTAATTTGGCAAGAAATGTCATGCACTTAAGAATTTGTTGTAGATTTGAAAATAGTATGCCTAAGGTTTTGTATCTGCAATTTTTCCACCTCCACAGAAGAGTCATCAGAATTTGATGTGAGGGCTTTCTGCAACCAGCTGAAACACAAAGCTACTCAGGTTTGTCTGGCTTCATTAAATTTAGCTTATGATTTCTGCTAATTTGTAGAGGATGCTTCTTACCAAGGGCAGAGATTGAATCTTTTCATTTTATCCCCAGCTCTAAGCTTAGTGCCTTCTTAGTTGTCAGTGTGTGCTTCTGAATGAATAGAGGCAAGGGATTTTTAATACATCTAGTTAATTCAGTTAATAGAGTACCTTCAGAAATATTTTAGTAGGAGTTTCTCTAGAATTTTAAAGTAACCGTAAGATCTGTTGTTAAGTATGGATTGTACTGCAGCTTAAGAGTATAGGCTTTGCAGTCAGACAGTTGGTTTGAATCCTGGCTTTGGTACTAGCTGTGTGACCTTCTGTGAGTTTCCTGATCTCTCCGTACCTCTATTTTGTAATAGTAATATGTGCCTCATAGGGTTGTGCTAGTTTTAATGCATGTAAAGCGTTCGGTAGTCTGGAGTATGGTAAGCATTTAATTGGAGTTAGATGTTATTAGCTACGGTCATTTTGGTCATCATCCTCATCATTTTGTCATGAAGCTATTCCTTTACTCCTGTTGAGGTTCAAGTTTTAACATGATTGATTAATGTCTGTAAATTCTGTTTGTTCTGGACCTAACAGCATATAAGTACATCGGCATTACTGTTTTACTCAGTAACTTGACTTTTTTTTTTTTTTAACCCTGTCTTTGCAAAATGTCTACTTCTGGTATTTTTCATGGGTTAGTTTACTTCTTTTATTTAAGAATTCTTAAACATATTTTCTTGAACTTAAGGACTCCAGCTTCCATTGATGTTCTGTCCAATTTATGAATTCAGAGTGAGGAGTAATACTTTCTGTGCCAGGCATTGTTCTAAGTGCTTTTATATGCATGAAGTCATGTAATTATATCACAAAAGCTCTGTGAGGTGGGCATGCTTATTACTGTTTTCATATTTCAGATGAGGAAACTGAGGCATAGAAAGGCCAAGAAACTGCCAGGCCACATAGTGAATAAATGGTAGAGCTGCGATTTGAATGCAGGCAGTATGGTTTCATAGTCTTTCTTCTTTACTATTCACCAGTCCCCAGAACAGTTTTTCAACTGTATCTCAAGAACTATGGTGCTTTGTGAACCTTGAAACTTCTGCAGCCTGTGCACCTGTTTGTAGGTGAGCTGGCTTTGAAGTTGGTGGGTCAGCATCCCTCTTACTCAAAACTAACTGCTACTATATTTTTAGCAAATAGCACTAACTTGCTTAGCTTTAAAGCAAACTACTTCTATTGATCACCAAACATAAACTATTGACCTGGGTCATTACTTTTATATTTTCTACTTTTTTTTAAAGTTCCTTTTGAGTGTAAGAAATTTGGAAGAAGGTAAGCTTTGAATGAAAGAGCAGATCATCTCGTAGGCAGCATATTTTCATAAAGAAATAGTAAACGTTAGTAAAATCCAAATGTGACTTGATATAGAAAGAAGGGGTTGAAGAAGTAAAGGTGCCTTGTCAGAAGATGGTTGAAGTAGAATTGGAAGTGTTGCTCAATTGAGCATTTTTAATAGATATTCAGCAGGCATTAACTGATTAATGGGCTTATTCTGCTGGGCACTCTGCAGGGCCCCATATCTTCCCTGTTTTCAGAAACATTTCTAAATTGAGGAGGTTTGCCCAGGATACGGAAATAAGTGAAAAACAAGTCGTGATAATCTGGTGGTGTAGCGAAGAGGGGCCTTTCAGTGATCCCCCAACCCTCTGCAATTAGGCTTTGACCAGTATTTAATCATGTGGGGTTTTTTTATTGTGTATGTGAGATATGTGTGTTAGGATATTTATGTTAACTTTCCTATGTCAATCTAATTCAGCTGCAGATGGGACCTGTCCTGGTACAGAGGGGGAACAAAACAACTTGTATTTGGAGCAGTGGAGAAAAATTCAGTTTTTAAAGACATAAGGAAAGCTTAGTGAGCAAAAAAATTTCCTTACAGACTGATTTTTTTTTTTTAATTTTTAGGTTTTGTGGGTACGTAGCAGGTATATATATTTATGGGGTACGTATTTTGTTATAAGCATATAGTGCATAATAACCACAGGGTAAATGGGGTATCCATCACTTCAAGCATTTAGGGACTGATAATTCTAATTTTTAAATTTTGATTGTGAGCTAGCTTTCCTTGTTGTCATATAATTACAAGTCAGTAACATGTCCAATATATTTTTCTCATCTTTCCACGTTTCAGGAGACCAGTTTTGATTTTAAATGTTCTCAATCCAGACTAAAGACAACCAAGTATTCTTCTCAGAAAGTGATAGGAACTCCTCATGCCAAAAGTTTTGTGCAAAGATTCCGAGAGGCTGAGTCCTTCACACAACTTTCTGAAGAAATCCAGATGGCAGTTGTATGGTGCAGGAGCAAAAAACTCAAGGCTCAGGCCATTTTTCTGGGTAACAAACTTCTTAAAAGCAACCGGCTTAAACATCTGGAAGCTCAAGGTACTAGGTAGGTATATTGCAAAAATTATGTTACTTTACTTTTTCTGTTGTTGTTATGAGTAAAAGTATTCAGGTCACTTTTCTTTAAAATGTGATGTCCAGCAGCCGCAGCGGGGCTAAATTGGGATGTACTCAAACTGCAATTGCATTTGCTGCTTTTATTGTAAGAGCAAAGCTGTATCATTGGAGGAAGAAGATAAACAAGTTAATTGGACTTCAGTCCCCGTTATGCTCTTCATCATTTCCATCAGCTCATTCAGGAACCATTAAGAGTGTCTAGTGTGCTGAGCCTGAGGATACAACTGCATAAAGACGTGACTTGGTCTTCAGGGAGCTCAGGGTCTTCTGGGAAAGGCAGCCCTTCTGCAGACAGCTTCAGTGCAGTGCAGTGGGATAAGGGCATGAGAGCAGAAGCAGAAGGTGCCTGCCTTCCATGAGGCCCACACAAGACTGCTGGGGTGTTGTACTGTTGCTACTTGCTACTGTTTGTAGCAGCTGGACTCTATCTATATTTCTTTTCTGTGATTTTTATATTCACAACTGTTTAAGGGTGCTTATCTTTGCTTGTGAACCAGTATTGCATGAAGTATTACATGAATTTAGACATTAGACACTTCAGGGCTTAACGGTAATGATTTCAGACACAAATATGTATTAAGAGCCTATTCCACCTTCACAGAGGCAATTATTCTGACCTGTTTTTTATTGTATTCTTTAACAAATATCCTGTGCATGCCCCATAATTTCTTATCCATAGTTTAGAGCTATTCAGGGATTTAAAGTTCATTCCTGGGGATGAACCACGTATTGAAAATTTGTTAAATTTTCTTTTAAAATTTGCATAAAATATATTCCTGTTTTAGAAAAAAAAAAGTATACAGTGAGGGTTTTGTAACACATTTTGATTAAAAGCTATGGGGAAAGTGGTTGAATATTCCTGAGGGATAAAGTGCTTGAGGGGTTTTTACATTGAGATGGCTCCTCTAAAGGTCTGTAATAATCTAAAAGTGATGTATCCTATGGCTGGAGACGCAGCCTGAGATGGAGAGAAGCATTCTGTTTAAAATTGGGTTTAAAATCAAGGGTAGATGAGGCAGAGGTAACAACTAAAAGTTAATGAGAAGGGTAGCAAACTGGTGTTTATTGGTTAAACCATTACTCAGTACTCCCCCAGATATAGTGCTCCTTCATAGATTGCCCTGTTTTGCTGTTTCATTAATATATTTGTAGTAAACTTTATAATTTATTTAATGTCCATAATAACATTGTGAGGTAGACAGTATTATTCCCATTTCATAGATGGGTAAATGGAGGATTTTGCTCAAGGGGTTAGATGTGGAACTCAGTTCAGGCCCTCTGTTTTCCTTTCAACTCTGAAGTACACCCACCTTCTCCCCACTTAAAAGCCACTGCTTATAGTGAGATAAGAAAATGGTATGGAAGCAAAGATCATGATTTACTTTATTATAATGGGCTTCCTCAAAGTTTTATATCCATGCCCGTCTTTTAAAATCTATCACAAACAGTGAAACAATTCAGCAAGGCACTGATGAACCTTGTGGCAGTGTACCGTGTGTGGAAGCAAAACACCTAAAATGATCAGCTGTTTGATTTCTGAATTTCCAAACTTGAAGATGACATATGAATCATAATTAGGGTAGCTTAAGGCTGTCTGTGTATCTGGGCCAGAAGCCCTGTCTTCATATTGTTTTATAAACCCCTCTTAGCCTTTATTCCTTTTTCCTTGTTCATTTCCTGCCACAGCATGAAGCTGATTATCCAGATTCGGATTAATACGTACTGGCAGATTTTTTCATTTGTGATGTTTCCTCATGTCCACTCATTACATTATGAACAGATTAGCAGTTATGAGGGAAAAGCTCTGACACTAAAGTATAGGGTATCTCGCCATTCAGCTAATTGCTAGGCGGCTGTACTTTTGAGAGTTTGAAAGCAAAATGGGGACACATTCGTCTACACTTCAATCAGAGGGCATTTGTGCTCTCAAAAAACAGACTTGGGGTGAAATTTTTCGATGTGGTTCTGGGATTGTACACAGGCATAGGACTTGTAGATAAGTTGTGTATTTTTCTTTTCAGTTGGTAAATTAAAAGTGCTTGAGAATGTTTTTCTCATCTTAAGCCCAGATTTTTCCTCTCTCTGTCTTTTAAAGTTTGCCAAAGAAACTAGAGTGCATAAAAACGTCTATTTGCAACCACCTTCTTCGTGGCTCAGGTATCAAAACTTCAAAGCATCATCTGAGACAGAGAAGATCACAGAATAAATTTTTACGGAGACAAAGGAAACCACAGAGAAAGTTGCAGTCGACTCTTTTAAGGGAAATTCAGCAGTTCTCTCAAGGGACTCGGAAGAGTGCTACAGATACCAGTGCTAAGTGGAGACTCTCACACTGTACTGTGCATAGAACTGATCTCTACCCTAACAGTAAGCAGCTCTTGAATAGTGGAGTTTCAATGCCTGTCATACAAACTAAGGAGAAAATGATTCATGAAAATCTTAGAGGCATCCATGAAAATGAAACTGATTCGTGGACGGTGATGCAAATAAATAAAAACAGTACATCAGGAACCATTAAGGAGACAGATGACATTGATGATATTTTTGCTTTAATGGGAGTTTAGATGTTCGTTCATATGTGAGACTTTTAAGTGATTAACAAGGCTAGTTCAGTGTTCTAAGTAGAACTGCTAAGATCTGGAAGTACCACCTGGACTCACAGAGGAGCTGCTTTAGTGCAGCATTGCACAGGAGTTCATTTCAGTTCAGTCTACATTTAAAGTAGCATTGTGTCATTTCATCAACAAGTATTTCTTTTTTGGCTTCAACTACATGTCAGGTGTTAATATGAAAAATCTGCCACAGCCTACCCTTGAGAAGCAGATGTAATTCCTTGAGTGAGGCTAGTAAGTCTCTGAAAAACTGAATAATTTTATGACTTACTAGGCAATTTAATAATCGTTTGCAAAAACCATTGTGTCTTGAGGTAAATGAGGAGCGGGGGTGGGAGATAGCAAGGAAACACCTGAAAGGTCAATTTGGTCTTATTGGCTCCATTATACATAGGTCCGCCTCTGAATACTAAAGTTTGTAGCTCCTGACATTTATGTTTTCTTGTTTATATGTTGGAATTGATCAACAAGGTTTGCCACTGCTTGTATTACCAGGGACTGGTTACAACCATTATTTCTCTTCATTTGCTTGGCTTATCTCATATTAAAGTGAGTTTGGAGTTCTCCAAAACGTTTTAATTTTATTTATTTGGGTACCAGTGATTGATTCCAAATAAACCTTTTTACAAAAAGGCAATAAGGTGGTTTATGGTTACATATGAAATATAATAGGATAACAGGTAGATGAGAAAGTAAAATGAAAAAATGAGGTTAGGAGATACAAAGTAGACCCAGGAATGAGGCTAGAACATTTATAATTTGGTGTTGATGCTGTCATCTGATAGGGGATGTTGCTCGTACTGTTGCTCTGAGGGGAGTACATCTTGAGTATTTTCAAATAATGATGTGAAGTTTGAGGTAGGTATCTTTCCAATGTTCTAACTTTACTAGAATTAGGTTATTAAGCTTCTCTAGTGCCCTTAACTTTTGTTACATAGAGATTTAAAGAAAAAGAAAGTAGTACCTTAGTATGTACCGCATCCTTCTTTTCCTCAGCCACCCTATCATAACAGAAGTTATTTCCCTTCCATTCTTTATTTGGCTTTGTTCTTTCCCTGTCTGCCTTCTCCATTTTCTCAGTTATCTCTACCAGTGGTTCTCAAACTTTAGACTTTTTGAGAATCACCTGGTGGGTTGCTAAAAGATGCAGATTAGCCCTTTCCCAGAGACTGATAAACAGGGGCCAGAAACCTGCATTTTTAACATGGAGCCCAAGTGATTTTGATCCAGGTGGCCCCCAAATCCAGTTATATAAACACTACTTTAGCTTCTCTCCTGAAGCCTTAAGTAAACTGGTTTAATTCTTAATCTGTAGTCAGTTTTCATATTCCTTTTGGCTTTCTACCAAGTGGTAGTATCCATTTAGTGCCTTAAAATACAGACAATACCAAGGAGATTTCATTCTAGACAAGTCTAGAAATGGCCATTAACTTCTAAGTGTCCTTGTGTTCAATGAATATCCTTTACCTATTGGGAAATAGAAGGTAAATTAGTAAGAGAACTGGTGTATAGCTTTGTGGACCATAGGGCTTATTTGCTGAGAGTTGTCTATATTCATGCACCCAGTCCCCTAAGTAGCCTCTTTTAATACTTCATTTAGCTGATTCAGAAAAAAACTCCCTGGGAATTAGGAGATTTAAGGTTCAGTCTTGCTTCTCCTACTTGTGGCTTCACTGAGCTAGTCAGTTTCCTCAGGCTTAGGTTTCTGGATTTGAAGTGGAATTTTTTCAAGAATGAAACTTTTATAGCTGAAATAAACTTTGGAGCTTATCTTTCATTGGAAAAACCAGGGTGGTTCAGTGAGTTAAGGACAATATAGCATGGACTGGGCTGCCAGTCTAGCATTTGTTTCCAAATTCATTCATGTTCTTTTGGAGTATCTTCATCTCCTCTCATTTTCCCATCTTCTGCCCTTTACTATTCTGGGAAAATGGCAAAAAAGCTTCACATGTGTCCACAAAATGACAATTTGTATGTTTATAAGGAATTCAGTATTCTGTATCAGTTACTTTTTCCAAATAAATCCAAATATTTAACATTTAAAAAAATGCAATCTAAAGTATACCAAACTGTAACTTACCTAGTAAATGAGATTAGAAACTATTGTCAGGGTCATCGTAGTGAATTATTATTATTATTATTTTTTGAGACAGAGTCTTGTGCTGTTGCCCAGGCTGGAGCACAGTGGTATGATCTCAGTTCACTGCACCCTCCACCTCCTGGGCTCAAGCTATTCTCCCACCTCAGCCGCCTGAGTAGCTGACACTATAGGCACCACCATGCCCTGGCTAATTTTTTAAAAACTTTGTGTAGAGATAGGGTTTCACCATGTTGCTTAGGCTGGTCTCAAACTCCTGGACTCAAGGGATCCACCCACTTTGGTCTCCCAAAGTGCTGGGATTACCCACATCCTAGTACCAACTTTATCACTTCTGATGGCATTAGGACACACAGGCCATTTATAAGAGCAGTGTTTGAGACCTCCTGTGTGTCACTTCCAATCCTCTTGGCCTTCATACTAAAGTCACTGCTGTGGCAACCAGTTTCAAGCAGGGCTGAACCTTGCCTCTTGCTCTGGGGATGTCTCACTTCCTGCCCCTGGGCTTCTCACCAGCTACAGGAACTGCCTAGCACTTGGGTATGTACAACCTGGAAGAGGTGTGGGGCCACCCCATCCCCTCCTCAAAGAAATTCACAGGCACAGTATGAGGCTAAAGTAACTTCCATCTTGGATGCTAATCTACCATGTTGACTTCTGATAACCAGTTCCTGGAATGCCCTCTAAGATTTCTACTTTTATCTATTAAAAGAACACACACACACACACACACTGTAAATCCTGGCCTTAAGCAAGTTATAGGCTAAGTTGTAAACAGCATTCTTGCCTTTCCCTGAGGAGGTGACTTCAGTGTCTCACATGTTCCTTCATGTACCCCCTTTTCTCTATGGCATATAAGCCCTGGGTCGGGGGGTAACTGTGGGGATCACTGCCTGAGACATGGCTTCTGTGCATAAGTCCCTATTAAATGTTTCTTTCTGACAAACTGGATTTGTTGGCCTCTTTCTTTGGCATCTCAGCACTCTCAGCCTTTGGGGGTAGGTTGCATAGACCTGGTCACTATACAACACATATTTCCTAGGACTTGTCACAAGTTCCCTCAAGATCTAGCACTAGTGCCTATGTTTTGGCTAACTCAATGAATATGTTGTTAATAGGCTTGTCTGTCTTGTTTCATTTTGCCACTGTTCCCTGGGATCACTTCCCAAATTTACATATGTAAGCTTTTGGCTCAGGCTCTGCTTATAGGAGAACCAAGGATAAATCAAAGCAGTGAAGTAACACTGGCAGACAAAAAGATGACTTCTAAGATAATTCTTTTGTTACTATATATTTTATGAATGTCTATATTAAAAAATCTTTTTTTTGGCTGAAAACATTCCTGCTTAGATTAGACCAATTCTGTCAACTATAAAACTGACAATATATTCAGATTGTTTTCTAAAGAAAAGCCACGAAGTTGGTTTATAGCTTTAATTTGTTATCCAGCAATACAGCTATAACCTTTTAATATTAAGCTTCACTTTGAAAACCTAAGCCACTTACATGAATAGGTTAGTGGCACCTTCACAAAAATCTTCTCTATTAACTTTAGTTCAAAGGCTTTATTTTTCCATTCTGAATCTTAAATGTAGCAGTCTAAACTGTCCCATCAGCTTTTTTCTCTTGCCCTTTACAAATTAGTTTTCTCACTTAAAGCTATTTTTGTTTTTTGCTTTTTCACTAGTGAAAATGTTACTTCCCCCATGAAAGGACATTTCTTGTAATAAATCTACCTGTGAATTTTGCTATATTTCTTTGTTGGTTTGGCTTTACAAATATGTAGCTGTCTTCTCACATGTTACCTGCTGTAAAACCATTCATTTGAATCTTAATAGCTTTCACGTTTACAGTAACAAATGAATTTCCGAGAAATCAAGTAAGTTGCCCAAGATCCAACATATATAATAAACATCAGAACTAGAACTTGAATTCTGTTCTTTCGGTTGTTTCCAACATGGACTAACACATTTTATCAAGAATGTTTTCAATATTCAAATAAGGACTCAAAAAAATAGGCTTACATAGTAACTTTTATCCATCAACTTACCTATCGATGCTTAACAGAAAAGCAGCCCCCTTTTACCTAGCCCATTTTAACATTTAAAAAAAAAATACCCATAGTAGACATATTCTTTAAAAGACAAAAGCCCAATAAAACGTCAAACCCTTCTGTACATAGTTGTAACAGGTTTTCATTTTATGGATGTGCTCTTGTCAGTTTGTTAAAATAGGGGAATCAGCTAGTAGCTGTTCTAATGAACACCATAATTCAATAACTTACAAACTTTTTTCACCTCAGGCACAAATTCTTGTTTCGAGAAGGCACAGGTTTTAAAGCTCAAGTGATCCTCCTGAAGTTACAGATGCACAACATTTAAAACAATGTTGAAATTCTTCTAGGTATTTAACTCCAGTTAGCATAAAGCTTTTTTTTTTTTTTTTGAATCTTCAGCTAAACCGGGAACCATTAGTCAAGACTTCCTGTTACACTGGCTATAAAGCATCTCAACAGGTGGATTCCAGAAAAGGTCACAGCACTGTGAAAAGAAAAGAGAAATAATTTTCTTCCTTTCCTCAGATATAACATCTGAATTCATCAACTTAAAAAAATTTACAAATTCTTATGATTTCATATATGAAAGCAGAACATCTTTTAATGTGTTCTAGCTTTCTTCTCTTCCCCCAGCCGCGTCTTGTAGTATTCTAAAATCTGATGATCAATATTATCTGATCCATTTCCTTCATGATTCCAAAAATTTCACTATATCTTCTATTTTGCTTTGTTTTCCAGAATAAGTCTTGATCTCTTTAGTTTGTTCTTTTTGTAATAAATATTCAATTACCTTGTTAGACTTTTTAGGTTTTAAAAAAATTACCATCACCATTATTGTACATATTATTTATCTATCTGTCTTCCTATATCCATCTGTGCGTCCGTCTGTCCGTCCGTATGGAGATCAGCCAAAATGTTTCTCAGGTATGGATATACTACAGTTTTTTTTGGTGGTGGTGGTGGTTTTTGAGACAGAGTCTCACTCTGTCGCCCAGGCTGGAGTGCAATGGCGTGATCTTGGCTCACTGCAACCTCTGCCTCCCGAGCAGCTGGGATTACAGGCATGTGCCACCACATCTGGCTAATTTTTTTTTTTATTTTAATTTTTCTAGAGATGGGGTTTCACCATGTTGACCAGGCTGGTTTTGGACTCCCGACCTCAGGTGATCTGCCCACCTCGGCCTCCCAAAAATGCTAGGATCACAGGCATGAGCCATGGCACCTGGCCTTCAAATGTCTCTAGTTTTAAGTGACACTTTAAGAAACACTGATAATATTACAGGTTTTCAGTACATAACGTTATAAAAACAATTCAACTAACAAGTGGATAAAGAAAATGTGGTATTTATGTACCATGTAATACTACTCAGCCATAAAATGGAACAAAATAATGGCATGTGAAGCAACCTGGATGGAGGTGGAGACCATTATTCTAAGTGAAGTAACTCAGGAATAAAAAGCCAAATACTGTATGTTCTCACTTAGAAGTGGGAGCTAAGCTATGAGGACACAAATGCATAAGAATGATATAATGGACTTTGGGGATTCATGGGGAAAGGTGGGAGGGGTGAGCGAAAAAAGACTACACATAGGGTACAGTGTACACTGCTCAGGTGATGGGTGCACTAAAATCTCATAAATAACCACTAAAGAACTTTTCCATGCAACCAAAAACCTGTTCCCCAAAAACTATCGAAATAAAAAAAAAACCCACAACATTCTCAAGATTACTTCATAAAAAACAAAAAACAAAACAATTCAACTCTTACCTTACAGGAAACAACTGAGGAAAACATCCTTGAGTTTTCATGTTAACAAATTTCTGGATCTGAAGCACTTGTTTTAAAAGATGTCCCTTGGAAGATTTGTCAATTTTTGTTAATACAATCTATAAGAAAACAAATTTTTATGCATTAGAAATAAAGTGGTTCTTAATAATTTTACACATTTTAGCTATAATTTTTCATTTACAACTAGGTGACCCGTGCAAATTTATCTCTGTACCTATTTCCTCATCTATAAAATAAAAATAATGACCCATAAAGGGGTAGCTGAAAAGATTAAATGAGCAAATGTGTGAAACACATCAAGTATACACTGTATGTCTGCTGCTTAATGGTGCTTTAACCACATAGGGCCACAATATCTTGGAAAGATCAATGAGAAGGGTCCTGGAGTTATATTTGCAATTGTTCATATGATCACAATATACCTGATAGCTTAAGATATATAAATGAATATTGGGTTTATCTATACAAAATTGCCAATTTGTAATCATTTTTTGACCTATACTCTAAAGAAAAAAATCAGAAATCAGGCTATTTGTAGGTTCTATCTACTAGTTATATTCCAAGTAAGTCCAGAATTCTACTTGTCCAGAGACAAGTAACATAGTGCAGAAAGGTCAAAGTATGGGTGATTATTACAAAAATCAATTAAAAATAAAACCTTAATCCACCAGATATTCCTGGTGAGTTTCTGTAAAATTAAATTTCCTGGCAAATCATGCTTTTTAGTCATAAAAGATGCTAATGGCAGGAGTGTGGTGTCATGATACATATATTGGTTTATGTCCATGGTTCCTTTCTCATAACTCCCATAGCCCTTGTTACGATCATTTGTTATAATGTTGGATATGTTAGGCATCAGGAAACAAAATCTCTCTGACCTCCTGCCTTCCATTCACCTGCTCCAAGACAAGACTTGTAATCTTCTCTCACCTTTCTGATTGTGGTCATATGACCCTCATTCCAGAGAGGGTCCCACCTCATACCCTGGGGGAAGGGATGCTGATGTTATGAAGCTTCCATAAAAGCCCAGGAAGACTGGGTTTGGAGAGCTTCCAAATAGCTGAACACAGGTAGGTTTCCAAAGGGTGGCATGCCCAAGGAGGACATGGAGGTTCTGTGCATCTTCATTATATCCTTTGTAATATACTTTATAATACCATCAGAAAACATGTTTCCCTGAGTTCTGTGAGCCACTCCAGCAATTAAACCCAAAGAGGGGGTAGTTGGAACCCCAACTTGAAGCCAGTCTAGATATTCTAGAGGCCCAAAATTGTGACTAGTGTCTGAAGCCGGGTGGGAGGAGTCGTCTTGGGGACTGAATCCTCAATCTGTGGGATTGTGTCCACTGGTTGTTGGTGAAGACAAAAACCCCTACACATTTAGCCACAGAAGTCTTCTGTGTTAATTGTTGTGGTATGAGAGCAGAGGAAAAACATGGTTCCAGTGTTTTTCCCACAGTGAGAAGCAGAAAGTGTGTGGTTTCTAATGACTTGTGAACCCCTCCGCAAATGGGAGTCTTTCCTCATAAAGGCAAATGTTCTGATATTTAAAAGGAGATACAGATATAACTTTTCTATTCCAATTCCTTTTCCAACGAAGAAAGTAATATTTCCTTTCAGTTAAAATTGAGGAAAATATATGATTTCATAAACTAGTATCTGCGATACCAAATAAAGAATACTATTATTTAGTTTGGCAATATTTAGGCATTTTTACTAGGCAGACTATCAATCCTTTGACTTCTCATAACTATAAATCATCTCTAATGCTTCATAGGGCTTTTGCAGACCCCAAGAATTCCAAGACCCCAAGAATAAAACAAAAGTGGCTGACTAGTAATTTGGTGTGATTTGTACTAAACTCCACTGTTACATATTAGTGGCTGACATCTTTTTGAAAGCAAATTAGTTATTGGGTTCTTCACTTTTCTTTGGAAAGAAACTTTAAGAGTGCCATTTTTTCTGGAAGTCTCACAAAGCAAAATTAATGTGGATACCAATCTACAATTCTGGTATTCTAGTCTAGGTCAAAAGACCAAGAATACTGGTAAGAAATTCCCAGAAGAAATTTTGTTTGCTTTAAAAATATAAAAATCCTACTTGTGTGTGCTGGAGGCTGCTATGTTCCTGGAACAATTTTAAAGTTTTAAATTAGTTAAGCAACTTTTTAAGTTGCAGTTTTATTCACATTCTTATAAGTACTATCTGCCACGCTGCTGTTAAAGAGCTACTAACTTTTTCTGAACAAATGTTTATGTTGCCATAAAAAGAAAAAAATATGAACAGTATCTAGGAACATTAAATGAACAGCCTAAAGAAACCTTTACTTTGACTATAATTTTCAAAACATAGCTGAGTGACAGAAAAGAGAATAAAAGTGCCATAGAACTTCTTTTAATATTAATGGATGATTAATTGAAAAGATTATTCAAAAGGCACTCTCCTTTATCTTTTGAGGCAACACAAGCTCAATTGTTAAAAGGTGCATGTTCACACAGATGCACGTAGAACTGATATTTCTAATTGCAACCATGATTCAAAGGAAGTACTTACCACATAAGGTAATGCAAATTCTTCACACATTTCTATGGCAATATTGTCTGTTTTTTGAATTCCAACAACGCTATCCACTAATAAAAATGTTCTCTTCAAGCTATAAGCATGTAGAAAAGAAGATTAATGGCAATATAAAATATACCCATTCATTTATCCCCTCTTCCTTACTGTACTAAGAAATTCTTCTTTGAATAATTCTCATTCCAAAATTAAAACATTTCTTTAGGCAACAGGAATTCTCAATTTGCCAGAAGTTTATCCTGCAGTCCAGTAGGTCTCAATGCTATTTACTTTCAATAACTAAATTCACTAAATATTAATTTAAATCAATAAGGATATATTGGATATAAGACATTCTGCCTGGGACTTGATATATAATGAGTGAGTTCCCTCCTCTAAAAGCTTAAACTCGAGGAGGAGAAAGAGATACAAATCAAATTAACCATAAATTACAGATTATAAATTATAGGAACCATAAATTATAAAAAATTAACCATAAGTTATAAATTTTTTTTTTTGTTTTTTTAGACAGAGCCTCATTCTGTTGCCCAGGGTAGAATGCAGTGGCACAATCTTGGCTCACTAACCTCTGCCTCCTGGGTTTGAGTGATTGTCCTGCCTCAGTCTCCTGAGGAGTTGGGATTACAGGCATGTGCCACCATGCCTGGCTGATTTTTTTTTTTTTGTATTTTTAGTAGAGTTGAGGTTTTGCCATGTTGCCAGGCTGGTCTCGAACTCCTGACCTCAAGTGATCCGCCGACCTCGGCCTCCCAAAGTGCTGAGATTACAGGCGTGAGCCGGCGTGCCTGGTCTATATGGGAATTTTTAAATATTACCCTAACACTAACAGATAACAGAAACCAGACACATTATATCTTGCATTTTATGTAAATATTTGATTTTACCCCTTATGTAAAGCTACAACAAACAAGATACATTTTTTTCATTTCAAAAGATTAACATCAATTTTCTATATATTGTGCAATTCTTAGAACTATCACTTGATTACATAAGGAGACAAAAAAGAGATATCATTTGCAGCAAATGTGATGTCTGAAGTATTTTAAGAATGATCAGAATTTACTGATTTTAACCAACAATTTTCATTTTCAAAATTAGCCAGGTAAGAGTTTGGTTTTAAAAAAAATTAATGGGCCAGGTGCGGTGGTTCATGCCTGTAATCTCACACTTTGGGAGGGCAAGGCGGGTGGATCACCTGAGGTCAGGAGTTCGAGACCAGCCTGGCCAACACAGTGAAACCCTGTCTCTACTAAAAATACAAAAATGAGCCGGGCATGGTGGCGTGCACCTGTAGTCTCAGCTACTCAGGAGGCTGAGGCGGGAGAATCACTTGAACTCTGGAGAAGAAGGTTGCAGTGATCCTAGATTGCATGACTGCATTCCAGCCTGGGTCACAGAACGAGACTGTCTCAAAAAAAAAAATGAAAAAAAAAATGCTGAAGTACACTTTACTCTCAATCTCAATTTGGGAAAACACTTAAATTTAATATTAAGGGTAAGCTAAACCACAGACAGAAAACAAGCAAGCAGTATATACCTTGGTCCTAAATATTGTATTATAGAATATTATGAGAATAAAATGGACCTTATAAAATAAGTCATTTGATAAAACTGAAGTGTTAATCATGTGTATAATACTCTACTGATGAAAACATGCTTTGGGGTTAAATGTATAACTATTATAAGAAAATCTTTTCCTTACTTCCTTCGTTCTTTTAGATAGGTCTCTACCATGTCAACAAAATCTTCAGGTGCTCTAAAGCCATAACCTGGCATGTCCACCACTGTAAAATGTTTTCCAACTTTGAAAAAATTCATTTTCTTTGTGTGTCCCTGATAAAGTAAATAGAAAAAGAAAAGCTGTCTTAAGATATGTCCTCCATCTAGTTAATGATTCAAAATGTTTTCCAGTTAATCAACAAATATTTATTAAAAGCCAAGTATATAACCTTAACTATGCTGATGATGACACAGGAAAAGAAGACAGAAGGGAAATGGCTGGAGATAAGTTTAGATCATACTACTTTTCGCTTCATTTTAAAAAAAGAATCTGTATGACTTAAGAAGAACTTTAGATTCCATATTAGAAACATGTAGGCAAAATATTTTGGAGTCTTTCCTATTGCATTCACTCTTAGTGAAAAATTCACCCTGTTCTAAATTGTGACTGCATCAGTCAATATTCTCTGATGAACAATGTATCTCCACTTTAAAGAGAAACTAATTATGGCAAGGATAGGTTAAAATGTTTACCATCAGTCATACACATTTTCATAAAACCTAGATCCAAACTCTGATCGTTTCTTATACCTAGACTATTGCTTCCCTAAAATCAAGATGTTTTGCATGTTTTATTAGGTGGATTTTAGTGCTTTTATTAAACAATTTTTTACTGCATATACAACATGATAATTACAAAACATTTGTGCAACTAAAATTGATGCACAGATGATGAAAAGTGGTTTACTCAGTTTTGTGTCCATAGAACAGATATTAATCAGAAAAGATAAGATTATGATAGGCAACTTTTTTTTTTTTTTTTTTGAGACAGAGTTTCACTCTTGTTGTCCAGGCTGGAGTGCAATGGTGCAATCTCAGCTCACCGCAACCTCCACCTCCTGGGTTCAAGCGATTCTCTTGCCTCAGCCTCCCGATTAGCTGGAATTACAGGAATGCACCACCGCGCCTGGCTAATTTTGTATTTTTAGTGGAAATGGGGTTTCTCCATGTTGGTCAGGCTGGTCTCGAACTCCCAACCTCAGGTGATTGGCCAGCCTCGGCCTCCCCAAAGTGCTGGGATTACAGGCATGAGCCACTGTGCCCGGCAAGATAGGCAATTTTTAAAGTTAAGTCAATTGTTTGGATCTTAGAACAAATATTATCAAAGGAAAGATTTTTATAAATGGTGATTTTAAGTTCCCAGTCAGTTTATTTGTCTACAGGAAAATGATTTTAGAATTACAGATTGGGAATGTCAAGAATACATTTCCTCCATTGTCCTCTCACAAAAGGAAGGAGATCACTCTACTTAGAAGTGATCATTTGGCTGATTTATTTGGTGAGGCGGGGCAGGAGTAAGGATGGGAGGGTTAAGTAATGGGAAGAATCATTAGCGATGGAGCCAGAGAATCATTTTATGAAGTGAGGAGCAAGAAAAGACCTAGTGAAGTCTCATGGAAGGGTTCCAACTCAATGAAAGGGGTGTGTGTGCGTTCGTGCACGCACATACACAGGGATAGTGAACATTAGGGTTGGTGGAAAGGTTTACCATGGCCAGATATGGTGAGACAAAGTGGGGGTGATTTTGAAGAAAGGGTATCTTAGATATTGGCAGAGACTGCGTCGTTGAGAAGAAAGTAGAGGGAATTAGAAAATGAAAGAAAGCTATTACAGCAGACTGGCTAGGAAAACAAGCACATAAGAATATGCCGAATGTGTGTGTGTAACTAATCACGTACTTTATACCTTAAAAAAGATTATAGGAGGAAAAAAGCAAGAAAAACCTAAAAGCCATTTACCGTACAATCAGTGTAGAACTAGATGATCACTGTTATAGGAGGAAATATAGAATGACAATAAGACACTTTATTTGGCAACTCTGCAAAATTTGGATAAAGAAAGACTTTCTGAAGATATTGTCTAGACTACTAAAATAAATCCAGCTACACTTCCTTTTCTTCAGAGGAATACACAGGCATTAGGATGTCTTACTTTATTACTTTTTTGAAAGAAATCACTTCTCTAGGAACTTAGTAATTATGATTTCTTATACCTTCCAGCATTTATTATTCATGTTAGTTAATCCAAGAGATAGTCCAAACATATTTAAAAACTTCAACATACTGGTTTTTTGGAGACTCTGACTTCAACCTCAGGGGCCAGTGAAAATAAAGCCTTGATTAGAGATGATTTTCCAACATTGCTTCTGCCTATAAAACACACCTTATACAAGAAAAAACAAGATAAGTACGTACTAGCTGTATATGCTATTCTGCATTAGATGTAAAAAACTTCAAATTCTAACACAGCTAATATTTATTGAATGAATTAAATGTGCCAGGTACTATTTTAAGCATTCAGCATATATTTTCTTATTCATTTTTTACAGCATCTAGGAGGTAGGTGATATTATCCCCATTTTACGGATGAGAGAACACAACTAACCCAAAATTATACAGCTAGAAAGTGAAGGAGTTGGGATTTGAACTCAGGACATGTATATCTAGAATCTGTGCTTTTAGTTTCACTACGCTACTCAAGAATATATGCAACTTTTATTAAGCATTTCATATTTACAAAGCTTTTTAGAGTAAAAACTAGATGTAGTTCAACAGAACTAGATGAAAAGTACAACTACATGTTTGGAAGCACATTTTCTCAAGCACTCCCATGGTATACTGTAACACCACTGCAATTTAAAAACTTACTCTTTTCCCTTGACCTCTCTTGTTCCAATTAAGCTTGTCTCCTCTGTAGTGTGGAAAACAACAGAATATTCTCGATAATAACCATTAATACACATGGCTCTGCTTTTGAACATGGTATTGGGGGAGGGGGTACAATGCCAATCAGTTGTTCTAAATGACGGCCGTACTGCCCCTTGAGGGACATTTTGGAGATTTTAAGGGCATTTTTGGTTATCAAGACAATTGGGGGACATTTAGTGGGCAGGGGCCAGGGATCCTATCCTGGAAAATTCTGGTCAGTTCTTCAAAATTAATTGATCTGAGTCCTGCAAAAATTTTAAATGCTCTGCCAGAGCAAATCTAATGCTAATATGTAGATAAAACTGAATTTTAAAAACGAATTACAAAAAAGTCCAGTAATTTAGAAGCTTAAATAAAAAAGCAATGGCTGTCTCAAAATCATTAAATAATTGAGGTACTCTTTGAATCCTGACTATAGTTCCACATATATTTAGACGAAATATCTCTGGGCAATGGTGCACTTAGTGTAAATACATATGGAGAGTTGAGATGCCTTTTAGCAGACTTAGAACAGAATATCAATAAATTGTAGGACATGCAAGAATGCTCACTCATGAAATTTCACTAATAAACGTTGTTATAAAAATTTTTCCACATTATTGCCATCTAGAGATTATTATTTTTGCACGATAGGAAATTTAGATTAGGCGAAAGTTACTTATTGATAAGGACCATCTCATTTGTGAAACTATTATTCGTTTCCTATTCTTCACTGTCTAAATTCTGTCTAATTTGTCTGGCATGTTTTCCCTACTTAAGTTAAATAGAAGAAAAAAGGAGAGTTAATTTTTTGAATGCTTAATTTGGGTTTGAAAAGCTTTTAAAGCATTTTGAAGTCTTCTATATTCATTCCAAAATAATTTAAGCTGTATACAGGCAGTCTCTGCTTACAGTGGGTCGACTTAACGATTTTTGACTTTACCATGGGTTTATGGGTATTGACTGCATTTTGTACTTAACAATGGGTTTCTCGGGTATCCCCACGTACAGGGAGCATCGACATATGCCTATTGAGTTAAAATAATATATGCGCCAACATAAAGCTAGAAAATACAACCGCAAAATCACCCGCGAGCCGGACGGCCAGGGAAGCGGTTAGCGCTGTGACGCCGGCGCGCAGGTGAACCGTGAGAATCGCCTCTCACCTCTGGCCGCGGAAGGTCCGGGGCGTGGTCGATACGGACGGCGGAGCTGACGTAGTCGATGCGGTTCCGTTCAGTGGCCGTGAAGATGTTGTCCGCCCTGGCTATGTCCTCCGGGCTTGGGTCAAAGATACGCAGGTGAAGGTCTTGCCTCCCGTAGGGGGCGAGGAACCGCTCTACTTCCTGCAGCGGGTACAGCAGCTTCCTCAGCTGCTGCTTCGGCAGCCGCAGCACCTCAGCAAAAGCTTGGGACGTGCTATTATAGCGGCTCAGTCGCTCTAGCACCGCAGGCATTTCAAAGAGTCTTCCCGCTCCCAGCCGCAGCCCGGGCGCCGCCATTCTCCCTTCCCAGAAGACGGGCAGAGAGATTTTACTCCTGTGGCCTGGGTTGCGCGTGCGTGACTTCCCGCTGCCGCGACGCCTGCTGGGAGTTGTTGTCTCCTCTGGCCTCGCTCGTTCCGGTCTAAGTGTTTTGCCTTCAGTGCGCGGGAGGAGGGTGGAGGCAGGCGGTGACCTGCGGGGAACAGCTCACTGGGTTTCTTTAACACCGTGGGCTTAACGATTATGTCTTACTGGAAGGATGTTTAACGGTTTGCAGAGGTGAAAGACCTATCTGGCCATGTGGCCTTTGAGTCTCAAGCGAAGGACTAAAGTGTGAAGCTCCGATGCATTCCAGGAACGTTTGATTTTCACAGTTTTTGGTTATCTTATTAACTGTTGACGTTTGTCGTAAGTCCGCAGCACTAGGATAAACACTTTTGCAAAAAAGAAAAGGGCTGATGAGAAATGTGATTGTAATAGCACCTCGTTTTCGTGGAAGGGACTGTTTGTATTTCCGCCTTCACTATAGGTGCAGGAAATGTCATTAAATTTTAGAGATTTCTTATAAAAACAGTTTTGCACAGATGTTACAGAATTGTTTCGTGGACGTTTCGTAATATCATCTTATTTCAAAAGTTTCTCCCTAAAGTCGATCAGTACTGAAATGGGAGATACAGGTATCATAATGATGAAATGAATAACTGAAAAATATTCATATGTTAAAAAAACTAGGTTTTCTAAAACATCAGCAGCCCAGAAAGGGTAACTCATGGTTTCTTGAGCTATTCCCCAGGTTGTTCAGTAATTAAACAGTACAATTCTTGAATAAATATGATACAAAAATTAATGAACAGAACCTGCGACTTTGAGGGCAGCCAATACGGCAGCCTGATGTGCTGCTGGCTGGCTAATTTTTTATTGCTCTTTGCATTAGGGTTTGGGGTGCCTTTCTGTTCGCTATTCTCTCTCCTCCATGTATAAAAGTGTGTATAATACTCTGTTGTATACATCAGAAATTTGGGATTCTCATTAGTGTGTGTTTCACTCATCCATGTGAAGAGATCACCAAACAGTCTTTGTGTGAGCAACAAGGCTGTTTATTTCACCTGGGTGCAGGTGGGCTGAGTCCCAAAAGAGAGTCAGCAAAGGTGGTGGGATTATCATTAGTTCTTATAGGTTTTGGGACAGGCGGTGGAGTTAAGAGCAATGTTTTAGGGGCAGAGGGTAGATCTCACAAAGTACATTCTCAAGGGTGGGGAGAATTACAAAGAAACTTCTTAAGGGTGGGGGAGATTATAAAGAACATTGATCAGTTAGGATAGGGCAGAAACAAATCACAATGGTGGAATGTCATCAGTTAAGCTGTTTTCCCTTCTGTGGATCTTCAGGCCTTCTGGATGTATACGTGCAGGTCACTGGGGATATGATGGCTTAGCTTGGGCTCAGAGGCCTGACGCTGTGTATGTAATATACTTTGAAAGTGCTTTTATACATGCCATTTTGTTTTCAAACCTTGGAACCCCAGGTTTGGAAATAAGAGCATAAAAGAGTTTTGGCGATTCTTAGAAAGGTTTTAGAGGTGTTCCGGGATTAATAGACATTATAGTATTCATTTAATAATCATTCATGTTTCTGAATTCTAAATCATTTTGGATTTCACCTGATAGGACAAATCATTTTAGAATTATTTGACAGGACAGTTTTTGCAACAAATTGTCTTGTCATGCAAAGCTTGAAGGATCAAACGGTCTACTGGAAAGAAGTATGACTAGTAAAACCACTTGACAATTTATATATTTTTTTCTCTTTCACTTCATCTTTTAAAAGCATCTGTGTAAACAAAGCATATAAAACTTCAGGATGATTTAGAGTTAATAATACACTATGTTTTCCCTCAACATGATTAAACTCATAATTTGCAGAAGTTCAAATATGAAACATACATAGCAGTGAGACCTACTAGTGAGACAGGTGAGGGCTAGAATTGGGAGGAATTAGTTTATAATAACCCCATTGTAGGGCTGCAGTGGAAATCATCTGGTCTACAGGGAATTATCAAAGCCCAGGAAAAGAGGCTCACACCTGTAATCCTAGCACTTTGGGAGGCCAAGGCAGGAGGATCGCTTGAGCCTGGGCAACAAAACGAGACTGTCCCTAAAAAAATAATAAAAACAAAATTAGTATTGAAGGGAATCAAGTCTGGTGGATAGGATGTTGTGACAGGACTTTCTGGGTTCTGGCAATAGTACTGTGAATCTGTTGTTGTTGGCAGCATCTTGGTTCGAGGTGGTCTTTTTGTGTGTGGAGTAGGAGCTTAGCCAATAAGTGTAGATTGGGAGTCAGGATCTAGCCTGCTAGATCAGGACTAGGTCAGGGCTAAGATTCAGAATAGGGTTTTAGTCCAAGTAGGGAAAAGAAGGACTGTAGATTAGAAAATCTTGCTGTCTAATATGCGCCTCCCATTTCCTAGGTCCAAAACAGAATTTCTAATATCCTTTAATTGTCTCCTAATCTGTAAGAGACAATGGCACCTCCATTCCTCCAATTGACTTAGCTGAAAATCTTGGGAGAAAATTCTGGACTCCTTTTTCTGTTACCCCAAGTCCAAGTTGTTAGCAATCCCCTTGGCTTTACCTTGAAAACATATCCTGAATTGGATACTTTTTAGCACATCCACTGCCACCACCCTGATACAAGCCACCATTATCTCCCACCTAGATTATTGCAGTAGCTTTCAAATTGATCACCCACCTTTGCCCTTTGCCCCCTTCAGTATATTTGCAACATGGTGATAGGGAAGTGGGGCAGGGAAGTGGGGCAGGGAATTGTGAGGAGAAGGGCAGGTCCCTGGCTAGAGCTCCACCCCCGGCCTGTGCCCACGGACCTAGGTGAGGACAGGCACTTCTGGCTTTGTGCCCAAATGTTGCATTTCCCAAAGCCACCCAGGTCTGCCACACCCCCATCCTGTGCCTATAAAAACCCCGACACCTAGCAGGCAGACACACAAGTGGTTGGACCTTGAGAGGAACACCTTGGTGGAAGAAGACACGAGCTGCTGGATGTCAAGAGGACGTCGAGGGGAGCAAGCTGCCCACCAGCAGGCCATTGACCAGTAGAATGATGCAGAGTTTGGCCGGGGCGGTTGGAGGGCTGCTGAGTGGCTGAACTCCTGGGGAAAACCATCTCCCTTCTGGCTCCCCTATCTGCTGTGAGCTACTTCCAGTCAAAACCATGCACTCATTCTCCAAGCCCATGTGTGATCCGATTCTTCCAGTACACCAAGGCAAGAACCCAGGATATAGAAAACTCTTTGTCCTTGTGACAAGGTAGACGGTCTAATTAGCTGGTTAACACAAGCTGCCTATAGATGACAAAACTAAAAGCGCACACGGTAGCAGATGCCCACTGAGGCTTCAGGAGCTGTAAACATCCACCCCTAGATGCTGCCGTGGGGTCGGAGCCCCACAACCTGCCTGTCTGTATGCTCCCCTAGAGGTTTGAGCAGTGGGGCCCTGAAGAAGCGAGCCATTCCTTGTCACATGCCCTTCGAGCGGGACAAGAGTACTTTTCCCATTTCAGTGGCAGCAACCATGATCCTGTTAAAACATAAGCTAAACCTCCAAGAGCTTCCTGTCTCACTCATAGAAAAAGTTCTTGCACTAACCTAAAAAGCCCTACATGAACTTTCATTTTCTTCTTCCACTCTTGTCTGACTTCATCTATTGTTATTTTTCCCCTTTTCTACTCCATTCCAGCCACACTGGCTTCCTTGCTGTTTTTCAAGCAAGCCATATACACACACCTGCCTCTGTGTCCTTGTACTTCTCCCTGGAATGCTTACCCCAGATAATCACATGGCTTATTCCCAGTTTGACTTAGGATGTATTTATGGCCAACCTTCTGAGAAAAAGTGCCTTCTGTTTTGATAACGAGGAGGTAGTTTACCACAAAGTTAACAAGGTTTTAAAAATTTAATATGACTTTGACAGGCGTTACTTTATACATCATCCCCAGAATCAGCTTTTATTGCTAAAATTCATCTGCCCTAAATGTCATAGTTATACTCTGTCATGCTCAGCTAAGAATAGAAGGAAGATAGGTAGGACAGGATCCTCTCAATTGTTCTTACTGCGATGTCTGCCTCTATAGTGAATGGCCATTAGGTCCAGAGTGATCCCAATTTATGTCCAGGTCCTATAGGTTTCAAGCTTATGGAATCCATCTAAGACATGAAGAAGGTAAACTTTGTAGGCCTAGATAGGTAGGGGCACTGGGAACATCAGATAACTCCCATCCTAAGTTAAACATGGTTTGAATGTCCTGACAGAAGCAAGAGCAGGGACTCTAGCAAAACTTACTTCTAGAAATAGAGAGAGGGAATGGATTAGGTCTCAGTGTCTGATTTCCACTAGACCTTTCTTACCCTGACTTTTCTGCTTGTCTTAACAACAATAATGAACATTTATTGGGTGTCTGCTATGCCAGGAATTTATCTGAGTACTGATAAACTATGAGAAAGACCTGGTTACATTCCAATTAGGATATCAAACTCTTGTATTAGGAAGAAAATATTGGGAGAAAGGAAGATGAAAGAGGCTTTATATGAAGGAGCATGATATGGGAGAAACTTCCACATAAATTACTTAAATTGTGATGACTACTATCTGAATGAATGATTTAAATTTAAAATACAATTAATTATATTTTTCTTGAGTTTTCTGTGCAACATTCATTTTAAAATTTTACTTTAGATATTACCTGACACATTGACACAAATTTGTGGCACAACAAGTTTGATTTGTTCACCTAATTTCTTTCTTTTTTTTTTTAGAGACAAGGTCTCGCTCTGTTGCCCAGGCTGGAATGGGCACAATCATGGCTCACTGTAGTCTCAACCTCCTGGGCTCAAGTGATCTTCCTGCCTCAGCCTCCTAAGTAGCTGAGACGACAGGCACTCAACCACCCTTGGCTAATTTTACAAAGTTTTTTTGTGTGTGTGTGCTTTTTTTTTTTGGAGAGACAGAGTCTCACTATGTTGCTGAGGTCAGTTTTGAACTCCTAGCCTCAAGAAATCATCCTGCCTTAGCCTCCCAAAATGTTGGGATTACAGGCATGAGCCACCACGCCCAGGCTTAATTTCTTAATTAGGGCATAAATTATTATTCTTGAGATTTATTATTTTACTATAATTCAAGAACCAATAGAGACCTATTTTCCATGATTTTAGTCTTTGGAGCTCATGAAAGCATTGAGCTTTTTAAATATCTGATTAATGTGTCTTTAGAGAATATATCTAAATTTAGAGAAGTTGTTTCTTTTTCAGAGAAGTTGTTTGAGCTTTCTTTTAAGGTTGTGCCTACTGCACTGACAGATTTCTCTAAAGAGATCTGGAGATTAACCATCAGACAGTAATCATAGGTAGGAGGTGAGTTTGTAGAGTGATTTGGATTCTGGAGGAGGAGTAAAGGTTCACTTCTTTCAAGGTTGTTTTTATCAATAGAGGGAGAAATGATTGCTTTAAGTGGTCTTAATTTTTTTCATTCGTAATTTTGCATTTGGCTCTGTGTCATACAAGTGCTATTAAAATAATTTGGAACACTATTTACCATATTCAGGTTGTGTTTTTATATCAGTAACAAGCTCAGAGGGTTTTTTTAAAATTGTTTTTGGAAAATAGTATGGATTTTGCTGTTCTGACTGATTAATTCGTTAACATTTTAATTCTTGTTGTGTGTTAAGCAAGGTTATTTTAGTGGGCAAGTTTACTTTGTAGTACACATCTAGTTTATATCTTGTTGCCTTGTTGGAAGTGAATGGAATGTTCTCTAACACCCTGAGGAGATGAGGCAACATTCACAGGCAGATATATTGATGTATATTCAAATTTTTAACTTATTCATAGGTAGAGTGTGTCAGGTGTTCCCAAGACTAGCTCCCAAATGAGGCGAGCAAGGATGCACAGAACTCAGCATATAGTTGTACTTATGCCTATAATTTACAACAACAAAAGAATACAAAGCAAGCCTGGCAAGGGGAAAAGGCACTCAAAGTGAAGTTTGGAGGAAGCCAGGCACAAGCTTCTAATTGTCCCCTAAGTTGCACAGGATGCAATTAATTCTGCCAGCAATGAGTTTTAACAACATGTGTGAAATGTTGTCTACTAGCAAAGCTCACCTGAGTCTAGGAGTCCAGGGTTTTTACCGAGCGCTGTTCATATAGGCATCTAGTGCCTGTGTGACTGACTATAGTCACTGAAAGTTCAGATTTGCAGAAGGAAAGCAGCATCAGTATGTACCACTTGTTTGTTCAAATAGTTTAGATACAGTGAGCCACTCATGAATGGAAAGTTGGCTCTGTGCCATGCAAGGAAACTGTTTACCAGTCAAGTTCTCAAATGTCAGCCCAGTGCCAATCTTGTAAACAAATCTTTCTAAGGGTAGCAGCCACAGGCCTGCTATATGAACTGTTTTCTGCACATAGATTAAAAGATAAAAACATTTAAAAATGAGAAGTTTCTCACCTGCACTTATTGTGAGATTGTATACTTGTAGGAAAGATGTATTCCAGGTTCTGCTCTAAATACAAGTGATTTCTCTGGAGATTTTTGAGAAAAGTGGGACAGACTTTCTCTAGTCATTTTAATAGGACATGGCAAAACTAGAATTCTTCCTGTGGAAGGAGGTTATAATCAAAGCTGCTGTCTCAGCCACCTGTAATAAAGTATGGGGCCTCTGGAGAGGAGTGCAATGAATTGGTGATTCAACTGGTATGAACATCAGGTTTAGCTGGAGTTGAGTGCAGCAATGTCCTTGAACATTCCCTCCAACCTCCTTACCCATCCTCCTCTAGGGGCTGGACAATCAGATTCAAACAATGTTTTGTGATTACTCTCTAGAAAGGAATAATGCCTGGTGTAGTGGTACTAGGTGGTTACCTAATAGGCAGGATCTCATGGGTGGCAGGCGCACGAGTGGTTGAGCCCAGAATGCTGTGATATATCTCTCTTCTGCCTAGACTAGTGCAAGTCAGAACCTAGCCTTTCACTCCTCTCTCTAGGTATCTGTTATTTACCAAGATAGCTGATTTTTTTTAAAAGATAGCTGATTTTACCATAATAGTATAATCTCACGAACTCACATTATGAACCCACAAGCAATAGAAGAAAAAGTAAGAAAAAGATAATTCATTCTAGAAGTAATCAGAATGAATGGACTTGGTGGGCAAAGAATTTAAATAAAAACAGAAAATATCCTCAGAGATAAGGGAATATATGGCAAACATGAAACAGGAAGCTTCTAAGAAGTACCAGTTGAACATATTAGATATGAATTATATTATTGTGAAGTAAATTTCTCAATGGATGTGTTTAATAGTTGAATAATATTATCAACTCAAAGAACAAAATAGCAGGATAATTAGATTGGAGAATATTTCAATAAATATTAGGAAGGGATAAAAAATATAAAGAATTTAAAAGTTAAGAGCTGCGAAGGTGAAAAGAAGAAATTTAAATAACAGTATTGTAAGAGTTGGGCATGGTGGCTTGGTCCTGTAATCCCAGCACTTTGGGAGGCCGAGGTGGGCAGATCGATTTGAGGCCAGGAGTAGGAGACCAGCCTGGCTAACATGATGAAACCCCTTTCTCTACTGTAAATGCAAAAAATTAGCCAGGTATGGTGGTGCACGCCCACAATCCCAACTACTTGGGAGGCTGAGGCATGAGAATTTCTTGAGCCTGAGTGGCAGAGATTGCAGTGAGCTGAGATTACACCACTGCACTCCAGCCTGGGTGAGAGAGCAAAACTCTGTCTCAAAAAACAAAACAACACAAAACAAAAGCAAACCAAACAATATTATAGGAGTACTTGAAAAAAATGAAGTAAAAGGAGGAAATTTGCTGAAAATTTCCAGAATTAAAGATACTTTGACTAGGAAGCAGAGCACTACTTCTTACAGGTTTCATTGCTTTATCATATTTAGCCAAGTAAAAGATAGAAATATTAAATCAAAAAAGATCTTATCTACTTCCTTTTCTCAATACAGAACATTCAACATTCAAACGTTTTCAGCAGTTTCATATTTCCTACTTCTTCTTTTCCCAAGGTGAGATAATCATAACAGTATTCTTTAGAAAATTCCCCTACACACATTTTGAAATCACATTAAATCACTCCAAGTTATTGGTAGTATATTAGTAAGTAAAAAGAAAGCATATAAGAAAGAAAGATCACTAGTAGGAAAATAGTCATAAAAGCATAACTTAGTTGTCAATGGAGCATAAATGATTTTAAGAAAAAAGTCTTAATATAGGCCTTCAGACTTTTAAAATTCTTAAATTTCCTGTATGGAATATCTGAGCTTTTATGTTTCAACAACATAATCAATGCTACAAGTGACCAAAATAAAAACGACTTTAATAAAATGCATTTCAGAAAGTTGTGGTAAAATGGAAGCAGTCACGAAACACAAGTGTTCTGTGGCTTCTGGTATCTGTTTACCTTTTTGCTGCTGCCCGCAAGTTAAATGATACAGTATTTTAGTTTTAAAAACCATGCTTTTGAAGCTGTAACTGCATCCTTCTTTTTCTAATCCAGTAGAGTGGAGATGATGTGAAATGGTCAAATTCAGGAAACATTTTAAAGTAGAGACCAAAAAGACTTGCTGATAGATGAGGAAAAGCAAAGAATCAAGGAATTGGACTTTTACATCAGGTGATACAGACTAAGAAATTTAGATCAATCTTCCCTCTCAAGCCAACTAGAAAATCTAGACATAATCATTTTAAAAGTCTACTGGATGGCAGATCAGTGACCTAGCAAGGTAATGAAGAATTACCTCACCAAGATTCAGAAAAAGAAAGAAATACAGATTGATGAAACTGGCATTGGAACTACATTTACCCTTGAGATGTTTACTGATTGATATAGAAGAGCTAGTTGAAAGGTGAGCAGTACCTTTTGTAGCCTCTTGAAATGAGAAAGAGTGGTTTGGGATAGGATGGAGTGGACGATAAAATCACCCCTTATATAGTGTCTTAGGCTGTTTTGTGTTACTATAACATAATACCACAGAATGGGTAATTTATAAAAGAAATTTATCTCCTACACAGTTCTAGAGGCTGGAGAGTCCAAGTTTGAGGGGCTGGCATCTGGTAAGGGCCTTCTTGCTCATCATAACATGGTTAAGGGTATCACATGGTTAGAGAGGAAGAGTGTGCATGTCAGCTCAGGTCTCTCTTCCTCTTATTAGAAAGCCACCAGTCCCATCGTTGGAGTCCCAACCTGATGACCTTATCTAATCCTGCTTACCTTTCGAATGCTGTACCTCCAATCAACATATAAGTTTGAGGATTAATTTCCAACATGAAATATGGAGGACACATTCAAGCCATAGCACATAGACTGCAACCTACCTTTGAGTCATCTGATTGCACAGAAAATTCTAGTCCTTAAAACTGGATTAAGGTGACTCCTGATTGCTACTGTTTATGGACTCCTGGCAGAAGCAAATGAAAATCTCCAGAGGAAGACAAAATTTTGCAGGGCCTCAAATAATTTCCAGTTTTTCTGCAATTTGAGAAAGAAAACACAATACCTGGCACATGAGGAGACCAAACATCACAGAAAGAACCAATAGAGATTTACCCACCATTACTTCAAATATTGGAATGATCAGACAGAGACTTTAAAATATTATTTTTATGTTTCAGGAGACAAAGGACTAAAAGTTTTGGTGGAAAACTAAAGTTACAAAAATGTTAGCAGATTCGAAAAAATCAAATAGCATCTGAGAACAGAAAAAAAAACAACACAGTAACCCAAAACTAAGAGGCTGAACTGAAATTTGAACCCAGAAGTTCAACTTAGGAGCCATAACCTTAACAGCTCCTCTCAAAATTAGATAAAAAATTGTGACATTCTTAAACTCCAACTGTAACTAATTAGAGTTTAGCCAACTTAAACTATTTTTCAGTTATTCACTGAAAACATTACATTATCTTATAAAAGATAGACAGGATGGTCAAATTTGGGGACAAAATAAGCCATTGATAAAATAAAACTGTGATGGATCAACAGAACATTTATCATTTCTTTGAGAAAGGCCCAATAAAATTTGAATAAAATTTCAGGCAAATATAAGCTTCTATGACTGACATAATTTTCATGATTCATATTCTTTTGTTAGAAAGTTATATAGAACTAATTTGCTTATCAATTAATATTGTCTGAGACATTTAAGGTAAACCCACTTGGCTCAGTCTAGACTATTTCTTTTTAAAATGTTCTGCTCTTCTTGACTTTAATATTAGGGTGTTCTGGAGATCAGATGATACTTGTCTCTCTTCAGCATGCTTTGCCTTGATGTTAGTTTTTAGCCAAGGTATATGATTGGGCTTTTCCTTTAAAAAATTTATTTCCATATCTTCTGGATTTCTCAGTTGACACTTACAGATGAAAATTACCTGACTGCCTCAGGGAGAAAATATCTTAATGCAGAGCTACTTCAAGGTTATATTTTTGACAAGATTTTCCATTAATTTGGTTTCTTGGGAATGAAAGACAATTGGCTGAGTGGAATATCATTGCATTTGAGACTAGATTTAGAGTGGATTATTTTCCAACATTTATTCAATTGGCAGACAAACACTGTGGGGTACCATCAACCCCCTTCATTGAAGGACTTTGTTGCTCCAGTGTTGACAGTGTTTTCCACAGTTCAGGGATTGGCCTCTTCATGGATTTCCTTACCCAAGGTCATGGTCTTTCCCGTGGCTATAACAAATGACTCATAGATGCAGAAGTGTAAAGATCTGCCCATTTCAGGACAACAGAGGACAACTCTAAGGGGCAGTTTCAGCTCTATAGCTCCCCATAGGGCTAGCTGATTCTGGTGTGGGCCTACCATATAGTGTGATTCCCTATACCCACATCAGTTTCTGTTCCTTCTTATCCCCAAGTGATGATCTGAGGTTACTCCTTAATATAATAACAATTCTTCACATTAAACTCCGTCTTGGAGTTTGCATTCCAGGGTACCCAAAGGTGGCAATCTTTGCAAATTTTCATGCAATGAGATAGGGAATCTATCTTCTATCCATCCATCCATCCATCCATCCATCCATCCATCCATCCATCCATTTATCCATTTCTTTACACTGCTGCTTTTAAAACAATTTTTAAATTTTATAGAGATGGGCTCTCACTATGTTGCCCAGGCTCGTCTCAAACTCCTGAGCTCAAGTGATCCTCCTGCCTCAGCTTCCCAAAATGTTGGGATTACAGGCATGAGCCACCATGCCTGGCAGCACTGTTGTTTTATTAAACCATCCTGGCAACTCAAAAGATTCATTTTTGTTTTTTTCAGCAACATTTCTTCAAGGTATAATATCTGTACTATCCATCAGGTAGTCATTTGTTATGTTGCAGCAGTTTCCAAAAGATGTAAATTAAATGTATAACATTTAGGCATGTTAGCATACTTTGTGATCAAAATCTTAATGTGAAGCTATTTTTGAATTTGCTAGATAAATTTACAAAAATCTTAGCATTGATTTCACCAAATTATCTCCAGGGGGCAGCAGAGAGTAATCTTAATGCAAATAGATGATTAGAAACAGCACAGGGTTTGCTTATTTATTTAAACAAAACAGACCAATTTTGAGCAGGTAAGGAAGAAAGAGTGAATTAGTACATAAATAGAGTCAGTAGGGGTTAGGAACCTGGGAGATGTATTGGAGACAAAACAGAGTTACCACCTTCAAAAAAGTAGATAGTAAAGCAGAGACTAATTAGCCACATAGTTTAAGAAGTAGACTTTGGAGTGAGATTTCTTGGGCTTGAATCCTGTTTCTATCACTTATCAGCTGTGTGGCTTTTGACAATTTACATAACCTCTCTGCTTTGAGTTTCCTCAATGGTAAGTGGTATTTACTATATAGGATTGTTGAGATAATTAAATTAGGTAATATTTATAAACTGCTTAGAACAAGATCAGGGTGTTAAGCTTAGGGCTTGACAAATACTTGCTATGGATCTGACCAGTGAGATTTACAGTTGATATTTAGCTAAATATAAAATGTGATTACTAATTTCTCTACTCTGATTTTGCTTATTTTGATACTGCACACATTTGATTTTCAAACATCTATTTCTCAATTTTCCTTTTTGTATAATCTGTAAAATTATAATAAAAAATAATCATTAATTCCAATATGATATATTTTTTCTAACTTTTTAAGAAGACTTTTTATACATTGACGTAGATCAACCATATATTAGGAGTAAAAATTTTCAAGAAAAATCAATATAATAGTAGGTATAAAAATAGAAGTATGCATTTTTTGAGGCTCTTTTAAGTTACTGTTTAGTCTATTTAATGATTGTCCATGGAGGAAGATACAGGATTTCAGATGAGTCTTGAGAGCATGGGTCAATGAAGGTTACAGAGAGGTAAATTGGAAAATAGAAAATGGAATATGCCCAGGAAAGCAGTCTTTTTATGCAACTGTATGTTGAATTATAGCATTTCTGTGGTAATTCATTAGATTCAGATCTGTAGTTATTGTACAAGGGAGCAGAGAGGAAGTAAAGACAAGAGTGGAGTGCTGTAGAGTTTGAGTCCCTTGAAATTCTTTAGACTATTCGGTATTGTTCTTTTTACCTCTGTGAAATTGGCATGTTACCACTTGGCTAGCAGTAGGACAGAGTAGATTGAGGGAATTAGGACTAAGTGTTTCGCTAGCATATTTGTGTGAGCGTGTGTGTGTGTGTTATGTTTGTGTGTGCACACATGCAAGTGTATAGAAGGGTAAGTCAGGCCAGATATCTAAGCCAGAGAGTTCACCAAAAGTAACAGTGACAAGGCAAGTAGTTATTGGCCCATTTTGCAAGAATGCACATCCAGAAAATTCAGCTATGGTAGGAAGGGCAGGCAGGTGCTGAAGTTCTCGGCAGTCAAGACTCAAATATAAGAGGTGAATGAGTCGGCAATGGTACTGGGGAGCAAAGGGTCCCGGGAACGAGAAGTCAGGAATAAAAGTCCATAGAATCTTTGCAGTAAGTATTCAAGAGCCATGCAAATCTTCTACATAATGGGGAGGAATCCCAAGAGGAAGGCTGCAACACTTCATCTTAAATGGTTTCAGTGTGGCTAAGTCTGAATCTGACATTGGAGAGAAAGATATACACCTGATTGGAAGAAGTTTACTTCAACAACATTTATAGTTATTACATCAATTTTCAGTTTATTGCAATTGATAAATTGAGTAAACCAGCCATGCTGGTTTGGGGGCATTATGGCCTAAAGTAGTTCTAATTTACTAAAGTTTCTCTGTCTTTTTGTTTTGGCTACAACATTAACTGGCATTACATTGTCCTGTTTGTTTCTCTTATGCTATGATTCTTAACTGGTATTATTGAAGGAGAATTGGAAAACTGGTAGAGTAAAAGGTTTGGGTTTCTGGTTTGAATGACACCTGTTTCTTGATCCTTTTTCACTCTTTTGCTTTGCTTCCTGGGTCCTGTGCCCAAGGGCCGCAACCAGGGAGAATTTGGGGCCTTTAGATTTTTTAGAGAGGTGTATTTACCAGACACATCTTTCTCTTATTATACTGACTTTCATGGCATGTCTTTAGTGGATGATTATGTTAACAAACTTTTAGTCCCTTTATTGTTTTAAACATTCATGGTCCATAAAAGGTAGAAGGTGGGAGTTGAGAGGTTACAGGCATGTGATTTGGGGGTGGAGAGGATGAGGGACCAGGGAGAGAAACTGTCATCCTGCCAAATCTATTTAGTGAATTTTATGGTTTTTGATACCCATCACTTGATTCTTAAACTGCTGATTGCAGATTGTGGTCTGACCTCAGGTGAGTGCATTGGAGTGTGTCTATGAAAGTTGTTGCCTGAAATTTCAAAGTAGAGGAGTTGAGTGAAAAGAACACAGGGCTACGAAATATAACACATTTTATTCCCAGCCGTGCCAATAAGTTGTTTTGAGGCCACAGGCCATTTAGCCCTTCTGTGGTTTAGTTTTGGCTATGTCATTGAGCAGATATTAAAATAAATGATCTCCAAGAATTTTTGATGACATGAGAAAAAGCTAATGTCAATATAATATAAACAGATACAGACTTGAGTAAGAAACTTTCCCAGTATCACTGGACTAGTAATTGCACAACAGAGACTTAACCCTATGTCTATCTGTATCCTAAGCGAGTGTGAATTTTAACTTTAACTTCTCTCTGCTCACTGCAACCTCTGCCTCCTGGGTTCAAGCGATTCTCATGCCTCAGCCTCCCAAGTAGCTGGGACTACAGATGAGTGCCATCACACCTGGCTAATTTTTTTTTTTTTTTTTAAGTAGAGATGGAGTTTGGAGTTTTGTCATGTTGCCCAGGCTGGTCTCGAACTCCTGAGCTCAGGCAATCTGCCCGCCTCGGCCTCCCAGTGTCCTAAGATTACAGACATGAGCCACTACTCCCGGCCAACTTTCACTTCTATGTAGTGGAAAACCAGAATATTATCTGTATTTTAAATGATGTATTCTCACTAATTTTCCGACACCTGGTGAAACATTAGACAGAAGAGAAGACATTTTTGTTTTGGTCTTCCCATTGTCACAGCTCATACCCTTAAGTGTTCCATGCCCTCAAGGATCTGGTTTCACTGTCTTCATCAAATTAATTAACTGGAAAAAAAAGCTTGAGAAGGGGAAGGGGGGAAATATTTATAATGTTTGGCAAGAAGGAAGATGAAACTGCTAACTGAGAAAAAAAATGCATGCTGTTTAATCTTTTTCCTGTTTGCAATGTTTTCTTCCCCTTCCTGTACAGTTTTGCCTTGGGGCAGAAAATTCTCAGCACATAGAAGATTTTTCCCTCTCTCAGACATAACTTAAAAGCATAGTAACATAGTAACTAGCAACAGTAAGGAAGAGGTTTTTTTGTTGTTGTTGTTGTTTTTTTTTTTTGGTTAGGGGGAGTCTGAATTCCAGATGTGTGGCAACTAAGAGATGGGTGATTATTTGTAATTTGGTTAAAATGATCAGTCTAATTTTCCAAAGGTGAAACTGAATGGCAATAAGTACTGAGTTCTGATAAACAGAATGCCCTCACCCCCAACAAGGTAGATACCTATGTCCGAATTACCGAAACCTGTGAATGTTACCTTGTGTGGCAAAAAGGACTTTGCAGATGTGATTAAATTAAGATCTTGAAATTAGATCATGTTGGATTATTTGGGTGGACCAAAAATAATCACAAGGTCTTTATAAAAGGGAGGCATAAGGGTCACAGTCAGAGAAGATGTGACAGTGGACCAGAGGTCCGAATGATGTAGCTGCAAGCCAAGAAATGCAGGCATTCTCAAATCGCTGGAAAAGGCAGGGAGCAAATTCTGCCCGAGCCTCCAGATGGAGTGCAGCCCTTCCAACACCTTGATTTTAGTCCCCTAAGATCCATTTCAGACTTCTGATCACCAGAACTGTAAGATAATAAATGTTGTGTTGTGTTAAGCCACTGAGTTTGTGGTAATTTCTTACAGTAGCAATAGGAAACTAATACACATATGATGTTTACAGGGTTGTGTGTTGACTCCCATTATAGACAGGAATTTCACACAATAATTTTCAAGAAAACATATTGTATTCCAGACTCAAATACTAAGGCCGTAAAGCTCTTCAACCTGGAGAAAGCCTCTAAAAGTCATCATAATTGGGAAATTTACAAGGATGGGCCAAAGTAGATCAATATTCTGTTTTACTTTTTGGTGCAAGTTTAGACAAATCTGTTTATCTTGGACACGTTCAATGCCTTACTGTAAAGTTTGTCTGTGTACAGCAGAAGTGAGAGGAGAACCAATGAGCTGAGAGATAATTCAATCAATCTGCTTCCTCCGTCTTTGCTTCAGGGCTTCATACAGGAAATCTATTGCTGTGTCAAGTTCCAGAGAAAAGCTTCTGTTCGTCCAAGTTACTAACCAGGCTAAACCACATAGACGTGAAGGAAGGGGCTAGAAGGAAGGGAGTGCCCCACTGTTGATGGGGTAAGAGGATCCTGTACTGAGAAGTTGACCAGAGAGGGTCTCACCATGCGCACAGTTCCTTCTGTACCTGTGTGGAGGAAAAGTACTGAGTGAAGGGCAGAAAAAGAGAAAACAGAAATGCTCTGCCCTTGGAGAACTGCTAACCTAGGGCTACTGTTGATTTTGACTATCTTCTTAGTGGCCGGTAAGTTTGAATTCTCTTTGGGAGAACAGTGAGAAACCTGGTCTCAGCTCTTCCTGAGTTTATTTTTTGTCTTTCTTCTGGGGCAATACAAATCAATTGCAATAATAAATATAGGGGGTTGCTAAATATGGGTTACTCCCATATCTAGTTTACTTTATTATCCTTTTTTCCGGTGTCTTGCTTGTTGTACTTTGTATCCTACTACAATATACAGATCTCTATAATTTGTCTTACTGTCCATTTCCTTATTTCCTCCTGTTTTTTGAACAAGGCAGGATAAATCAAATACATACTAGCAGCAATCAAAGTCAGTTAGGTTCTCTTTATCTTATTCTCTTCCCCAACCCCCTTTTTTGAGACAGGGTCTTGCTCTGTTGCCCAGGCTGGAGTGCAGTGGTGCAATCGTAGCTCACTGCAGCCTGTAACTCCAGGTCTCAAGCAGTCCTCCCACTCAGCCTCCTGAGTGTCTAGGACTACAGATATGCGCCACTATGCTTGGCTAATTTTTAAAATTTTTGGTAGAGATAGAGTCTTGCTATATTGTCCATGCTGGTCTTGAGCTCCTGTCTTCAAGCAATTCTCCCACCTCAGACTCCCAAAGCATTGGGATTACAGGCATGAGCCACTGCACCCAGCCTCTTCTCTCTTAATTTTTTTTTTTAAGATAAGAACGCTAACTCATTTAGGTCCACATTGCCAGTGGCATAGATTAGGACAGTTTATTGCTTTCTGTCACTTTCGATGATTAGGCACTTCAAAAATATAATATGCCTACAGTTACAGTGGTGCGTCTGTGATGTATGTCTGTATTTATCTTCAAGATGTGTGGGCTGTAAGAGACACTACGAGTTAGAGAACAGACTCTTCAACATCTAGGTTCCTATAGAAGTTATAGAGAACTTGGGCCACTGTGGGGGTGTCCTGGTTTCACTGTAGAAGGTTGGTAGGAGTTGGTGTGGGAGGGAGTTTTCAGGTTTCACTTTTGGTAGACAGAGCAGCTGCAAGGGAAGAGTGTAGTTGGTTTTAAATGTTATAATTTGATAATTGAAAGAAGAAAAGGTATTTTTCCTCATTTCTGAATGACTTTAAAATGCTGCTTATCTTCCACAAAAAATCTTCTTTCCACATGTTAATCTTACTAGTGAACACATGCAAAATAACTACACTCTTTGACTGCACCTTTCTATTGAGAATTTTCACATGCTTTTTTCCCTTTGATCTGCACAGCAACCCAGTGAAGTAGACATGGAAGACACCTCTCCATTTTACAAAGGTAGAAATGGAGGCGTAGAGAGGTGAAATGATTTGGCCAAGGTTAGATATGACTAGTATGTGCCAGAATCACAATCAGTAATGATATACATCAGTAAGCACCACTAAACATTTGAGTGGGCAATTTTCCTCATTATTTAACCATTGTGCTTTTCACTGAAGAGCATCAGTGAAAAAAGTCAAGCCAATACTTAGTTTTAGCCTTAATAGACTGTTACTCACCTAAAAAGTCAAGTGATCTGAATCTTTCAGTAGTTCAGATCTTGTTGTAGAAAGCTCTTATAGCAACTTGTGTAGGACCCAGCTTGGCTGGGGCAGCCAGATAGGCAAGGAGCTGTTTATGTCAAATTGCACTGTTACTCCTGGGAAAAGGAAAAAAAATGATTAAAACATAATTTGTAATTTTCAATTTTAAAGGTTGAAAGGTTTAAATTTTAAAACTATTTCTGAACACAACTAGGAAAGACTACATATAGCAGATCTATGAAGTCTATGCTTATGTTATTGTAAAGTTATTAAATGTTTAAAATCAGGATTTAAAAAAGCATATTACTTTACATGTAGTGATTTGGTGTGATAGGTTAACCATGACATGATTTAGAATAATGAGAAGCATACCACTTGGGGAAATATGACTTTATGTCTTTATTGCTAAAACTGCTATGTTATTAATACTGCCAAACAGAAAGAACTCGCTTTGTACAAGGTAAATTCACAAAGGAACAAGGGAGCTAATGACTTAAATGTAAAACATAGTATTCATTTGGTTTCCCTATTTTCTTTTTGTCTACTTATTTGCTTATAACTTCAAGCAGCTTGGCAGTTAGTAAACAAGATTTATCCAGAAAAAACCTAAGGGGAAAAATAAAAACAACCTAAATTGTGTACATCAGAGCTATATTCCCAGCCTTGTACCTGGTCCCCTTCCCGGACACTCCCCGTACCCTGTGCCACTTCTTCCTCCTTTTTTTTAGCCCTATTGTCTTCTAGATTTTTGTGTGTGTGTTCAAATTATATTTTGGTGTTCCAATTAAAATTATTCCATCTTTTATAAAAGTTACTGATTTTGTGATTATGAGTTACTAAAAAGGAACCCTTCACTTCTTTCCTTCTTTGGGCTAATTTTTATTCATTTATTGTTGTCTTCCACTAGAGGACAGGCAGTAACAAGAAGAGGAGATAAAAATCAAGACAGGGCTCTAAGGTAGCTTTGGCAGATTTGCAAACAGTGGAAAAAGATTCAAAACAATTGTGCAAAAGAAGGGTTTTGTCCTTATTAATAACTTTAGTCCTATCTTCCTTTTCTAGTTTGCATATTTGTGAATTTACATGTTATAATAATTTATAGGTGTGTTTTTCTCTAAATGTTCATGCTTAAGCAATTAATAAATTAATTAAAAGTCCTTATTAATGTCTGTGTGTGTGTGTAGAATAGTGCCTAAAAGTTATTAGTAATCTAAATTAGAAAGACAAAGGTAAGATGAAACAATTGGTGAACATTTAAAATCAGTAAATCTTGAAATTGTATATGAAACTAGTACAAATCTAAAGGAGGGAGAAATTACAGTGGGTTGGAGTTGTGGAGGATTTTATGGAGATGGGTCTTGAGCTAGGCTTTGAATGACAGGTTTGGATAAATGGGGAAATGCAGAGAAAGGAATTGGAAGGATGGGATGT
Source organism: Homo sapiens (assembly GCF_000001405.40). Lineage (NCBI taxonomy): Eukaryota > Metazoa > Chordata > Mammalia > Primates > Hominidae > Homo > Homo sapiens. Next base: position 112,971,841 of record NC_000003.12, on the reverse strand, counting down.
GTAGCATGTGCAAATGCAAGGTGCTTCAGAGAGAGAAAGAGCTGTAGCTTGCAGGAACAGAGGTTGTGTGTTAAATAATAGTAGGAAATAAGGCTGGATTTTGGGGGTCCTTAATAGCTAAATTAAAGAACCTGGGTATTAGTCAGTAGACAATGAGGAACCACCTGTTCTTTGGTGAACAGGAAAATTTATAATTAAGTAGGATTTTTTGGAGAATAATGTGGTAACAGTGTCCCATTGAGTGGCGGTGGCACTAGGTAAAATATTTATTTTGAAACATGAGTCAAGAGCTTCTGCCCTGGGGTTCTCATTTGAAAAAAGTTCTGTGATGCCGCTGAGGTATATATGTGACTGAGAAGGGAGTTTCGTTGTGGAGGAAGATATTAAATTCAGTATAGGAAGGGAGGACAAGTAGGAGGAAAATTCCTACAGATACTTGGAAATACAGTCAGCCCTCTGTATTGCATCCCTGGATTCAACCAACTTCAGTTGAAAATATAAAGGGAAAAAATAGATGATTTCATTAGTACTGAACATGTACAGATTTTGTTCTTGTCATTTCCTAAATAATTCAATATAATAGCTACTTATGTATTATTTACATTGTATTAGGTTTTATAGCAATCTAGAGATGATTGAAAGTATGTGAGAGATTGTACATAGGTTATATGAAATACTACACCATTTTATATTAGGGATTTGAGCATCCTTGAATTTTGCCATCTCTGGGGGTCTAGAACTAATCCCCCAAGGACACTGAGGGATGACTGTATAGAAAACTCTAGTGTTTGTGAATCATTCATGAAGTAGATGATCCATCCCACGAACAGAATAAACATATGGACAAAAACAATAGAATAAGCACTAGAGATATTTGGATTTGGGCTCTAAGAACCATACTTATCTCTTTCCAGTCTATAAAAGATAGGAAGATCTGAGAAGAGACAGGAAGGGAGCCAAAGTGGAGTATCAATTGAGTGCTTAACCTCATGTAGGAGGAGATACTCTTCTGAAATTGAGGATTAAGATGAGACATTAGATAGAGGGATGCTAGTAGCTTGAGGATGGCAATAAGGTAATGGGAACAAATGAGAGAGTTTACCGTAGATAAATTTCCTCCCAATAAGGTCATGAATATTTCAGTTAATGGCATTTAGTTAATAAAATGACCCAGTTGTTGTTTGATTTTATGTTGTGTCTGAAAAATTAACCATTTGTGTCTGAAAAACCATTTGTGTCTGAAAAATGTAGTAGCCATCAACATGTTTTTACCTCTTCTGCCTTATTATCACTCACATACATTTGTCAATTGCTGACTGGGATTTGGGAGCAGATCTGTGGTTATAAAATACCTTTGGACTATGTGATGCTAGTAGGCCCTAAGAATCAAGTCAACAATCATTACTTTTTAAATAATAATAATGGTAATAAATATCACTGATTTATATAATTCATATAATAGACACAGTCACAATCAGCCCTTTTTCCCCCCAGGAAGAAATGATATTGTTCATGCATTAACACTAAGCAACAACTTCAGAGTTTTTCTACATAGAATTTATATGCCTAGACCCCATTCTAGGACCAAAATCTTTAAGGAAAGCAATACCAAAAAGTTCCAGGATTAAAGCAGGGCTAAAAGTTTTTCTATTTCTTTTTTGAGACAGGGTCTTACTCTATCTATCACTCAGGCTGGAGTGCAGTGGTGCAATCATGGCTTACTGCAGCCTTGACCTCCCAGTCTCAGGTTATCCTCCTGTTTCAGACTCCCAAGTAGCTGGGACTACAGGTGTGCACCACCACGCCAGGCTAATTTTTTTTTTTGTATTTTTTGTAGAGACAGGGTTTTCCCATGTTGCCCAGGCTGGTCTTGAACTCCTGGGTTCAAGCAATCCTCCTGCCTTGGCCTCCCAAAGTGTTGGAATTACAGGCGTGAGTCACTGTACCTGGCCAGTTTTTCCACTTTTGAAGAAATAATTTTCTTCAAAAATGTCTGTTACTTTGAGTTATTGTTGCTGTTGCAGGTTCTCTTGGAAGTTAGACTCTGAGATAGAGTTTTGTGTACAGTATGCTTGTGAGCAGAGGGAGAAGTCTACCTGCAATCTCAACCAACTGACACCCTCACTGACCCCACAGGGAGCTCAGGAGCTAGATTGGCCTTAGAGAGGCCCTGCATTGAATAAAAATGGCTGTTCCTTTATAACTCCATCTAAATCAGTCGTTGGATATGGGCTCCCCTGGAAAGGGTCTGACTTTGGTCTAAGTAACTGAAGTCATCCCTGGAGAGGCTGAAAACTGAAGACTGTCTGTTGACAGTGATCCTAGTGGCAGGAACAAAAAGTCAGAGGCAACTGTTGGTGGCACATACTATGTCCACTCTAGTTGTCATTTCTAATACTCTTAATTCCTTCTTGAATTTCCAAGTTTCTACCTGGTATTATTTTCTTTCATCCTGAATAATTTCTGTTATTGTTTCTAGTAGTGTAGGTCTGCTAGTGAGGAGTTCTCTTAGTTCTTAGTTCCCTTTTTATACATATTTTCCCCAATATCTTGTCTCTCTGTTCTTTTGATTGAATAATTTCTATTGCTATATATTCAAGTTCACTGACAATTACAATTTCCTTTCTCCTCTTCATTCTTCTGTAAAGCCCTAGTTAATATATTATTTTAGATATTGTATTTTTCAATTTTAAGATTTCCATTTATTTGTTAAAAGTTTTTTTTCTCTGCTGAGATTTTTCTGTGTTTTTATTCATTCATTGTGAGTATATATTTCTTTATGTCACTAAGCATAGCTGAATGTTGCTGTAAGACTCTTGTCTGAGAATGCGAGTGTCTGGGTCAACTTGAAGTTGTTAGTCTCCCTTAATGTATTTTCTCCTAAGCATAGGCCACATTTTCTTGGTTCTTTGTAAATTAAATAGTTTTATTTGGGTTTTGAATGTTGCACAGATTCTGTTATATTGCTGTGTTGATATTTTACTTGGTTGGACCCAAACTGCAAACTCTACCCCTTGGACAGCATCTCAAATCTGAGTTCTTTTACTGGTAGCTAATCTGCTTTGACTGTGACCTGCAATGTGTGGTTTAGAGTCATCAGAGATATGGGTAGAGTGTATGCAGAATTTGGAACTCTTTTACTCTGACTCTGTCACTTTTCAGAGAGTAAAGTTGCCCTAAAATCTGCCTGCTGGTTCTTCAGAAAACTGTGGGCTTTCCATTAGAGTAGCTGCCTAATGTGGTATCATCTGCAGCCCTCTCTGGGACTAACATCGGTAAAAATGGGGAAATAATGGGAACCTACACCCACAACTCTGATCCCCTATTTCCTTCTTCCAAGCATTGACACCCTTCAAGAATTTTTCTGCTTCCTCCACTTTCCAGTAACCTCAGGTAGTTGTTTTTATATTTTGTCCACAATTTATAGTTCTTACCTGTGGAAACTCACTGGCCCATAAAGAAGTGAAACTTTCTTCAAATATACATATTTTAAAATATTATTGTATTTTTACAACTAATATTGACTTAGTGGTTATATTGTCTTGGATGTTAAGATTGAATATATTATTATGCTTTTTTGCTTTCTAAATGTTACCCATGCATTGAATGTTTTGGTACATTTCACTTTTCTCAGTAAAATTTCGTTCTTCTTTCCCATAATTTCTAGTAAAATTTCTAGACACTAATTTAGATACCAATAGATACCAATTTCTAAATACAAATATAACTCTGTGTTGGGTCTAAAGATCAGTTATGTAATTCTAACCACTAGCTGTTTCATCTTTAGAAATTGCTTAACTTCTTTTGACAGTAATTTCCTCATTTGTGAAATGAAGATGTATGACACTATTAAGAAGTATAAAGCCTTCACAAAGGAAGTACTTTAGGAACCTTCAAATTAAAAATCTTTCATTTTATACATGGGGCAAATAAAGCCCAAGTGTGTATGTGGGATTGCTAATCATATCAAACAGCTTTCTGGGGTGTGAGCTGAGTTTTGAACACCTTCATAGTACAAAAATTAGAGGGGAAAGGGATGGGGCAAGTGTGTGGGAGAAAAATCTATGTCTTTTAGATGTGATACACTTGAAATGACAGCAAGTATTCAAGTGGGGACAAATTTCAGCTAAATGTTTGAGATTCTTGCTTAGGAAAAATAAGTCAAAGCAAAAATGTGGGTGGGTTATTCTGTCAGCCAGTAATTTAGAGTGTCTGTCATGTATCAGTCACTGTGCTTCATGCTGTGGACATTTGATCAAGACAGACATAGGTCCTGCTCTCATGGAATTTAAATCTGGTGGGAAAGATAGATATTAAATCAATTACTGCAAATAATTAAACAATGCGCAAGTGCATAAGGATAAATATAGGGTGACATAGAAATGTGTAACTGGTGAGTCTAATCTGGTTTGAGGATCAAGTTAGGCTCCTCCAAGGAAGTGATGTTTAAGATGAAGATGAACAGAAACAGCGAGGTAAGAAGAGTTGAGGGATAAACATTCCAGGCAGGTCAAACAGGCTTAATGAAGGACAGAGGGAGCTAAACTATGACTGGAGTGGTGAAAACAAGAGGAAATCACCTGTATAGAGATCTAGTTGAAGTTCAAGGGGTTAAGGAGCAAGAGGAGAGAAAGTGTAAAGAGAAAAAGCAGCTGAGACTTTGGTGAATACTGACATTACGATGCCCAAGGAGAAAGATAGCTTGTAGAAAATATATGAGAGGAGGCAGTGAAGATAGGGAAAGAGACAGAGAAGGGAATGCATGGGTGTAGTGGGAAGGCTAGGAAAGGGGTTTTAGAAGGAGAAGAAAGTGGTTAATTGTGTTAAAATCCATCAACAACTTAGGAACACCAGCACTGAAAAGAGGCCAAAAGCTTGACTATAAAAGGGCTGGTGACCTTGAAAATTGCAGTTTGAGTAGATAGACGTGGGAGCAGCGAGATTGCTGGTATTGAGGAGGGAGTGAGTGGGAAGGAAATTGAGGCTGTGGGCACAGACCACTCATTCAAGAAGTTAGGCAGCAAAGAAAGGAGAAGGGATCCTAGCTAGAAGGGGAAGTAAGCATCTAATAAAGTTTTTTTTTTTCTACCAACATAGGGGAAACCTGAATGTGTTCAAAGGATATTATTTGAGAAAATTCAGTGATTTGGAAGAAATATTTTTCCAACCAGTATGTGTTTATGTAGTTTTAAGGTGTTCAGTAATTTCTTTTCTTTTTCTCTGCCATTTTGTTACCTTACCATGAATGCTACCTTTTCCTAAAGGTTTATCCATTACATAATATGAGAATATCTGGTTATATGATTCATTTTGTGGTGCTGATAATTCCTTGAAAAAAATGTCCAAATGGTAAATGTTTACAGATCCCCAATAATAAAATCTAGCTATTTTTATTCTTCACAAAATTATCCTACTTATCTTTAATTGGCTCTTCCCTAGTTGTTCCCCAGGGATGGTTCTAAACCAGTGATTTTAAGGTAGTTGCCAGACAGAACTCCCTATAGAGCCTAAAATTGCCTATAGAGCTTAAGCCTGCTTAATCAGACTTTTCCAGTGTATAGGGATCTAGACTTTCACAAGTCTTTTCAGGGTTTTCTGATGGGTGCCAGGGTTCAGAACACTGCTCTAGGTCTTTCCTAGTTTCCTCATCACCCCAACTATCCTCATTTCCTTTGCAGACAGCTGCTCACCTCCTGATTTACCATTGTCCAGTGTGGACTTCTTTAATGTCCACAGATGGTAAGGTTTCTGAGAGCAGGAACCTTGCCTCATTCAAGCTGCCATTCCCTGAGCTCTGCCGAGCTACTTGCCACTAAGTAGGTACTAACAAGTGTTTGTTAACCTGCTTCCTCAAAATGTTTCTTGTGTCTGTAATAATTCTTAACCTTTTTGTTCGCCTCTCAGAGATGAAATATCAATCTCTTTAAAAGCAAACCTGCTTTTTGTCTCATTCCTTCTAGTACCTCTGGGATCCTGCCTGACCAGTTAGCTTCCTCATTCTAGTAACTTCTGGCTCTCCCTCTTTCTGTCTACAAACATGCTGTGTTCCCCTTTATTATTAAATATCTTTTTTTTTTCTTTTGAGATGGAGTCTCACTCTGTCGCCAGGCTCGAGTGCAGTGGTGCGATCTCGGCTAACTGCAACCTCTGCCTCCTGGGTTCAAGCAATTCTCCTGCCTTAGCCTCCCGAGGAGCTGGGACTACAGGCGTGCGCCACTGTGCCCAGCTAATTTTTGTATTTTTAGTAGAGACGGAGTTTCATCATGTTGTCCAGGATGGTCTCCATCTGTTGACCTCGTGATCCACCTGCCTCGGCATCCCAGAGTGCTGGGATTACAGGCATGAGCCACCATGCCTGGCCTGTTAAATATCTTCTTGATCCCTCATAGCTCCTGATGTTGCCCCATCTCTCTCTCTTTCAAGTTTAACATGAAAGGATGAAACCAGTCTCATTTCTCCCATTCTTTCAAGGTCAGCATTCTTGAAAGACTTAAGTCTACATTTGTTGACTCCATTACCTCTGATCAGCCCCTTTCAATCTGGTTTCCACTTGTACTTCTTTGTTAAACTTACTCTCTTTCAGATCTTAAGGTCACTGATGATCTTCTTGTTACCAAATCACAAAGCTTCTTAATTCTTAGGTTAAGACTGTTCTGCATATGATTTAATCTTGATTCTTCCTGTCTTGAAACCTCCTCTTTACTTGGTATAATAGTCCATTTTCACACTGCTGATAAAGACATACCTGAAACTGGGCAATTTACAAAAGAAAGAGGTTTAATGGACTTACAGTTCCACATGGCTGGGAAGGTCTTATAATAATGGTAGAAGGTGAAAGGCACATCTCACATGGCTGCAGACAAGAGAAGAGAGCTTGTGCAGGGAAACTCCCATTTTTAAAACCATCAGATCTCATGAGATTTATTCACTATCACAAGAACAGCATGGGAAAGACCTGCCCCCATGGTTCAAATACCTCCCACAACACGTGGGAATTTAAGATGAGATTTGGATGTGGACACAGCCAAACCATATCATTCTGCCCCTGGACCCTCCCAAATCTCATGTCCTCACATTTCAAGACCAATCATCCCTTCCCAACAGTTCCCCAAAGTCTTGATTCATTTCAGCATTAACTCAAAAGTCCACAGTTTAAAGTCACATCAGAGACAAGGCAAGTCTCTTCTGCCTATGAGCCTGTAAAATCAAAAGCAAGTTAGTTACTTCCTAGATACAATGGGGGTACAGGCATTGTGAAATACAGTCATTCCAAATGGGAGAAATTGGTCAAAACAAAGGGGCTACAGGCCCCATGCAAGTCCAAAATCCAGCAGGGCAGTCAAATCTTAAAGCTCCAAAATGACCTCCTTTGATTCCATGTCTCACATCCAGGTCATGCTGATGCAAGAGGAGGGTCCCCATGGTCTTGGGTAGCTCTGCCCCTGTGGCTTTGCAGGGTACAGCCACCCTCCTGGCTGCTTTCATGAGCTGGCATTGAGTGTCTGTGACCTTTACAGGGGCAGAGTGCAAGTTGTCAATGGATCTACCATTCTGGGGTCTGGAGTATGGTGGCCCTCTTCTCACAGCTCCACTAGGCAGTGCCTCAGTAGGGACTCTGTGTGGGGGCTCCAACCCCACATTTCCATTCCATACTGCCCTAGCAGAGGTTCTCCATGAGAGTCCTGCCCCTGCAGCAAACTTCTGCCTGGACATCCAGGTATTACTGTACATCCTCTGAAATCTAGGCAGAGGTTCCCAAACCCCCATTCTTGACTTCCATGCACTGGCAGGCTCAACACCACATGGAAGCTGCCACAGCTTGAGGCTTGCACCCTCTGAAGCCATGGCCTGAGCTGTATGTTGGCCCCTTTCAGCCATGGCTGGAGCAGCTGGCACACAGGGAACCAAGTCCCTAGGCTGCACACAGCATATGGACTCCTGACCTGGCCCACAAAACCATTTTTTTCTCCTAACCCTCCAGGCCTGTGATGGGAGGGGCTGCTGTGAAGGCCTCTGACATGCCCTGGAGACATTTTCCACCTTGTCTTGGGGATTAACATTCAGCTCCTTGTTACCTAGGCAAATTTCTGCAGCTGGCTTGAATTTCTCCTCAGAAAGTGGGATTTTTTTTTTCTATGACACTGTCAGGCTGCAAATTTTATCAACTTTTGTGCTCTGCTTCACTTATAAAACTGAATGCCTTTAACAGCACCCAAGTCGCATCTTGAATACTTTGCTGCTTAGAAATTTCTTCTACCAGATACCCTAAATCATCTCTCTCAAGTTCAAAGTTCCACACATCTCTAGGGCAGGAGCAAAATGCTGGCAGTATCTTTGTTAAAACATAACAAGAGTCACCTTTGCTCCAGTTCCCAACAAGATCCTCATCCCCATCTGAGACCACCTAAGCCTGGATTTCATTGTCCGTATCATTATCAGCATTTTGGCCAAAGCCATTCAACAAGTCTCTAGGATGTTCCTAACTTTCCCACATTTTCCTTTCTTCTTCTGAGCCCTCCAAACTGTTCCAACCTCTACCTGCTACCCTCCAAAGTCAGTTCAACATTTTTGGGTATCTTTTCAGCAGTGCCCCACTCTTCTGGTACCAATTTGCTGTATTAGTCTGTTTTCACACTTCTGATAAAGACATACTTGAGACTGGGCAATTTACAAAAGAAAGAGTTTTAATGGACTTAGAGTTCTATGTGACTGGGAAGGCCTCACAATAATGGTGGAAGGTGAAAGGCACATCTTACATGGCAGCAGACAAGAGAAGAGAGCTTGTGCAGGAAACTCCTGTTTTTAAAACCGTCAGATCTTGTGAGACTTAATCACTATCATGAGAACAGCATGGGAAAGACCTGCCCCCATGATTCAAGTGCCTCCTACTAGGTCCCTCCCACAACACATGGGAATTCAAGATGAGATTTGGGTGGGGACACAGCCAAACCATATCACTTGGCTTTGTGGCATTGCATTTATATCCTACTTTTCTTCACTGTTTTTGTAAAGTGCAATGCCTCCAAGAGATCTCTAATTATAAATGTTTTCAAGGCTCTAGTTTTGGCCTTTTCTCTAACATCAGAGACTGCAATTTGGCAGCTCATGGGTTATATCTGGCTTGCAGACACTTTAGCTGATACATGTAATTTTTTTTAAAAAGTTAGCTGCCAATTAATAATAAAATTTGGACATTTTACCTATAATCCCTGACCTAGTGTCTGGGGTGGCAATAAGGATTAAGCCCAATGATGCAGGTAAAGTACTTAGTGCTGCATCTTCATTTATAAGCATTCAAAAATGACAATTTAATGATATTTTGTGGTTTTCAAAGCTCTTCTTGTATATTATTTGATAACATTTAATTAGCCCCCTACAGACCAGCTTTTTGGTTGTTTTCAGTTTTTTTAAATTACAGTTTCAAAACTGTGTCAGATTTTTTGGAAAACAATGCTAGAATTAGTATCCTGGTACACATATCTTTGCATATGTTAATATGCATATGTATTCAGTGTCTACATATCCATTGAATGTATTGTCCTTTGTGATCAGTGATACACATTTACACAACATCTGCCTTAGGTTAGGGAACATGTTTGTCTTCATTAAGTAGTTTTGGAGTTTGTGACAGTAATTGCCTCAAAAAAATACTCCCAAAACCAAAAATTAAAACCCAAAAAACAAAACAGGCCAGTAAGATGGCTTTTATTAGCAATACACCCTAATAACTGCCACAGACTTTATATTGCCTTAAAAAGTAGGGCCAAATTTATTAGCATAATACTTACTGCTTTCTAAATTTTGTCCTTCCATCAAATTCATTATTGAATTGTTGTTTTGAAACTTCCTACTTTTCTAAACACTTCTCACCTTTCTTTTTATAACCCATCTGTATGTTTTATTTTTATCCCTATGTTGTACCTAAAGAGTAGAATTATAATTACTGTGTCACCTTTAACATATTTAATCTTTTGTCAGCCTGTTCATACCTTTGCCCATTTTTTCAGTTGAGTTGTCCATCTCTTTTTTTATTGGTTCATGTGTTTTCAGCATATTTTTTGAAGAAAATTAATCTTTCTTTGTTTTAAATGTTGCAAACATTCCCCAGGTTTTTGCTTGGCAACATTGTTTTATGTATTTTTCTTTTTCTTTTTTGTCATACAGAAGTTTCAAATTCTCTCTAGAGTCAGACTTCTCAATATTTTTCTTTATGGTTTCCATGTTTTATATCAGGATTAGAAAGATTTCTTAATTGAAGGTGAAAAACTGCATCAGTTTGCCTGGAACTTTTTTCCTAGTTTTAGCATGGAATGTCCTGCATCCCAGGAAACCTCTCAGTCTGGCAAACAACGATGTTAGTCAGGCTGTCTCTTAAGATTAAAAAAAACAAAAACAACAAAATTACTTATATTTTCTTCCAGTACTTTTGTTTTTGTTTCTTATATTTAAATCTTTTATTTATTTTATTTTGGTATGAGAAGTGAAATAAGAATCTGATTTTGTTTTATTTTCCCACATGGCTAGCTAGTTCTTATAATAGTATTTATCAATGACATATATAATCATCTTTCCCTCCAGGAATTTGAGTGGCAAGTGGTATCAGATACTACATTCTCATATATGTAGATGAAGCAACTAGGGTTTAGAAAGTAACCCCTGCGAGATTCCAGGGGTAATAAATGAAAGGGCCAAAATATTAGTCACTTTTCTTATTTTAATTTTGAAATTTTTTTCTATAATTGTCTCTGCCAGAACTTTGAGTTTTCACCGCCCGCCTTTCTTTTTTTTGCTGAACATCTAATTTGGTGTTCACATCTGCTACTAACTAGATGTGTTTAAAAATTAAAATCAGTTTCATAAAGTGTCGGAACATGAAACATACAGCATAATCAATTCTTCAAATTGTGTTTTAAAATGCTAAAAATAAAAAAGTAAGTACTAATCTGTACTTTTTGTATTTCTTTGTACTTTAGTTTTCTTTTATATTAACATAAAATATATATTGCATTTGATTTACATACATTTTAAATAATAATTATACTGTGAATACTTATGTCAGTTAAGAACAGACTACTGCCATTTCCTCCCCAGTTATATCCCCCAACCTCTGCGTTAAACGTAGTCATTATCTTTTGAGGTATAGTTATTCCCTTTGAGGTATAGTTACTCCCTGCTTTTCTTTACATTTTATCATGTGTTTGTGGAATCCCAAACAATAACATTTATATTGTCTTTTTTTGGTATTGGTGCAGAAACGGAATCATACTGTGTATATGATTTTATAACTTCTTTCATTTATTCATTATTTTAGAGATTTATCCATGTTTAAGTTTGTATTTGTTGTTCCTTAATATAAATAACTTTTATCCTAAAATTTCAAATGTCTGCAAAATAGTTTGTTCCCTAGAAAAATTCTGGTTCATAAGTAACAAACATGATTTTACAAAACAAATCTCATATTTACGATTTCAACTTATTTCCTTGTTGGAAGGAAGAACAATTAAGATAATATGCTGTGAGACATGTGAAGGAGAGAGTTTTCATTTGAAAACCATGTTGCATTTCATATTGTTACAATGGCAAACATTAATTTTCCAGGAAATTCATAGTAAAAGTTTCTGTGTTCTATTGACTTTACCATACTGGTGATGAGGAAAAAGCCATATGCTTAGTGTAGCTACAGAAAAGTTGCTCTGTCAGCCTAATTTGAATTTCTGAATCTGTTTGTGAATAAGATCTCAGTTACAAAGTTGCATTCATTTAAAATGAAACCCTGAATCTTTAGGAGAAATATATACTGTGTAATTACAGTGGGCTTAAAGCTTCAGTTTGTAATGTACTTTGCATACCTTTCATGAGTAATTCCTTATTTTTAAAGTAAGAAAGATAGTACATGTTTTGCTGAAGGGAAAATGAGAGCATATAATTCGTTTAGTTATCTAAAAAGATTCAAGAAAGAAGCAAGAAAGGAAGAAGTAAAAGTCATATTTTCAAGCCATTAGAAATTGTTTAATGCTTAATCCATGCATAATTCATAGTGGTTCATCTCTACATTCATTATAATAACTTTGAAGATCTATTAAAGTTTGAAAGAAACTTTGAAACTTTGAGACTTATTGAAGTTTGAAAGAAAATAGACTTCAAGGGTTAAAAGCTTGACTCACCAAATGTAGAGTGAAATAATTTTATTTGGTTTTCCTCAGGTAAAATGCCAGGATATTTTTAGATTTCAATGTATATTTATTTTATGTTCTATTTTTTGAAGTACTGTAGTAAATTCATTAAAATTTAAATCACAGTAAAGTTTACAATAAGCAATTAGAATGAATTCTACTTAGCTCAGTACCAGCACAGAGGCCCCAAGTCCTATAAAGAAATGTCCATAGAAATGTCAAAATAAACCATTATACACTGTTCTCTTTTGCAGCTAATATGGTTATCTGATAAAGTCATAGCCACATTCGTTAGTCCACAGTTTTGCCCCAAGTTGAGTTTCAGTTTGAAGTTCATTTATCAGACTCCTAACTTATCTGTTTGTATTCCTCCGGAAGACCTGCAACTGAAGGAAAGGGCAGAACTTCTTTTTTATTTTCCATCTCCATCATTAGAAATAATACATGAATATTAGCAACAATGTTAACTATTTAAGTATGGTATAATACTTGCTCTCTTTTGGTTAGTAATAGTTACCGAATTAGGGGTTTTTAACAGGAATGGTGACGTTGCAGAAATGTCTATCTCTAAGTTTTTTTTAGAGAGTAGAGCATGCAGAGCACAGCATTTTACATTAAATAAAAACTGCTTAACATGACAAGAAAATCATGTGCTGTTTCTGAGAGCCTTTTTTTTTGTCTCACTGGAGGAAACCTCCATGAAGTATGGGTCTGCAGGGTCATGCCTGTTTTTATGTGTGGGTGTATATGCTTGCTCAGGCATATGACAATAATGATTTGGGAAAGGAAACTTCTGGTGCTCAAAGTGAGTAAGAGGTTTCGCTAGTAGTAAAATCACGAAAACATTCTTCTTTCTACTGATGATTTTGACTTAGATAGAAGTATTTTTTAAAAAACATTATTTTCAGTGTGAAAGATCTCTGTTTATATTTTGTTTTGTGTTTATTTGTGTGGATGCATATTCTAATGTTATGTGTGTTAAAACCCAATGTTTCTGATGCTGTTTTTAGTTATCTCCTTTCAGCTTTATGGAAGAATAATTTATGTACAATTAATTGCATCAGTTTAAAACATGTAATTTAATAAATTATGGCAGTTGTATATACCTGTGAATCATCACCACAAACAAGATACAAAACATTTTCACCATTTCCAAAATATTTCTCATGTATCTTTAGTCCATCCCTTCCTTCATCCTCATTTGCGGGCAATCACTGATCTGTTCTTTGTCACCAGAGATTACTTAGCATTTTATATTAGTAGCAGTATTTTTTGTAGTATGTAGTATTCTTTTGTGCCCATCTTGTACTTTCAATTAGTAGAATGATTCTGAGATTTGTCAATGTTGTGTTTTCCTTTTTGCTATTGAGTCGTATTCCTTTGTGTGGATAATTGATTGATTTAACTGTTAATTGACCTTTCAGTTGTTTCCAGTTTTTTTGGCAATTTTGAATACATATTTGCAAATAAGGCCACTGTGAACATTTATGCATAAGTCTTCTGTGGATATGTTTTCATTTCTCTTAGATAAATACAGTTGGAATGAACAGGTAATATGGTGGGCACATGTTTGAATTTTGAAAAAAAATCTGCCAGAAATATACCAGTGTAGTTTACATTATTTTACATTCCCACTAGTAATGTATGAGAGTTTTAATTTCTCCACATTCTTGCCAGGATTTATTATTGGTCTTTTTAATTTTAGCCATACTTATAGGTGTGTAATCATTATCTCACTATGTTTTATATCTGCATTTATTTTATGGTTACTAATATTGAACATCTTTGCATGACTCTATTGGCCATTTTAATATCTTTTTATTTTTCATGAGGGGTCTGTTCAAATCATTTGCCCAGATTTTAATTGACTTTTAAAGTTATTGAATTGTAACCGTTCTTTACATATTCTACATAGCAGTCTTTTGTTAGATATGTATATTGCAAACATTTTCTTTTACTGTATGGTGTGTCTTTCATTATCTTGATGATATCTTTCTAAAAGCAAAATATTTAAATTTTGTTAATGTCCAATTTATCAGATTTTCTTTCATGGCTTGTTCTACTTATGTCCCAATAAATCTTTGCCTATGTCAAAGTCAGAGATGCTCTTATATATATTCTTCTAGGGGTATTACAGTTTTAGCTTTTACATTTAAGCCAATAATCCAATTATAGGTAATTTTTTTTGTGTATGTGTAAAGGGTTGAAGTTCATTTTTTTTGCATATGTATAACCAGTTGTTCCATCATGTGTTGTTGAATAACTTGTAGTTCTTTATAAAATTGCCTTAACACTTTTATTTTAAATCAATAGATTGGTTGGAGGGTGGAGCACAAAGGTGGAATAGGACTCTTTAGCAATCATTCCCCCATATAAACATCAATTTGAACAACTATTTGCACATGAAAATACCTTAACAAGAGCTAAAGAAACCAAGTGAGAGAACACAGTGCCTAGTTATAAGTATATTAATAAGAAAAGATATATTGAAGAGGACGTCAGTTTTAAATTACTTGTGTCACCTCTTACCCCATTCTAGACAGCACAGTGTGATGAGAAATACTGTGTACTTGGGGGAAAGAGGGGAAATAAACATAGAACTTTGCCTTGGACCCCAACTCTGGGCCCACCAGAGTAAAATCCAGCACTGGGAAGACTCCAATGACCCCTGACTGCAGGCTGGTGCCTATGGACATCAGACTCACCCCAGCACGAGGTGGGAACCTATAACCCATGTGAGGCAAACTCAGTCAGCACCTTGCATCACTGCCAGCTGACTAGAGTGTCCTTGGTCTCTGAACAAACCTCAGAGGTAGGCATGCCTCAGTGGCTACTTGGCATTGGGTGCATTCCAACACTAAACCAATCTCGTGGCCAAGGGATTCCAGCCTGGCCATAGTAGTACTAGGCTTAGGATGCTCCTAGTGCTCCAATGGCCACAGTGATCTGGGGCATAGGGATCATGCCAGTAGGTCTTCCCAGGATCTCTGGAAAAGCTTACTGTTGGAAAGCATTCCCACACAGAGTCAATCTATGAAGTGCCTACTTCTTCAAATGCACAGACATTGAGCATGGCCACAAGGATCAAGAACCATCAGGGAAACATGACATCACCAGAGAGACAAAACAAAGTGATAGTGACCAACCACAAAGACATGGAGATGTATGAATAGCCTGACAGAGAGCTCAAAATAACTTTTTAAGGAAGCTCAGCAAAGTTCAAGAAAACACAGAGAAACAATTCAATGAAATTAGGAAAATATTAAGTGGCCAGAAAAGGAAATCTAATAGAGAGATTGAAATAATTTAAAAAAAAACCAGAAATCCTAGTGCTGAAAAATACAATGAAAAAAATGAAAAATACAATGTAGAGTATCAACAGTAGAATTATCAAGCAAAAGGAAGAATCTGTGAACTTGAAACAAGTTATTTGAAAATATGTAGTCATAGGAGAAAAAAAAGAATGAAAAGAAATGAAGAAGGCTCACAGGATTTGTGAGACAGCATCAAAACAACAAAATGTTTGAGTCATTGGAGTTCAAGAGGGAGAAGAGAAAGATAAATAGATAGAAGACTTACTTAAGGAAGTAATAGCAAAAAACTTTCCAAACCTGAAGAAAGATAAAAATATTCAGGTAAAGGAAAATCAAAACTCTACAATCAGATTCAATCCAAGTAAGACTACCCCAAGACATATTATAATCAAACTGTCAAAAATCAGAGGCAGAGAGAGGATCCTGAAGGCAGCAAAAGAAAAGAAGCAATAACATAACATAAAAACGGGCTCAAATGTACCTAGAAGTGGACTTCTCAGCCGAAACCTTATGGGCCAGAAAAGAGTAGGATCATATATTTAAAGTACTGAAAAAAAAAAAAAATGAAAAACCCTACCAATCATGAATACTTTAACTAGCAAAACTGTCCTTAAGAAATGAAGGAGAGAGAGACTTTCTCAGATAAACAGAAGATGAGGGAATTTCTCACCACCAGACCTGACTCATCAGTAGTGGTGGGCACCTGTAATCCCAGCTACTCGGGAGGCTGAGGCAGGAGGATCACTTGAACCCAGGAGGTGGAGGTTGCAGTGAGCCGAGATCATGCCACTGCACTCCAGCCTGGGTGACAGAGCGAAACTCCGTCTCAAAAAAAAAAAAAAAATGTGAAGAGAGACCAAAAAGGTCTTTATATATTGATAAAGAGGTCAATTTAGTAAGAGCATATAACAATTGTAAATATATATATGTACCCAACATTGAAGCACCTAAATATAAAAATCAAGTATTAATAGATCTGAAGGCAGAGATAGACTGCAAGACAATAACATTAGGGGACTTTAGTACCCCACTTTTAGCAATGGACAGACCATCCAGGCGAAAAGTTCAGTGAGACATCACATTTAAACTACATTGTAGACCAAACGGGCCTACCAGACATACACAGAACATTCCATCCTTCAGCTACAGAATTCACGTTTTTCTCAACTACACATGAAACATTCTCTAGGATAGATCATATGTTAGACCACTTTGTGAGTGGAAAAACAACTCAAATTGGTTTTCCTTTGCTCTCACACCATAACAATTAACACTGATGAGTTCTGTGACCAAAAGTTTGTTTGTCTGTTTTTTTCTACACACCAAACAATGAATTCTTCAGTGGACACCAGCTGGTTGTATCCTGATTCAATTCAATTCTGATGCTATATACTTGAAGGAAACATTAGATCCCAAGCCTCAGGTTATTTTTCCTGTGCTTCTGACTGACTGGCTATAAGACTCGGTTCCCATGACCCCCTCCTTTGGTTCGATTAATTTTCTAGAACAACTCACAGAACTCAGCGAAATACTTACTTATGTTTACTAGTTTATTATGAAAGATATTACAAAGGATACAGATGAAAAAGTGCATAGGGCAAGGCATGTGGGAAGGGGTGCAGAATTCCCATGCTCTTTCCGGGTACACCACCTTCTAGTAACCTCCATATGTTTAGCTATCTGGAAACTCTCTGAATGCAGTCCTTTGGGTTTTTATGGAGGCTTCATTAGATAAGCATTATTTATTAGCCATTGGCCATTGGTGATCAACATAACCTTCAGCACGTTTACCCTCCCCAGAGGTTGAAGGGTGGGGCTGAAAGTCAACCCTCTAGTCATGCCTTGGTCTTCCCAGTGACCAGCCACCATCCTGAAGTTACTAACCACCAGTCAACTAATGAGCATACACAAAAGACATCACTTTGGAGACTTTAAGGATTTTAGGAGTTGTGTGTCAGGAAACAGGGTCAAAACCCAAATGTATATTTTACAATATGACAGGCACAAAGCAAGTTTTTAACAAATTTAAGAAAATTGGTATCATATCAAGTATCCCCTCCAACATTATGGTTGGAGGGGATATATCATTATGGATATAAAGCCTGAAATCAATAACAGGAGGAACTTCACAAATACATGGAAATTAAACAACATACTCCTGAACAACCAATTGGCCAATAAAATTAAAAGAGAAATTAAGGACATTTCTTGAGACAAATGAAAATGGAAATACAACATACTAAGACCTATGGGATACAGCAAAAGCAGCTATAAGAGGAAGATTTATAGCAATAAGTGCCTACATTAAGAAAGAAGAAAAATCTCAAATAAACAACCGAATGTTGACCCTTAAGTTAAACTGAGCCCAAAATTAGTAGAAGGAGGCAAAGAATAAATATCAGAACATAAATAAATAAAATAGAGACTAGAAAAATCATGAGAAAAAAACTAATGAAATGAGTTGCTTTTTAAAAAGATAAATAAAATCAACAAACCTATAGCTGATAAATTGAGAAAAAAAGAGAGAGACTCACATCCATAAAATGAGAATGAAAAAGGAGACATTACAACTTATACTGTAGAAACACAAAGGATCACAAGAGACTGTTATAAACACAATTATATGCCAACAAATTGGATAAGCTAGGAGAAATGGATAAATTCCTGGACATAGACAACCTACCAAGATTTAATTATGAAGAAATAAAAAAATTGAACAGCCCAGTAATGAGTCAAGAGATTAAATCAGTAATAAAAAATCATCCATCAGAGAAGTCCAGCAGCTGTTGGCTTCACTGCTGAATTCTACCAAGCATGTAAAGAAGAACACCAATTATTTTCATTCTTCCAAAAATTGAAGACGAAGGAATACTTCCAAAGTCATTTTACGAGGCCAGAATTACCCTCACACCCAAATAAGACAAGGACGCCAGATAAAAAGAAAACTACAGGCCAATATCCCTGGTAAACATAAATGCAAAAAATCTTTAACAAGATGCTAGCAAGCCAAAATAAATAGCAGATTAAAAAGACCATTCATCATGATCAAGTGGACTTCCATCCCAGGGATGTAAGGATCAACATACACAAATCAATAAACATGAGACATCACAGGAACAGAATGAAGAATAGAAACCAGATGATCATTTCCATAGATGCAAAAAAGCCTTTAAAAATTCAACATCCTTTCATGATAAAAATTCTCAATAAATTAGGTATAGAAGGAAAGTACTTCAGTGCAATAATGATTATACATGAAAAACTCACAGCTAGCTTCACACTTTATGGGGGAAAATGGAAAGCCTTTCCTCTAAGATCAGAAACAAGACAAGGATGCCCACTCTTGCCGCTTGTATTCAACATGGTACTGGAAGCATAAAGTTGTTAATAATATTTCCTCATAATGCTGGAAGTTCTAGCTGGAGGAATTAGGCAAGAGAAACAAATAAAGGGATCCAGATAGAAAATAAAGAAGTCAAATTGTTCCTGTTTGCAGACAACATGGTCTTATATATGGGAAACTCAAAGACTCCACGAAAAATTATTTATTTATTTATTTATTATTATTATTATACTTTAAGTTTTATGGTACATGTGCACAATGTGCAGGTTAGTTACATATGTATACATGTGCCACACTGGTGCGCTGCACCCACTAACTCGTCATGTAGCATTAGGTATATCTCCCAATGCTATCCCTCCCCCCTCCTCCCACCCCACAACAGGCCCTGGTGTGTGATGTTCCCCTTCCTGTGTCCATGTGTTCTCATTGTTCAATTCCCACCTATGAGTGAGAATATGCGGTGTTTGGTTTTTTGTTCTTGCGATAGTTTACTGAGAATGATGATTTCCAATTTCATCCATGTCCCTGCAAAGGACATGAACTCATCATTTTTAATGGCTGCATAGTATTCCATGGTGTACATGTGCCACATTTTCTTAATCCAGTCTATCATTGTTGGACATTTGGGTTGATTCTTAGAACTAAAAAATGAATTTAGTAAAGTTGCAGGATACAAAATCAACATTAAAAATTAGTAGCTTTTCTATACACTAACAGTGAACTATCTGAGAAAGAAAGAAAGAAAATCCTATTTTTAATAGCTACAGAAAATAAAATACTAAGAGATAAATTTAACCAAGGAGATAAAAATCAATAAAGTATATATATGTGTGTCTATTTCTGGATTATGTATTATATTCCATTGACATATGTGATTATCTTTTAGCCAAGACCAGATTGTTTTGATTACTGTAGCTTCAGAGTGTAGCTTAAACTTAAGTAAATTTTTCTCTCTTTTTTTTTTTTTGTTATTCTTTTTAAACAAACAGCTTGGCTATTCTAGGTTTGCATTCATATATAAATTTTAGAATTATCTTCTCAATTTACACAGAAAAGACTACTACATTTTGATTGAGACTGTTCTTGAGGAGAATTGACATCTTAATAATATTGGGACTTTCCATTATATAGGGTTTATCTAATTTACCTCAGCAATATTTTACAGTTTTCAGTATACAGGTCTTACACAACTTTTATTACCTTTTTTTCCTAGGCTTTTTTTTTTGCATTATTGTAAACATTTTTAAAATTTCATTTTCCAATTGTTTGTGCTAGTATAGAAAAATGTAATTGTTTTAAAATATTATTAGTATTTTATATTATTACTTTACTAAGTTCATTTAGTTCTAGGAAGAGAAGAAAACTTCCTCAAACTGTTAAAGTGCATCTTTGAAAATTCTATGCCTAATATTTTACTTCTTACATAGTGCAAGATTTGATGTTAATATTTTGTGAAAAAATTTCATAATGTGTTTTTTAATTTGTAAGGTGTTTGTATAGTTTTGATATATGGTTAATTCTACCTTCATAAAATGAGTTAGTGTTCTCTCCTTGATTTTCTAAAAGGGTTTTTGTGTAAAATTAATATTACTTCTTTCTTACATGTTTGCTTAAATTTGTCAGTGTAGCCAATTTGATAGAAGGCTTTTTATCAACAAATTCAGTTTTTTAAAGATATAAGGCTTTTCAGTTTTTTTATTCTTAAGTAGGTTTCAAAAGCTTTGTCTTCAATGAATTTGTCCATTTCAACTGTTACTGAATTTGATTAGCGTAATATTGTTAATAATATTCCCTCATTTTTCCTTTCACGAATGTAAATCTATATGAATGACCCTTCCTTCCTTCCTGATATTAGAGATTTGTGTTCTATTTTTTTCCTTATCAGTCTAGTTGTTAGTTTATAAATGTTGATTATCTTTTTAAAGAACTAGCTTTTGATTTCCTTAATTTTTTGCATTGCTTGTTTCCTCTTTTATTGATTTCTGCTCTTATATTTATTATTGTGTTTTCTCTCTTTTGTTTCTTGCTTCTATGGGTGAATTTTACACATTTCTTCCTTTAAAATTAGCACTTAAAGGTATTACTTTTCCTAAAACCACTGTGTTAGCTGCTTATTTCAAATTTTGGCATGTTGTATTTTCATTATCATCCAGTGAAAACTTTAATTTCTTCATGAATTTCTTCTTTGAGCAAAGGGTTGCTTAGACGTGTGTTTGATTTCTAAATATTTGGTATTTTCTTAAAAATCTCATTGTAATTGATTTCTAATTCAATTCTGTTTTGGTTGGAGGACATCTTTTATATGACTTCAGTTTTTTTTAATGTTTTTGAGACTTGTGGCACAGAATGTGGCCAAACTCAGCGAATATACGATGTGCACTTGCAAAGAATGTATTCTGCAGATGCTGGGTTAGGGTACTAAAAATATGAATTAGGTCAGTGTGGTTGATAACTATATTAGTTGTTTATAACTATGTAATGAATTACCCCACAACTTAGCAGCAGATAAGAAATATGTATTTTGAAAGATAAAAATACATCTTAAGTTGATATTGATACTTTTCATTAAAATTTAGGACTGAGGATTTTTTTTTCCTTTTTTTTTTTTTCTTTGACGGAGTGTCACTCTGTCACCCAGGCTGGAGTGCAGTGGTGTGATCTCAGCTCACTGCAACCTCTGCCTCCCGGGTTCAAGCAATTCTCTGCATCAGCCTCCCAAGTAGCTGGGATTACAGGCATCTGCCACCACATCCGGCTAATTTTTGTATTAAACTTACTTATTTTACATCTATTATCTTCTTTCTTCCTCACTATAAAATTGAACAATACCAACATACAGACATACCTATCTCTCCACAACCTCACCCAACAGTGTATGTTGTCAAACTTTTGGATTTTGCCAGTTATAGATGAGAAATGGTATTTCCAAATACTTTTAATTTGGATTCCTCTTACCATGACTGATGTGAAATATATTTTCATATGACTAAGAGATATTTTTACTTCTTTTTCCATAAAATTTCTGTCCATATGTTTAGTCTGGTTTGCTATAGGTTTGGGTTGATCTTTATTTTTAATCCAGCTTCATCTAGCCACGTGCCAGGGAGCTGTGCAGGCCACTGTTCTAAGCCCATGAATTCTGACAATTGTCTCTTCCCGAACTTAACTATTCCCGTTCAGATCTAGAATTCATAGTGTCTGTGTCCAGATGCCTTTGTAATCCTGATTTTATGGACTTGCCATGCGATCTGCTTTTTTAAAAGTTTGTCTCTCAGTGCTCTTGCAATAACATGGCTTAAACTCACTTCAGTTTGGGTTAATTTGGGTTGTGTATCTATCCTAGCATATTTCTTAGGCTCTAACCATTGATTTCTACTCATAGCAGTAAGACTTACTTGCACTAAGATTCATAATTGGGTAACTGAAGCAGCTTACTAGCCAGGTAGTCTTGGTCAAATTGCTTAATCACTTAATCTACATTTCTTTATCTGTAAAATGAAAATAATCATATCTGCTAGTTATAGAGAGATGGAAATAAAGAACATAGGCAAATTACCCAAAATCTATTCCTGTTATACTCATTCCATAAATTATCTTAAAAGAACAGTTTGCTAAAGAAAATGGCAGCTGAAAGGGGCAGTAGATTAAAACTTTTTCCAGAAAAACACTGAGCATTAAATTTTACTCTAAAAGGTGTCTCTTTGCCAGTCAGATACACTCACTATAGATAAGCTACGAGTGTATCTTTTCCTTGTGAACACATTCCAGGAGCTTTGTGCCTTGCACAGTTAGAGCCTGCCGATATCCAGCCTCAACTCCAATTACACATCCAGGTTTTCTCACTTCATGGCAATACTAAACTATTTATAACTCTTGTAAATTTTTATTTGGCTTTGTACCTCCTTTAAATGCCATTATTTTTGTTTGCATTTTCCCTTCTGTCTTCCTGGAAAACTCCTCATGTACTTAGATCCAGCTAAAAAATTACTTATTATAGGAAAGCATGCCTAATCTCTTACTCCTGTTTTCCTGGAATTTAAACATCTCTTCTTTTAAACTTCTATACATCACAGGCAACTTCGATCATTGCACTGAAAACTTTGCATTATAATTGTTTCCCTAGCTACTGCCTCTCCTGGATCTTAAGCTCTTGGAAAAAAGGGGATATTGTTTATTATGATATCTCTGTGCCTAGCAGAGTACTTTGCCAATAATTGCTGCTTAAAAGATGTGTACTACCAATTCTCACTAAGAGCTTGCCTTGCAGAAATGTGAACTTAATAGGCCATTGTCTATATCACGGGTCCCCAACCCTGGGGCTGCAGACTGGTACCAGTCCTTGGCCTATTAGGGATTGGGCCGCACAGCAGGGGGTGAGCGGCAGGTGAGTGAGAATTGCGGCCTGAGCTCCACCTCTTGTCAGATCAGTTGGAGGCATTAGATGCTCACAGGAGCATGAACCCTATTGTGAACTGTGCATGCCAGGAATCTAGGCTGTGCATTCCTTATGAGAATTGAACTAATGCCTGATGATCTGAGGTGTAACAGTTTCATCCGAGAACTATCGTGCTCCCTTCCTCCTTGTCCGTGGTGGAAAAATTATCTTCCTCGAAATGGGTCCCTGGTGCCAAAAAGGTTGGGGACCGTTTTCCCATCATAGATTCTATGATGTGACTTCAACAATGCTTAGGAAAATCCTTTTATTCCATACCAGCAGCCAATCAATAGTCCCCACTAAACTTTTTTTACCTCCTCATTGGTGCTTGAAAAGCCTAGTAAAATAATTTCTTCCACACTCAGAGATAGACTAAAAGCCTGGAAGAAGACTTGAATATAAAGCAAGAGGGGGGTGATGGGCACTCTGGGCTTAAAGCAGGACTATGCCAGAGTCAGGAAGAGAAAGTCAAAAGTTTATACTGGGACAAATTTTGCCAAGACTTTTGCTTGGCTGTCATAATTTAGATATTCATTGGCAACTGCAATACAAAAATAGTCTGAAGAATGTGAAAAAATATGATTTTAACTAGGAGTCAGATCTATTAATGCATATTTCTCTCTCTACCCCCTATGTCTTTTTCAAAATTCAGAAGCGGAGGGTGCTGCTCAACCAAACAACTCATTAATGCTGCAAACTAGCAAGGAGAATCATGCTTTAGGTAATGTGCATCTTTTAACAATAATTCTAGTAGGGGAGTGCTTGATGTCCATATAGGTTTTACATTTTTGGATCTTGAATTGTCTCATGCATTATCTGTATTATCTAAATGATATTATATTTAAGAGTGTTAATAAATTTTTCATTCTGAAATTATTTCTATGCTTATTTAGTACCTATTTTAAGAATGGGATCACTAAACAAAACCAATGGCCTATTCAAAAAATTTGTTATTCAACTTTTGAAACCTAGATTATTATCCCAGAGCACTTTTTAATAAGCAGATCTTAATAGGTGTTAATGATTTATTTTCTATATCCTCTCTCAACCCTATTTTCTCCAAAATTTTTGTTTGCCATTTTAATTAACATTGAAACAGAAAAGAAAAGTTAACAGACTTTATTTTTTTAGAGAAGTTTTAGGATCGTAGCACAATTGAGTGGAAAGTACAGAAATTTCCCCTATGACCTCTGCCCCCACATGTGCAAAGCCTCCCCATTATCAACATACCTGACTAGAGTGGTACATTTGTTTCAATTAATGAACCTACATTGAAACATCATCATTATCACATTATCAAAGTCCAAAGTTTGCATTAGAGGTCACTTTTAGGGTTGAATATGAATGTTTTCAGGCAAATGCATAATGACATGTCTCCACCATGATAATATTTTATAGAGTAATTTCACTGACCTAAAAATCGTCTCTATTCTACCTATTCATCCTTCCCTGCCCACTAACCCCAGGCAATCCTGGTATACTGTCTCCATAGTTTTGTCTTTTCCAGAGTGTCATATAATTGGAACGTTACAGTATGCAGCATTTTCAGACTGGCTTTTTTCACTTAATAATATGCATTTAAGTGTTCCCCCATGACTTTCCATGTCTTAATGGCTCTTTTTTTTTAGTACTGAATAATATTCCATTGTTTGACTATACCACAGTTTATTCATTTGCCTGGTAAAAGACATCTTGGCTGCTTCCAAGTTTTGGCAATTAGGAAAAAAGCTGCAATTAACACCCATGCACGGGTTTTTGTATGGATGTAAGTTTTCAACTCTTAGGGTAAATACCAAAAAGCATGATTGTTGGATTGCATGGTAGGAGATTGCTTAGTTTTGTAAGAAACTGCCAAACTGTCTTTCAAAGTAGATGTACCACTTTGCATTCCTGCTACCAATTAAGTTCCTGTTGCTCCACTCCTCGCCTTTGGTGTGTAGTGGTTCTCATTGTTGTTTTAATTTGCCTTTCTTTGATGACATATGATGTAGAGCATCTTTTCATATGCTTATTTTCCATAAATATGTACATTTTCCATATATATCTTCTTTGGTAAAGTGCCTGTTAAGATTTTTGACCTGTTTTTTAATCTGGTTGTTTGCTTGCATATTGCTGAGTTTTAAGGTTCCTTTGTGTGTTTTGGATAACAGTCTTTTATCGGATATGTCTTTTGAAAATACAGTTGGCCCTCTGTATCCATGGGTTTCAAATCTGTGGATCCAACCAACCATGGATTGGAAATATTTGGAAAAAATTCCACAAAGTTCCAAAAAGCAAAACTTGAATTTGCCTTACTACATTGAGTCCACAGGATGTAGTGATATACAGGCATTGTATTAGGTATTATAAGTAATCTAGAGACGATTTAAAAAATACAGGTGGTTATATGCAAATACTAAGCCATTTTATACAAGGGATATGAGCATCTGTGGATTTTGGTATCCATGGGGTGATGGAATCCCTCAGAGGCAACAAGGGATGACTGTATTTTTTTTTTAGTATGTGGCTTATCTTTTCGTTCTCCTTTTTTTTTTTTTTTTTTTTGAGACGGAGTCTCGCTTTGTCGCCCAGGCTGGAGTGCAGTGGCGCGATCTTGGCTCACTGCAAGCTCCGCCTCCCGGGTTCACGCCATTCTTCTGCCTCAGCCTCCGGAGTAGAGTAGCTGGGACTACAGGCGCCAGCTACCACGCCCTGCTAATTTTTGTATTTTTAGTAGAGACGGGGTTTCACCGTGTTAGCCAAGATGGTCTCGATTTCCTGACCTCGTGATCCGCCCGCCTCGGCCTTCCAAAGTGCTGTGATTACAGGCGTGAGCCACTGCTCTTAGAAATTTTTCACAGAGTAGAAATTTTTAATTTTACTGAAGTCCAGTTTATAGATTCTTTATTTTATGGATTGTGCCTTTACTGTGGTAGCTAAAATGTCACTGCCAAACCAAAGATCATTTGGACTTTCTCTTATGTTACCTTCTAGGAGTGTTTTTAGTTTTGCATTTTTATATTTAGGACACTGATCCATTTTGAGTTTATTTTTGTGAAAGGTGTGAGGTCTGTATCTAGATTTAATTTATTTTTGCATCTGGATGTCCAGTCGTTCCAACACCATTTGTTCAAAAGACTCCAATGTATTGCCTTTGCTAATTTCCAAATACAATATTTATGTGAGCCTATTTCTGGGCTCTCTATTTGGTTTCATTTACTTATTTAGCTCTTCTTTTGCTAATAAAATACTGACTTGATTATTGTAGCTTTATAGTAAATCTTGAAGTCGAATAGTGTCAGGCCTCAAACTTTGTTCTTCTTCAATAATGTGTTGACTATTCTGAGTCTTTTGCCTCTCTAGATAAACTTAAAAATCAGTTTGTTTATGTCCATAAAATAACTTGCTGAGATTTTGGTTGGGATTGTGTTGAATACATAGATCAAGTTGGGAAAAACTGGGACTTTGGTAATATTCATTCACCCTATCTGTGAACATGAGGTCTCACTCCATTTACTTAGATTTTCTTTGATTCTTTTCCATCAGAGTTTTATAGTTTTCCTCATATAGATGTTGCACATATTTTGTTAGACTTATACCTAAGTATTTCATTTTTGGGGATGCTAATATAAATGGTATTGTGTTTTTAACTTCAAATTCCACTTGTTCACTGGTGACTTATTGGAAATTGTCATACAAACATTGACTTTTGTATGTTAACCTTGAATTAATATCTTCCATCACATCAATGAGTCAATACAATACAAAAAATTGACTTTTGTATGTTAACCTTGTATTTTGCAACCTTGCTGCAATTTCTTATTAGTTCTAGGAGTTTTTTTGGTCAATTCTTTCAGATGCTTTACATAGATAATTATGTCATGTATGAACAAAGACAGTTTTATTTCTTCGTTACTGATCTTGATCCCTTTTATTTATTTTTTCTTGTCTTATTGCATTAGTTAGAAATTCCAGTGGTGAATTAGTTAGAAAAGCATTAGTTAGAAAAGCAGTGGTGAAAAGAGTCATCTTGCTTTGCTCCTGATGCTTTGCTTTCTCACCATTAATTATGATGCTAGCTGTAGAGTTTTTTGTAGATGTTTTTTAAGTTGAGAAATTTCTCTTTATCCCAGTTTACTGAGAGTTTTTAAAAAATCATAAATGAATGTTAAATTTTGTCAAATGCTTTTTATGTATCTATGGAAATGATCATATTATTTAGCTTATTGATGTGATGGAAGATATTAATTCATTTTTGAATTTTGAGCCAGGCTTGCATATCTGGAATAAACCCCAGTTGTTCATGGAATATAATTCTTTTACTACATTCTTGAATTTGATTTACTAATATTTTACTGAGGATTTAAAAATGTATGTTTATGAGAGATATTGGTCTGTGGTTTTCTTTTTTGTAATGTTTTTGTCTGGTTTGGTTATTAGGATAATGCTAACCTGATAGAATGAGTTAGGAAGCATTCCCTCTGCTTCTGTTTCTGAAAGAGATTAAGGAGAGCTGGTATGATTTCTTCCTTAAATATTTAACAGAATTTATCAGTGAACCCATCTAGGCCTCGTACTGTGTGTCCTGAAAGGTTATTAATTATTGATTCAATTTATTTAATAGATACAGTCCTGTTCAATTTGCCTGTTTCTCCTTTAATTTATTTACTAGATATAGTCCTGTTTAAACTGCCAAATTGTTTTGGCAGGTTGTATCTTTTCAAGAATTGGTTTATTTCATCTGTGTTGTCAAATTTGTGGGCATAGAATTCTTCATAGTATTCTGTTATTATCATTTTAATGTAAATGGCATCTGTGTTAATATACCCTCTTTCATATCAGATATTAGCAACTTGTATCTTCTCTCTTTTTTTCTTGGTCTGGCCAGTGACTTATCAATTTTATTGATCTTTTCAAAGAACCAGGTTTTGGTTTTATTGATTTTCTCATTTTCAATTTTATTGTCTTCTGTTCTAATTTATATTTTCTTCTGCTTAATTTGGATTTAATTTGCTCTTCTATTTTCTAGTTTCGTAAAGTTGGAGTCTGGGTGATTGATTTTAGACCTTTCTAATTTTCTAATATGTGCATTCAATGCTATAAATTTCCCTCTAAGAACTACTCCTGCTGCATCCACAAATTTTGATAAATTGTGTTTTCATTTTCATTTATTTAAAAATATTTTAAAATTTCTCTTTAGGTTTCTTTTTTCACCTATGCATTATTTAGAAGTCTGTGGTATAATCTCCAAATATTTTGGAACTTTCCACTACCTTTTTGTTTTTCATTTCCAGTTTAATTCCATCATGGTCTAAAAGCAGGCATTATGTAATTTCTATTTTTTATATTTGTTAGGATGTGTTTTATGGCTCAGAATGTGGTCTATTTTGGTACAAGTTTCATATGAGCTGGAGAAGAATGTGTATGCTGCTCTTGTTAGAAAAAGTCATCTATAGATGTCAGTTATACTAGTTAATTGATGGTATTGTTGAATTCAGCTATTTTGTTACTGAATTTCTGCCTGCTGGATCTGTCTGTTTCTAATAGAGGGGTATTGAAGTCTCCAACTATTATAGCAGATTCATTTATTTCTCCTTGCTGTTCTATCAGTTTTTGCCTCATATATTTTGATCCTCTTTTGCTAGGTGCACATATGTTAAGGATTATTATTTCTTTTTGGAGAATTGACTCATATATTATTATGTAATGATAACACATCATTATGTAATAACTTTTCTTGCTCTGAAGTCATTGCTGTGTAAAATTAATATAGCTACTTCCATTTCCTTTTGATTAGTATTAGCATGACTTATCTTTATTCATCCCTTTTCTTTCAAACTACATATATATATATATCTCTTTAGATTTCAAGGTTTTTTGTAGACAACATATAATTGGTCTTGCTTTTTGATCTACTCTGACAATCTCCGTCTTTTATTTGGTGCATTCAGACCATTGATGTTCAAAGTGATTACTGATACTGTTAGATTAATATCTACCACAGTTGTTACTGTTTTCTTTTAGTGCCTCTGTTCTTTGTTCCTATTTTTGTCTTCTACTCTTTTCCTGCCTCTTATGATTTTACCTGAGTATTTTATATGATGCCATTTTCTATCCTCCTTAGCATATTAGTTATATTTCTATTTTTACTTTTTTAGTCATCACTTGAGCTTGCAATATACATTTATAATGAATCCAAATTAACTTTCAAATACTACTATATACTGTTTCATGGGTAGTGTGAATACCTTGCAATAACAAAATAGTCCTAGTTCCTTCCTTCCTTTCCTTGTATCATTATTTTATTCATTCTTCTTATACATAACACATACATAATCAAATACATTGTTACTATCATTATTTTGGACAAAGTGTTATCTGTTAGATTAATTAAGAATAAGAAAAATGCAAGTTTTAATTTTACCTTCACTTGTTTGTTTTCCAGTGTTCTTCTTGATATAGATCTGAGTTTTTGACTGATATTATTTTACTTCTCTCTAAAAAAATTTCTCTCAACATTTTTTGGAAGGCAGGCCTACAGACAACAAATTCCCACAATTTTTGTTTGTCTGAGAACATCTTTATTTCTCCTTCAGTTTTGGAGGATAGTTTTTGCAGGACATGAAATTCTAGGTTGGTAGTTTTTTTCCCTCAACACCTCAAATATTTTACTTTGCTGTCTTCTTGCTTGCATGGTCTCTGAGGAGAAGTTGGGTATAATTCTTTTCTTTTCTTCTTGGTAGGTAAGGTGTTTTTCCCTTCTGGCTTCTTTCTGAAGTATTTCTTTACATTTGATTTTCTGTAATTTGAAAATAATACATCTAGGTGTAGGTTATTTTTGGCATTTATTCTGCTTGGCGTTCTCTGAGTTTCCTGGATCTGTGATTTAGTGTCTGAAATTAATTTGGAGAAAATTCTTAGTCATTATTATTTAAAGTATTTCTTATTTTTTTCATTTTTTTAACTACAATATAGCAACTTTTCAAAAACAAAATTTGAAATAGATTAAAACTATTGTGATTGTGAAAAACTCTACAGAGCTCAAGGGAAGGAATGCATGTTGATCTCAGAAATTATGGAATTAGAAAGTTGAACTAGATGAGGGCTCTCATCTCTGTTCCTCTCCTGCTTCTGCTTTAGTTACTTATTTATATTAATTTTAACTGACACATAATAATTGCACATATTTATGGGGTACATAGTAATATTTTGATACATACAATTTGTAGTAATCAGATCATGGTAATTGGCATATCCTTCACTTCAAACATTTCCTTGTGTTGGGAACATTCAATATCTTCTTCTAGCTCTTTGAAAATATGTAATATATTATTGTGAACTATAGTCATCCTACAGTACTATAAAACAATAGAACTTGCTCATCCTACCTAGCTATAATTTTGTGCCCTTTAACAAATTTCCTCTATTCCCCCCTTTCCCTTACCCTTTGTAGTCTATAGAAGCCTGTGTTCTGCCTTTTACTTCTATGAGACCAACTTTTTTTAAACTTCTGCATAGAATGAGAACATGTGATGTTTGGCTTTTTGTTCTTGGCTTATTTCACTCAACATAATATCCTCCGGTTCCATCCATGTTGCTGTGAATGACAAGATTTCATTTTTTATGGCTGAATAGTATTCCATTGTGTATATATACCACATTTTCTTTATCCATTCATTTGTTATTGGGCGTTTGGGTTGATTTCCTGTCTTGGCTATTGTGAATATTGCTGTAATAAACATAGGGGTGCAGATAGATATTTCTTTAACATATTTATTTCCTTTCCTTTGAATAAATGTTTACGAGCAAGATTGCTGGATCATATGACATTTCTATTTCTAATTTTTTTAGGAACTTCCATACTATTCTTCATAGAGACTGTATTAGTTTACATTCCTATCAGTGATTTATAAGAATTCCCTTTTCTTTGCATCCTCACCAACATTTATTTGTGTCTTTTTGATAATAGCCATTCTAACTGGGGTGAATGATATCTCCTTGTGATTTTAATTGACATTTCCTTGATGATTAGTGATGTTGAGCACTTTTTCATGTATTTGTTAACCATATGTATGTCTTCTGTTCAGAAATATCTGTATCAATTACCCATTTTTAAGTTAGTTTTTCTGTTATTGTGGAGATATTTGAATTCCTTGTATATCTGGATATTACTCTTTTGTTGGATGAATATTTTACAAATATTTTATCCCATTCTGTAAGTTTATTCATTCTGTTTATTGTTTTGCTGTGCAGAAGGTTTTTAGTTTTATATAATCCCATGTGTTTATTTTTGCTTTAGTTACCTATGCTATTGAGGTCTTATTCTTAAAATTATTTCTCAGATCAATGTCCTGAAGTATTTCATCGGTGTTTTCTTCTAGCAGTTTTATAGTTTCTGGTCTTATATTTAGGTCTTCAATGAATTTTGAGTTGATTTTTGTATGGGGTGAGAGGCAGGAGGTCTAGTTTCATTCTTCTGCATATGAATATTCAGTTTACCCAGCGCCATTTATTAAAGAAGGTGTCCTTTCCCAAATGTATGTTCTTGACATCTTTGTCAAAGCAGTTGACTGTATATATGTGGACTAATTTCTGGGTTCTCTATGCTGTTCCATTTTTCTATGTGTCGGTTTTTATGCCAGTACCATGCTGTTTTGATTAGTACAGCTTTATGGTATATTTTGAAGTCTGTTAGTGTGATGCCGCAGCTTGTTTTTTTTTTTTTTTTGGTTTGTTTGTTTTTTGCTCAGTATGGGCTTTGGCTGTTTCGGGTCTTTTGTGGTTCCATGTAAATTTCAGGATTTTTTTTCTATTTTTGTTAAATGAAATGACACTTCATTGGTATCTTGATAGTAATTACATTTATTCTGTAGACTACTTTGGGTAGTATGGGCATTTTAACAATATTAGTTATTCTAGTCCATGAATATGGGATGTCTTTCTATTTTTTGTGTCTTCTTAAATTTCTTTCTGCAGTGTTGTATGGCTTTACTTGCAGAGATCTTTCATCTCCTTGGTTAAATTCATTCGTAGATATTTTATTCATTCATTTATATATTTTTGTAGCTATTGTAAATGGGATTGCTTTCATGATTTCCTTTTCATCTGGTTTGTTGTTTGTGTATAGAAATGCTACTAAGTTTTGTCTATTGATTTTGTATGCTGCAACTTTATTGAATTTGTTTATCAGTGTTAACAGTTTTTTGGTGCAGTCTTTAGGGTTTCTCTATATAAGATAATTTTATCTGGAAACATGGACAATTTGACTTCCTCCTTTCTAAATTGGATGTACTTTACTTATTTATTTTTCTTGCCTAATTTCTCTGGGCCAGACTTCCAGTACTATCTTGAATAACAAGGGTGAGAGTAGGCACTTTTTCTTCTAATTCTTCTTCTAATTCTTAAAAGCTGAAAGCTTTTCCCCATTTAGTATAATATTAGCTACATGGCCTATAGATGGCCTTTATTGTGTTGAAGTACTTTCTTCTGTACCTAATTTATTGAAAGTTTTTAGTGATGAAGGGATGTTGAATTTTATAAAATGCTTTTTCTGATCATATGATATTAAAATAATCACCTAGTTTTTGTTCTTCATTTTGTTGATGCAATGTATCACAAATATCGATTTGCATATGTTGAACCATCCTTGCATATCTGAGGTGAATCTCACTTGATTATGGTGCCTGATGTTTTTGATGTTCTGTTGAATTCATTTGCTAGTATTTTATATATATGTTTATTAGTAGTATTGGCTTGTGCTTTTCTTTTTTGCTGTGTCTTATCTGGTTTTTGTATCACAATCATGCTGGGCTTGTCAAATGAGTTTTGACATTCGATGACATTCAAATGAGTTTTACATTCAATTTTTTGGAATAGTTTGAAGTATTTCATCTGTGTATCAAGGACTGGTATTAGTTCTTTAAAAGTTTGGTAGAATTCAGCTGTGAAGCCATTTGTTCCTGGACTTTTCTTTGTTGGGAGACTTTTCATTACTAATTCAATCTCATTACTCATTATTGGACTGAGGTTTTCCATTTCTTGTTGGTTTAAAGTTGTTAGGTTGTCTGTATCCGGGAATTTTTCAGTTTTCTCTAATCTTTTGAATTTATTCATGTGTAGTTGTTCATAATAGTTTCTAATGGTCTTTTGTATTTATGTAGTCTCTGTTATTATGTCTCCTTTTTGTTTCTGATTTTATTAATTTGGTTTTTTCTCTTTTTTTCTTTATTCATCTAGCTAATGGCTTGTCAATTATGTTAATCTTTTTACAAACCCACAGCTCATATCATACTGAATGGGCAAAAACTAGAAGCATTCCCCTTGAAAACTGGCACAAGACAAGGATGCCCTCTCTCACCACTTCTATTTAACATGGTATTGGAAGTTGTGGCCAGGGTAATCATGCAAGAGAAAGAAACAAAGAAAATTCAAATAGGAGGAGAGGAACTCAAGTTATCTTTGTTTGCAGATAACATGATTCTATATCTAGAAAACCCCATCATCTCAGCCCAAAAGCTTCTTAAGCTGATAAGTAACTTCTGCAAAGTTTCAGGATCCAAAATCATTGTGCAAAAATTGCTAGTATTCCTATACACCAACAACAGACAAGACAAGAGCCAAATCATAAATGAACGCCCATTCACAATTGCCACAAAAGAATAAAATACCTAGGAAAACAACTAACAAGGGAAGTGAAGGACCTCTTTAAGAAAAACTATAAACTGCTGCTCAAAGAAATCAGAGATGACACAAACAAATGGAAAAACAGTCCATGCTCATGGATAGGAAGAATCAATATTGTGAAAATGACCATACTGCCCAAAATAGTTTATAGATTCAGTGCTATTCCCATTAAGCTACAATTGACATTGTTCACAGAATTAGAAAAAACAGTTTTAAAATTCATATGGAACCAAAACATAACCCAAATAGCAAAGGCAATTCTCAGCAAAAAGAACAAAGCTGGAAGCATCATGCTACCTGACTTCAAACTATACTATAGGGCTACAGTAATCAAAACAGCATGGTAGTTGTACGAGAACAGACACATAGACCAATGGAACAGAATAGAGAACCCAGAAATAACACCGCACACCTACAACTATCTTATCTTTGACAAACCTGACAGAAACAAGCAATGGGGAAAGGATTCCCTATT
Source organism: Homo sapiens (assembly GCF_000001405.40). Classification (NCBI taxonomy): domain Eukaryota; kingdom Metazoa; phylum Chordata; class Mammalia; order Primates; family Hominidae; genus Homo; species Homo sapiens. Next base: position 112,937,439 of record NC_000003.12, on the reverse strand, counting down.
TAATAAATGGTGCTGGGACAGCTGGCTAGCCATATGAAGAAAATTGAAAGTGGACCCCTTCTGATATGGTTTGGCTGTGTCCCCACCCAAATCTCATCTTGAAATGTAGTTTCTATAATCTCCATGTGTCATGGGAGGGACCTGCTGGGAGGTAATTTAATCATGGGGGGCAGTTACTCTCATGCTGTTCTCATGATAGTGAGTGAATTCTCATGAGATTTGACGGTTTTATAAGGGGCTTTTCCTCCTTTTGCTTGGCACTTCTCCATGCTGCTGCCATGTGAAAAAGGACATGTCTGCTTCCCCTTCTGTCGTGATTGTAAATTTTCTGAGGCCTCCCAAGCCATGCTGAACTATGAGTCAATTAAACCTCTTTCTTTTATAAATTATCCAGTCTTGGGTATGTCTTTATTAGCAGCATGAGAGCAGAGTAAAACACCTTCCTTACATCATGTACAAAAATCAACTCAAGATGGATTAAAGACTTAAACGTAAAACCCCAAACTCTAAAAACCCTAGAAGAAAATCAAGACAATATCATTCAGGACATAGGCTCAGGCAAAGATTTCATGATTTCATGACAAAGATGCCAAAAGCAACTTCAACAAAAACAAAAATTGACAAATGGGATCTGATTAAACTAAAGAGCTTCTGCACAGCCAAAGAAACTATCAACAGAGTAAACAGACAACCTACAGAATGGGAGAAAAGTTTTATAATCTATTCATCTAACAAAGGCCTAATGTCCAGCATCTACAAGGAACTTAAACAAATGTATAAGAAAAAAAGAACCCCATTAAAAAGTGGGTAAGGAACATGAATAGATAATTCTCAAAAGAAGACATACATGCAACCAAGAAACATATGAAAAAAAGCTCAACATCACTGATCATTAGAGAAATGCAAATCAAAACTACAATGAGATACTATCTCACACCAGTCAGAATGGTGATTACTAAAAAGTCCAGAAACAACAGATGCTAGCGAGGTTATGGAGAAAAAGGAACACTTTTACACTGTTGGTGGGAGTGTAAATTAGTGCAACCATTGTGGAAGACAATGTGGTGATTCATCAAAGACATAGAGGCAGAAATACTGTTTGACTCGGCAATCTGATTACTGGGTATATACCCAAAGGAATATAAATAATTCCATTTTAAGGATACATGCACGTGTATGTTCATTGCAGCACTATTCACAATAGCAAAGACATGAAGTCAACCTAAATGCCCATCAGTGATAGACTGAATAAAGAAAATGTGGTACATATATACCATGAAATATTATGCAGCCATGTATAGATGAGTTCATGTCCTTTGCAGGGACATGGATGCAGGTGGAGGTGATTAGATTATCCTCAGCAAACTAATGCAGAAACAGAAAACCAAACAGTGCATTTTCTCACTTATAAGTGGGAGCTGAATGATAAGAACACATGGACATATGGAGGGTGGAAACACACACTGGAGCCTGTCAGAGGGTGGGGAGTGGGAGGAGGGAGAGCATCAGAAAGAATAGCTGATGGATGCTGGGCTTAATACCTCGGTGATGGAATGATCTGTGCAGCAAATCACCATGGCATACATTTACCTAATAAACCTGCACATCCTACCTATATACCCCTGAAGTTAAAATATTGCAAACAGAAAAAACAAAACTTTTTTGTTGTTGGTTTTTTGCATTTCTTTTTAGGTTCAGTTTCATTGAGTTCTGCTCTGATCTTTATTCCTCCTACTAATTTTGGGTTCAGTTTATTCCTGGTTTTCTTCCTTAATATGTGCTGTTAGGATGTTAATTTGAAATATTACTACTTTTTTGATGTAGGGATTTATTGCTATGGATTTGCCTCTTAATGCTGCTTTTGCTGTATCCCTTAGGTTTTGGTATTTTGTGTTTCTATTTTCATTTGTTTCAAGAAATTCTTAAACTTCTTAATTTCTTTCTTTACTCATTTGTCATTCAGGAACATGCTGTTTAACTTTCATGTATTTGTATAGTTTCAAATGTTCCTCTTGTTATTGATTTCTAATTTTATTCCATTGTGGTCACATAAGATGATATGATTGTAATTTTTAAAAATTATTTGAGACTTGTTTTGTGACCTAACATATTGTCAATTCTGGAGAATGTTCCATGTGCTGGTGAAAATAATGTGTATTTTGCAGCTGTTATATAAAATGTTCTGTAAAGGTCTGTTAGGTCTGTTTGATTTATGGTGTGGTTTAGATCCAATGTTTCTTGATTTTCTGTCTAGATCATCTGCCTAATGCTGAAAGTAGGGTGTTGAAGTCCCCACCTATTATTGCTTTGAGGTTTATCTCTCCCTTTAGCTTTAATAATATTAGCTTTATATATCTGGGTGCTCCAACATTGGGTCCATATATATTTCCAATTGTTATGTCGTCTTGCTGAATAAATTCCTTTATTTTTACATAATGTTCTTTTTTATATAGCCTTTGTCTTAAAGTCTGTTTTATCTAATGTAAGTATAGCTACTCCTGCTTGTATTTGGATTCTGTTTGCATGTCTTTTTTCCACTCCACTTTCAGTTTATGTGTGTCTTTACAGGTGAGATGAGTTTCCTGTAGGTGGCATATAGTTGGTTTTTTGAGATGGAGTTTCGCTCTTGTCACCCAGGCTGGAGTGCAATGGCATGATCTTGGTTCACTGCAACCTCTGCTTCCCCGGTTCAAGCAATTCTCCTGCCTCAGCCTCCTGAGTAGCTGGGATTACAGGTGCCCGCCACCATGTCCAGCTAATTTTTGTATTTTTAGTAGGGATGGGGTTTCATCATGTTGGCCGGGCTAGTCTCAAACTCTTGACTTCAGGTAATGCACCCTCCTTGGCCTCCCAAAGTGCTAGGATTACAGGCGTGAGCCACCATGCCCAGCTGGGTCTTATATTTTTAAATCCACTTGGCCAGTCTATATCTTTTAATTGGGAAATTGAATCCATTTACATTCAAGATTATTTGATAGATGAGAACTTACATCTGTCATTTTATTGATTTTTTTTTTCTGCTTGGTGACAGTCTTGCCTTTATTTCTGAAGGATAGTTTTTCTGGATATAATATTCACTGACAGTTATTTTCTTTCAGTACTTTGAATGTATCACTCCATTTTCTCTTGGCCCATAAGGTTTCTGATGAGAAATCTGCTATCAGTATAAGGGGGATTCCCTTATATTTGGCTTGATGCTTTTCTCTTGCGTGTTTTTATCATTCTTCCTTTGTCTTTGCCTTTTGATAATTTGACTATAACATTCCTTAGAGAGGATGTATTTGGGTTAAATCTATTTGGGAAATTTTGAACTTCTTGGATCTGAATCTCTCTCTCTCTCCCAAAACTTGGAAAGTTTTCTGCTATTATTTTATTAAATATGTTTTCTGTGCCTTTTTCTTTCTTTTCTCCTTCCAGAATTTTTATAATGTGAATGTTTTTTGCTTACTGATGTCTCCTAAATCCTGTAAACTTTATTTTTTTAAAATTCTTTTTCTTTTTGTTTTTAAAATCCTCATGTATTATTTCAAAAGACTTGTCTTCAAGTTCAGAAATCCTTTCCTCTACGTTTTCTATGCTGTTGTTGAAAAATCGTATTTTTTATTTCATTCATTGACTTCTTCAGCTCTAAAATCTCTTTTTTTATGATAGCTATCTTTTTGTTGAATTTTTCATTTAAATCACAAATTGTTTTCCTGATTTTATTGAATTGTTTATCTGTATTCTCTTTTATCTCATTGAGTTTCCTTAAGATTATTATTTTGAATTCTTCTTCTGGCATTTCATATATTGCCTTATAATTGGTTATGTTACTGGAGAATTACTGGGTTGATTTGGGGGGTCTATCATATTTTCTTGCTTTTTCATGTTTGATGTGTTTCTATGTTGATACCTACATATCTGGTGCAATTGTCGCCTCTTCTAATTTTATGGTGTAGGCTTCTTAAGAAAAAGCTTATTTATATGTAATCCATTCTAGTGATGTTTGCAAGTGTCCCTATGACCTAGGTGGTGAGTTTGTGGCAGCAGTGGCACAGCTTTGCTGGGAGTTGGTTTGCCAGCCTGCTTTTCAGGTTATGGGTGCTTGTGTGCACATGGTGGGTTACTCAACTTGGCATCTGGCTTGCTGGGTTTGGGACTATGGGGCTCTTACTCTGGCCCTGGGCACAAGCACATGGTTGTTTGGCTATCCTCAGGGCATGTCTGCTAGGGGTGGACCCACTGGGCTGTTTCTTAGGTTCTGGAGTGGGTGGGCAGCCACTCGGCCAGTCTGGGGGCATGTCTGCTGAGAGTGGGCCCACCAGATTATTTCTTAGGCCCTGGGTACAGGTCCCCACCTGCTCAGCTGGTCTGTAGGTATGTCCACCAGGGGCATGCCTGCTGTGCTGTTTCTCAGTTCCTGGGGGTGAATGCACAATCTGTCAGTCTAGGGTTGTTCACAGTAGGGGCCCGCTGGCTGTTTCTCAGGCCCAGGACATAATCATGCAGACACTCAGCTGGCCTGGCTGAGTTTCCACTAGTGGTGGATCCACTGGGTTGTTTCTTAGGCTCTGGTTACAGGCACGGGGCCACTTGGTAGGCCTGGGGTTATATTTGCCAACAGTGAGCTTGTGGGGCTGTTTCTCAGCCGTGGATGTGACTGCTGGGCTGGCCTGGGGGGGATGTCCACTGGGAGTGGATCTGCCCTGCTGTTTCTCAGGCCCCAGTTGTGGGTATGGAACTGATATGTAGGTCTGGGGATGTGTCCTCTGGGAGCGACACCCTTGACAGTTTCCCAGATCCTGAGTGTTGGTGTGGGCTGCTGATTAGTCATGGGGGTGTATCTGCCACATGGAGGGCTCACAGGGCTATTTCTCAGGCCTTGAGTGAGGGCATGGGGCTGCTGGGGAGGCCTGGGGACATGTCTGTGGCCATGTTTGTTGGGGAGGAGGCACAGGACTGTTTCCCAGGCCCTGGGTGAGGATGCATGTACACTCAGCTGGCCTAGGGTTATGTCAGCTGCTGGGTCCTCTCCCCTTCAGGAGAGGGCATGCAGTGGTTTGGCCAGCTCAATGGCAGGTTTGTCCCGGGTAGGACTGCCAGACTGTTTCTCTGGCTGGAAGTGTGGGGAGAGGGGATTGGTTTCCCTACTGTGCAGGACCAGAGTCACAGCCAATCCTGAGCCCAGGCTCCATGCAGCAAATGTATAGCCAGCTGGTGGGCTGGAGAGGTACAGTGGCTACTAGTCCCCAGGACACGGTGTACTTCAAAAGTGGCTCTAGTCCATGGTGGCCCCTTGCTGCAGCAGCTTGGCTCACAGAGGGTGGGTGGGAGGTAGCAGGTGTACACATTGTGCCCCTTATCTGGAGCAGTGCAGCTGTATGAATTCCTGGTAGCACTCCACACTGGGCTCAGGGCTTGTGAGGACTGTGAAATTCTCTTGAAATAACTCTTTTCAGTAGCTATAGGGGCTGGTGGGGTTCTTCTGCTTATGTTTTCCCTGCAAGAGGAAGTCCCTCCTGAGCCTGGGCCAATCCAGGAAGAGGATGTGGAAGGATGGGGTGCCAGAGGCAGGGTGCTTTTATGCTTCCCTCCTGAGCTTCTGATGACCACGAGCTCCTCTCCACTACTTTTCTGCACTCCTGCACTCTCCCTTTGATACTCCAGTAGAATCTTAGCTGTCTATTGCTTGGTCCTTTCTTTTGGAGGAGATGTGCACCAGGGGCCTCTAGTCAGCCATCTTGCTGACATTTGCTTCTGCTATATTTTTCCCTTTGTACTCTAATAAGTAGAAAACAAAATGAGAAAGCAACAGAGATGGATGGCCCCTTCTCAGTTTTGCTTCTAAAATTCTTGAGAAAGGGCACTGCTGTATTAACCTGGGTGAAGTGCCCAACATTGGACCAAATAACTTTGATTGGGAAGTGGTAGCTGAAGAAAGGGATATAATTGGACCAGCTCATGTGAGATGCTCACGTAGACCAATCTCCCTGGCTGAGGAAGAAGGATGCAGTAGAGGCAGGTTTATCTTTTTCAAAATATTTCAAAACAAGGTGTATCACGAAAGAGAAATTATTGATTACTTAAGTATAATTTTCAGGATATTAACACATTTAGTCCCCTAATGATGGCATGACTTCTAATTTCTGTTTTACAATGATTTTTGTGTAATTTTAATTATGGTTAACTGATTGCCTATCATGTTGGATAAGACTTTGTGGAGGGATACTGGCTTCCACTCTGAGTACATAAAATTGATTTCATTTATTCTTCTCTAAATATTTTCTAGCTTCAAGCAGTTTATGTATGGATGAAAAACAGATTACACAGAACTACTCGAAAGTACTCGCAGAAGGTAATATGCTTCCTTACTAGTGGCCAGCACCTAGGGATGGAAAGTTGAACTTCCTTAGAAATATTAGCTAATGACCTGACTGGAAGCCAGCCTTATGACTACTTGAAGAACTTGGTGATCTGAGTACTGTGGTATGAGGGATCCTGAATGACCCAACCTCTAGTTGTTCTCCAAACAAGCCATGTTCTTGCTTGTCTCTGAACCTTTGCTAAGGTGGAGTGGCGGAAGGAGCATGGATTTAACTACCTCTCAGATCTATGTTAAAGTATTACCTCTTTCTTCATCTAGTTATGTACTTATTAATTTGCTGTGAAATGCAAGGGCTAGAGTACAAACCATGTAAGAGACAGGTGACACCAAAACAGGATAGGAAAGATGTTAAATGCAGGGTTTAGCAAAAACATCCTTCACCCACATAAAGGTTTGCCCCTCTATAGCTGATTCTGCTTATGCTATAGTGATGAAATCACTGACACTTACCTTTGTTAGAGGTGAGTAGTGACAAATACTTTGGTGGACTAATCACCTCTCAGTAAACCCTTACCAAGTCACTGACACATTGTGTCGATTTATGGGATGCATGAGGTTCTACGTTGGAAGATGCTTGTAGGATGCAGGGCTTAATTTTTCCTTTAAATGATGGACAACAGGGATCAACTTACGCCTTTAGTGTTGATAATTGGATTGAATATACAGAAATAAAATCTGTGAGCTAAGTTCACAGCTGAACTATCTGAAAGTGTATGTGTGACTAAATAGGAAGGAATGAAAACTCATCCAAAGGCTACATTTGATAATGTCATAAATTTGCAATAAAATATTTTTAATAAAAAATGTCTAAAGGGAAATAAATCGTTTTTTAAAAATTATATATCACACTATATTTTCACAAGAAATAAATATTTCTAAGCATCTCTTATCACAGGGCATTATCATTTTTCATTTTTATGGGATGGCTCAACTGGTGGAATAATAGTTTTTTTTTTTTTAAAGATCTGTGGGTTTCACTGACTTTGTGATTCTTTTTAAAAAAAAGAACTTAAAAAAATTTCTAGCTAGTTCAACCCAAATGCCATATTAGTTACTTTAAAAGAAAGCACTATATATTAATACATACCACATTTATGTTTGTCTGAAACAAAAACCTTAGAGATAGACTTTTTTGTGCTCACCAAAGCTGAGGAGGAGACAGCCACATCACTAATTGTTCCATTTTCTTTCCTGTGGCACATACATTGTATGATAAAGGCAATAGTCTCCACCACCTAAAGATTAGATGTAGAACATTGCCTTTGTTGTTTAATTTACAATTCTCTTTGTTTCTAGATATTAAAACTTCTCCATTAATATAAAAAATACTTTATTATATATCATATTTCTAATAATACATAATACAGGAGAAAATTGGTTAATCTCTAGATTGGGTTCAATATATTATTTATATTTTGAGAATTTTAATTTTTTATGAAGGTCTAATATTTTTGGAATAAGATCACCAACAAAGTTATGTTCTAGTGTAACTTCATATGTTGTGGATAAATGTAACACATGAAGTTCTTTATCAAGCTTTTCTTTTATCATTCTCTTTTCATGTCCAGTTAACACTTCATGGCCTGTAAAGATGGCTACAAATGCTGTGCTTTGTTGCCCTCCTATCGCATTAAGAAATTTGATCATAATAACATGGGAAATAATCCTGAGAGGCCAGCCTTCCTGCACAAAAGCCTACAAGAAAGAAACAAATGAGACCAAGGAAACCAACTGTACTGATGAGAGAATAACCTGGGTCTCCAGACCTGATCAGAATTCGGACCTTCAGATTCGTACCGTGGCCATCACTCATGACGGGTATTACAGATGCATAATGGTAACACCTGATGGGAATTTCCATCGTGGATATCACCTCCAAGTGTTAGGTAAGGAGCATCATATATTGAGGTATTTCACATCACCAGATTTGTGACGGAAACAAATGTCTCTCTGAATTCCATATGCTTTATGTGAAAACCGAAGCATTTTTTTCCCTCTTTCCTCTCTGCAGTTACACCTGAAGTGACCCTGTTTCAAAACAGGAATAGAACTGCAGTATGCAAGGCAGTTGCAGGGAAGCCAGCTGCGCATATCTCCTGGATCCCAGAGGGCGATTGTGCCACTAAGCAAGAATACTGGAGCAATGGCACAGTGACTGTTAAGAGTACATGCCACTGGGAGGTCCACAATGTGTCTACCGTGACCTGCCACGTCTCCCATTTGACTGGCAACAAGAGTCTGTACATAGAGCTACTTCCTGGTCAGTAATTCTTTTAGTTTTATTTTTTATTTTTTTCCATTCTTTTAAAAGAGTTAAGAAAAAAAAAGATGTGCAAATATATTTTGTTCGAGGATGCTCTCCCCACTCTTCATTTTTATCTCTTCCCTGACCAAAATAAAGAGATGAGTTGAGGAGAATAGTACAGACATTTGTTGTAAAAAGCCCTTTTTTAGAATGCAGTTTAATTCTACTATTAATGTTCACTTCTATGCTAGTAGTTAATTAGCATGAGTAGTATACTTTTAAAAATAATACTTATGGCTTATTGAAAGATAAAGTATACTTTGAAGCATGTAATTATGGTTCTATTAGAAGGATACATTTACTCAAAGTTGCTTTTATGAATTTTTAGTTTGTTGTAATTTTGTTTTCTGGACTTTTCATCATTGAATTTCTTAAATGTCTTATAATAACATCTATGATTCATTTAATCACTGTTTAGTTTATTTACTCTCTGCTCTCATCCTACTCTCATTTCTTGTTATTTAAAAACTATTAAATATCAACAAACATATTTAAAGTGCAATTGTTCTGTAAGGCTTCCTGAAAAACATTAGCTCTACCCCTGTCTTTCCAACCCAATTGCCATCTCCATTAAACTCCCCACAGGTAGGTACTTTCAAATTTTCCAGTGTTTCTTCTGGTAATTAGTGCCATTTTTATACAACATGCTCATACTGCTATTTCTTACTGTATCAAATTTAGACATTATGTAATCACAACTTCTTATGGTAGATGAGGATTTCACATTACCTTCTTCCTTTCCTTCAAACTTTAGTTGAGGTAATGCAATTTTTCATTAAATAGCCTATGTTCCCATCAATTTGAATATTTAAGTACTGTTAAGTGCTGAATCAAGAAATACACTCATGCTTTCTCTTTCAAATGACTTTTTTTCCTTGGACTTCATAAGTGCTTTACCTTTTTTGTTTCCTTAAGAATGTATGTACCTATCGTGAACTATCACTAAGCCTATTGACAAAACTAGAGAACCCCTTAGTAATATTTTCTACATGGTCAGATTTATTAGGTAATCTGTTAGTTCTATTTTTTCTCAAAGTCATTCCTTCTTGAGTTTTGGTATGTGTTTGGTCTAATCTCTCCTGATTGGCCTCTAGATCTGCTGTACAGCTATTGTCCTGGACACTCTCATTGCCTCAGTCCTCTACTTAGCCTGTGTCTATTTAATCTGAGTTTCTTCTGTCTTCTATACATTTGTTTGTTTTTAACTCTTTCTTTCATATATGAGACTTTTCTTCACTCTTTGGTAATCCTTGGGTATGGATTCATTTTGAAGTGAGTACTATATGAGCTACTTGGAAGCTCAACTAGTTAATGGTTGGATTTGTCAACTAGTTAGCTTCAGTTCAGTGAAAAGAAGCTGTGATTTTTTAATAACTAGAGATTTGTTATGTATCTGAAGGCCTTTTCTCTGGGGCTGTTCAGGCTCTGCAGAAATTAACTCAGCAGTTTCTGGCCTTGGAGAGATAAGCCTGACTACCAGTGTTTGGGAAAGGAGGGAGCAATATGTGTATGTGTGTGAGTGTGCATGTGAGTGTGCCACTGTTGAGAATCAGACTTCCTTTTATACCTCTCTTCAGTCTGGTATTTCATTCTCACCCTCCCTGATGTCTGGATCCTTGACTTTGGAGTCTCTCCAGTTCATCTTCTTTGGACCAATCTGCCAATCTCCCCTTTTTCTGCTAGTTGGGAAAGGTGTGCTACATAAAATGGAGCAGGAGACAAGGGAACCTGCCTGTTCTCAAGACAAAATTTCAAAGAAGCTCTCAACTTTTAGCCCCACACTTCACCCCTCCACATACTTCTTCTTCTATATTTGATGCTTCCTACTCTAGAGTTTTCCTGGAGTTTTGTGTATACTAAGGTTTGTATTTATTCTATGTTGTAAATCATTAGCGAGTTTTCTATTCATTTCTCACTTAAAAACAGTTCGAAATCTTTCATCTGTTCTTGTCTTCATCCTCTTCTCTTTGTCTTTGCAGATCTACACTAAAAAAAAAATTATTTTTACCAACATTTTAGTAAGTTTTAATGAGGGAGAAGAGAAAATCTCATGTGTTGAAACCACCTTTATTTATATCTATCATTTAAGTCATATGTGTAGGTTTTTTTGAGTTTAGCAATATTTACTGAAAAGAGAAGTTGTGCCTTGGTTATGTGTGAAATATCACCTTTCATATTACTATATGATGTCAGATTTATAGTGTCTCAGAATTGAAGGGAAATTCTCATTCAAATTCCTATGTACAGCAGGGATCTCCTTGATGTCTTCCTTGCACGGTGGATCTTCAGCTTCTGCTAGTACAAATTTAATGAGAGAGAGCTTAGTAGTTTGAAAGCAAGGGTTTTAAAAAATGTTGTTTTAAACAATGTAACCAAACATTTAATTTTCATATAACATATGGAGAAATTCAGTATTTAAAAACATCAACTGTGGAAGAAAGGTGGAAGGACCAGAGGCCAGCCTGCTCAGTCTCCACTTCATCTCCTCTGCTGCCCCTGAGCTATATTCATGCAACACCAGGAGCATAGTTTGCAAATCGTTGCCTCTCAGGCTGGCAATTCCTTGGTTGATTTGCACGCTTGTCAGATAGAGTTTTGTATTGCTGCCAGCAGCTAATAAATAAAGTTCCTGCTGTGTATTCATTTCAGTTTCAATGCCCTGGGAGAAAGATGACTTCAGAATTAGGGTTACTTTTCCAAGTATCTTCCTTACAATTGCCCATTTAGTTGGAGGGGAGAAACACTCTGCTATAACAGAGTGGTAGGAATTCACCACCAATGAATCTTTAAAGCAACAAAACCCTGATATAAGGTGATGTCTTGCTGAAAACTCTGGAGTCTGTATTGAAAAAGCAGTTTTATTTTAATAATTCTCAAACTATTAATGGGGCAGAAGTGTTGAAAATGAAACTACAGATATGAATTTCATGTATTGTGAGACATTATTGAATGATCTATATAGATAGATATGGATATAAATATAGATAACTTTATTTTTAGTAGACATTAATTTTTAGAGCAGTTTTAGGTTCACCGCAAAATTGAGTGGAAAGTACAGAAATTTCCCATATAAGCCCTGCCTTCGCCCATGTCCAACCTCTCCCACCTACACCTGCACCAGAGTGTTACATTTATTAGAACTGTTGAACCTCCATTGATACAACATTACCACCCAAAGTCCATACTTTACATTAGAGTTCATTCTTGGTGTTGTACATTCCATGGGTTTGGACAAATGTGTAATGACATGTATCCACCAGTACAGTATTATATGGAACAGTTTTATTGTCCTACACAATCCTCCTTGCTCTTTCTATTCCTCCCTCCTTCCTCACCACCAGATAATCAATAATTTATTGACTATTCCCCTAGTTTTATCTTTTCCGTAATGTCTTACAATTGGAATCATACAATATGTAACATTTCCAGATTGGCATGTTTCACTTAGTAACATACATTTGAAATTCCTCTATGTCTTTTTATGGTTTGATAGCTCATTTCTTTTTAACATTGAATAATAAGATAGTACATTATTTGGATTGTACCACATTTGAACCATATATTTTTGTGTCTATAGTTCCAGGTGCCAAAAAATCAGCAAAATTATATATTCCATATATCATCCTTACTATTATTATTTTGACCATCGTGGGATTCATTTGGTTGTTGAAAGTCAATGGCTGCAGGTATTGACTAATGAATGTTTTTTTCTTCTTCAGCTTTATTAGGCTAGAAAAGAGTCAGAAATATGGAACTGACCGTATTGGGTATATTAGGATGTTAACATCAAATCTCCCATAATCAAATCTTGAAGGTGTTAGATAGACTTGGACTACTTTGAATGATGAGAGAGACTTTGCTAGGTTGCTTTGGCATAGAAGCATGGAAAATTAGGCCATTTAGGGTAGGATCTTGGGAGAGAAAGTGCATGTTAATTTTCACATTTGGGTAAATAATTACAATTCCTTCATGCACCAAAGAGGAGATGTTACATGCATTCAATTGCATCAAGCTTCTATTGCATAATTTCACTTTTTCAAAATCCGGAATATTCTTAGTTGGGGATATTAACCACGAGCAGTATTCTTCACTTATTTCTAGTAGTTTCTTTCTGATTTATTATGGCTTCTATCAAAATTAAACACAATTGTCAATAGTATACTGTCTTATTTTCCCATTTTCGATCTAAACAATGATGTTTCCTCCATTCACTTCAATTTATTTTATTTTTATAGAAAATATAAATTGAATAAAACAGAATCTACTCCAGTTGTTGAGGAGGTAAGATAAGATAAAAAAGACTAATTGCAAACTTAAGCCAATAGTCTGAAAATCTAGCAACATAATTTGTAGTTTGTATCAATATTAGTGTTTCAGTTGAAAAACTAAAACAGTTCTGACTTGCAGTGCTTATATGTGTGATTACTTTGTTAATTATCTATCAAATACTATTTATACATCATCACTCTGAACCACATTTTCACTTCATGAACTATATCCTAACACATATGATGTTTGGCTCCTTTAGACTGTAATCTTTTGAGGAAATGAATTGGTGTTTCTTGTCACCAATTTGAAAGCATCTCTAATTCCTGACTTTTCCTTTTCAATACTATCATTATTTTTCTCTTACACAAACTTAAAACATATCCTGCTCCTTCATCTCTTATTATAAGTAGCTTACTAAGTCTCCAAAGCTCTCCTTTGGAGTACTCATATCACTTCATTCATCTCCATTCCTACTTGCACAGAGCCATTATCTCCACACAGAGACTTATGTAGTTAACAAATACTTTTTGATAAAATGTTAGAACAAATCCTGCTCTTATGTTTATATAGGCCCAGAAACACAATTATAAGCACTCTTGAGCACCTGTTAGAAATACTAAAGCTATGGGCAACTGTTACAAAAATACAGATAGTCTCTATGATGATTTTTTGAATTGATTTTAACTTTGAGTTCTTTCTTAGGATGAAATGCAGCCCTATGCCAGCTACACAGAGAAGAACAATCCTCTCTATGATACTACAAACAAGGTGAAGGCATCTGAGGCATTACAAAGTGAAGTTGACACAGACCTCCATACTTTATAAGTTGTTGGACTCTAGTACCAAGAAACAACAACAAACGAGATACATTATAATTACTGTCTGATTTTCTTACAGTTCTAGAATGAAGACTTATATTGAAATTAGGTTTTCCAAGGTTCTTAGAAGACATTTTAATGGATTCTCATTCATACCCTTGTATAATTGGAATTTTTGATTCTTAGCTGCTACCAGCTAGTTCTCTGAAGAACTGATGTTATTACAAAGAAAATACATGCCCATGACCAAATATTCAAATTGTGCAGGACAGTAAATAATGAAAACCAAATTTCCTCAAGAAATAACTGAAGAAGGAGCAAGTGTGAACAGTTTCTTGTGTATCCTTTCAGAATATTTTAATGTACATATGACATGTGTATATGCCTATGGTATATGTGTCAATTTATGTGTCCCCTTACATATACATGCACATATCTTTGTCAAGGCACCAGTGGGAACAATACACTGCATTACTGTTCTATACATATGAAAACCTAATAATATAAGTCTTAGAGATCATTTTATATCATGACAAGTAGAGCTACCTCATTCTTTTTAATGGTTATATAAAATTCCATTGTATAGTTATATCATTATTTAATTAAAAACAACCCTAATGATGGATATTTAGATTCTTTTAAGTTTTGTTTATTTCTTTTAAGTTTTGTTTGTGGTATAAACAATACCACATAGAATGTTTCTTGTGCATATATCTCTTTGTTTTTGAGTATATCTGTAGGATAACTTTCTTGAGTGGAATTGTCAGGTCAAAGGGTTTGTGCATTTTACTATTGATATATATGTTAAATTGTGTCAAATATATATGTCAAATTCCCTCCAACATTGTTTAAATGTGCCTTTCCCTAAATTTCTATTTTAATAACTGTACTATTCCTGCTTCTACAGTTGCCACTTTCTCTTTTTAATCAACCAGATTAAATATGATGTGAGATTATAATAAGAATTATACTATTTAATAAAAATGGATTTATATTTTTGGTCATGTTTGTAAGAGAGTGAATGCACGTGTGAGAACATTAGCTTCTTCTGAACTCATTATATCTCCACAGAGGTGTTGATACTTGATGCCTAACAGTTTTGCAGATGTGCTACATTGGAATTGTGTATTTTTATGGTGTACATTCTATTGTGATATATTTATTGAATAATTAATGTCTATTGACCATATAAGTGGCGAAAAATGCACCATAGAGGACATGGGGTATTTATTTACAAACTATGAGCTACATAATAAGCAAGTGGCCATGGGATGGCATGACCCTCCCCTCCATATTTTTGTGGAGCAAAATATTGGCAATGTTTATGTAAATCATTGTTAATATCATGAAATTATTTTTAATTAAAAACATAAGTCTATTTGCTCCATAGCAGAAAAAACATGAGAAGTTTTTTCATCATGATAGAAATTGAAACAAAATATATTCATTCTTCAATCATACCATCTGAGATTTTTAAGACAGCTATTTTGTCTTATAAGTATATTTTTCTCCCTCTAGACATTTCAGTTACTATGGATTTTGTCCTCAAAGGGACTTTTAGTCTATTTTGGATGTAAAGCTAATCTAATGACACTTGGCACATGATATTTTGATCAAGCCATTTTGACTTGACCAAAAAGCAGTGTCCATTAGGTTTCTGCATATAAATATTACCAAGCAATGTTCACAATAGACATCATTACACTGTCCTTGAAATTTATTAATTCTTCATCCAACCCTGGTTGAGCTGAGGCTCATAGTTAGGTTCAAGACTATCTGTTTAAATATTACTGAAAAACAAAGTAAGACAGTACTATGCTTACCTCTTAACTTGATAATGTCAAAACAGGCATGTTAAATGACATCATAGAAAAGACTTCAAGATAATTTATAGAAGTTAAATTATATTGTACAGAAAATAATTGTATGAAAATCTCTACTATGGGGCTGGAACATGGTTGAACATTAGAATGATATAAAAAATTATATATATTCTCCAAATCCACGCTAGACCTGTCAAATTAGAGAATCTAGAGATTAGACCTGGCGTGTCAGCAAGGTCATCCAGGAAGCAGAGGCTGAGACGGAGTTAGGTGTGATTACTTACATAGTCGATTACATTTTACAAATAACATTTTATATGTCTCATTTACTGTGCTTTCTCCCCATCCCATTTTGTATCTTTTCCTTTGCTTTGCTAGATTTGTCAATTTTCTCTCTCTTTCTCTGTCTCTCTCTCTTTCAATATCTCTAATAATTTGAAAGTAATTCATCATAACTAAATATCTATTGGGGTTATGCTTCACTTACAAACTTCTGAAAACGGCTTTACTGAGATATAATTGATATATTTAAGTGTACAGTTTGTTAAATTTTGCACATATTTAAAATGTGGACTTTGGTAAATGTTGACATAGTTTTACATCTGTGAAACCATCAGCATAATCAAGATAATAAACTTGTCCATCACCCCCCAAAATTTTCTTGTTTCTTTGTGAGCCTATCCCTACAAACTTCTTGTTCCTCCTCATCCCCCGCTCCCCAGGCAACCTCTGATCTGCTTTCTGTAACTATGTATTAGTTAGCATTTTTTAGAATTTTCCATAAATAAAATCATGTAAATATCATCACAATAGACACTCTTTTATTTTTTTGGTTGGACTTTTTTTCTCATTATAATTATTTTGAGATACATCCACATCCACACAATGATACTGCATTCTTTTTATTCCAAATAGTATTTAATTTTATAGCTATACCAGTTTGTTTATCTGTTTGCCTGTTGGTGGACATTTGTGTTGTTTCCAGTTTTGGGTTATTAGAAATAAAGCTGCTATACACATTATTTTGCAAGTATTTTTGTTGACATATATTTTTATTTTTCCTGAGCAAATACTGATGAGTGGATTGGCTAGATCAGATGATATGTAGATGTTTCACTTTTAAAGAACTTGCCAATCTTTGTTTCTTTTCTTTTTTTAATTTTTTTTAAAGTAAACTTTTAATTTCAGATTAGTTTCATTTATTATTATTATACTTTATTTTATTTATTTATTTATTTTTTTTTTTTTAATTATACTTTAAGTTTTAGGGTACATGTGCACATTGTGCAGGTTAGTTACATATGTATACATGTGCCATGCTGGTGCGCTGCACCCACTAACTCGTCATCTAGCATTAGGTATATTAAGTCCTGGGATACATGTGGAGAAGGTGCAGGTTTGTTACATAGGTATACACGTGCCATGGTGGTTTGCTGCACCCATCAACCCATCATCTACATTAGGTGTTTCTCCTAATGCTCTCCCTCCCCTAGCTCCCCACCCACCAAAAGGCCCCAGTGTGTGATGTTCCCCTCCCTGTGCCCATATGTTCTCATTGTTCAACTCCTACTTATGAGTGAGAACATGCGGTGTTTGGTTTTCTGTTCCTGTGTTAGTTTGCTGAGAATGATGGTTTCCAGCTTCATCCATGTCCCTGCAAAGGACATGAACTCATTTTTTATGGCTGCATAGTATTCCATGGTGTATATGTGCTACATTTTCTTTATCCAGTCTATCATTGATAGGCACTTGAGTTGGTTCCAAGTCTTTGCTATTGTGAACAGTGCTGCAATAAACATACGAGCGCATGTGTCTTTAAAGTAGAATGATTTATAATCCTTTGGGTGTATACCCAGTAATGGGATTGCTGGGTCAAATGGTATTTGTAGTTCTAGATCCTTGAGGAATTGCCACACTGTCTTCCACAATGGTTGAACTAATTTACACTCCCACCAACAGTGTAAAAGCATTCCTATTTCTCCACATCCTCTCCAGCACCTGTTGTTTCCTGACTTTAATGATCGCCATTCTAACTGGCGTGAGATGGTATCTCATTGTGGTTTTGATTTGCATTTTTCTGATGACGAGTGACGATGAGCTTTTTTTCATATGTTTGTTGGCAGCATAAATGTCTTCTTTTGAGAAGCATCTGTTCATATCCTTTGCCCACTTTTCGATGGGTTTTTTTTTTCTTGTAAATTTGTTTAAGTTCCTTGTAGATTCTGGATATTAGCCCTTTGTCAGATGAGTAGATTGCAAAAATTTTCTCCCATTCTGTAGGTTGCCTGTTCACCCTTATGATAGTTTCTTTTGCTGTGCAGAAGTTCTTTAGTTGAATTAGATCCCATTTGTCAATTTTGGCTTTTGTTGCCCTTGTTTTTGGTATTCTAGTCATGAAGTCTTTGCCCATGCCTATGTCCTGAATGTTATTGTGTAGGTTTTCTTCTAGGGTTTTATGGTTTTAGGTCTTAGGTTTAAGTCTTTAATCCATCTTGAGTTAATTTTTGTATAAGGTGTAGGAAAGGGGTCCCGTTTCAGTTTTCTGCATATGGCTGGCCAGTTTTCCTAGCACCATTTATTAAATAGGGAATCCTTTCCCCATTGCTTGTTTTTGTCAGGTTTGTCAAAAATCAGATGGTTGTAGATGTGAGGCATTATTTCTGAGGCCTCTGTTCTGTTCCATTGGTCTATATATCTGTTTTAGTACCAGTACCATGCTGTTTTGGTTACTGTAGCCTTATAGTATAGTTTGAATTCAGGTAGCGTGATGACTCCAGCTTTGTTCTTTTTGCTTAGGATTGTCTTCGTTGTATGGGCTCTTTTTTGGTTCCATATGAAATTTAAAGTAGCTTTTTTCCAATTCTGTGAAGAAAGTCAATGGTAGCCTGAGGGAGATAGCATTGAATCTATAAATTACTTTGGGCAGTATGGCCATTTTCATGCTATTGATTCTTCCTATCCATGAGCGTGGAATCTTTTTCCATATGTTTGTGTCCTCTCTTATTTCCTTGAGCAGTCGTTTATAGTTCTCCTTGAAGAGGTCCTTCACATCCCTTGTAAGTTGTATTCCTAGGTATTTTATTCTCTTTGTAGCAATTGTGAATAGGAGTTCACTCATGATTTGGCTCTGTGTTTGTCTATTATTGATGTATAGGAATGCTTGTGATTTTTGCACATTGATTTTGTATCCTAAGACTTTGCTGAAGTTGCTTATCAGCTTAAGGAGATTTTCGGCTGGGACGATGGGAGTTTTCTAAATAGACAATCATGTCATCTGCAAATGGAGACAATTAGACTTCCTCTCTTCCTATTTGAATACGGTTTATTTCTTTCTCTTGCCTGATTGTCCTGGCCCGAACTTCCAATACTATGTTGAATAGGAGTGATGAGAGAGGGCATCCTTGTCTTGTGCTGGTTTTCAAAGGGAATGCTCCCAGCTTTTTCCCATTCAGTATGATATTGGCTGTGGGTTTGTCATAAATAGCTTTTATTATTTTGAGATACGTTCCATTAATACCTAGTTTATTGAGAGTTTTTAGCATGAAGGGGTATTGAATTTTATCAAAGGCCTTTTCTGCATCTATTGAGATAATCATGTGGTTTTTGTCATTGGTTCTGTTTATGTGATGGATTACGTTTATTGATTTGCTTATGTTGAACCAACCTTGCATCCCAGGGATGAAGCTGACTTGATCGTGGTGGATAAGCTTTTTGATGTGCTGCTGCTGGATTCAGTTTGCCAGTATTTTATTGAGGATTTTTAGCACCGATGTTAATCAGGGATATTGGCCTGGAATTTTCATTTTTGTTGTGTCTCTGCCAGGTTTTGGTGTCAGGATGATGCTGGCCTCATAAAATGAGTTAGGGAGGAGTTGCTCTTTTTTTTATTGTTTGGAATAGTTTCAGAAGGAATGGTTCCAGCTCCTCTTTGTGCCTTTGGTAGAATTTGGCTGTGAATCTGGCTGGTCCTGGGCATGTTTTGGTTGGTAGGATATTAATTACTGCCTCAATTTCAGAACTTGTTATTGGTTTATTCAGGGATTCGACTTCTTTCTGGTTTAGTCTTGGGAGGGTCTATGTGTCCAGGAATTTATCTATTTCTTCTAGATATTCTAGTTTATTTGTGTGGAGGTGTTTATAGTATTCTCTGATGGTAGTTTGTATTTCTGTGGAATCAATGGTGATATCCCCTTTATCATTTTTTTTTTGTGTATGTATTTGAGTCTTCTCTCTTTTATTCTTTATTTTGTTAATCTTTTCAAAAAACCAGCTCCTGGATTCTTTTTTTTTTTTTTTTTTTTTTTTTGACAGTCTCACTCTCTCACCAGGCTGGAATGCAGTGGCATGATATTGGCTCACTGCAACCTCCACCTCCTGGGTTACAGCGATTCTCCTGTCTCAGCCTCCTGAGTAGCTGGGACTACAGGCACACACCACCATGCCCAGTTAATTTTTGTATTTTTAGTAGAGACAGGGTTTCACCATGTTGGCCAGGATGGTCTTGATCTCTTGACCTCATGATCTGCCTACCTTGGCCTCCCAAAGTGCTGAGATTACAGGGATGAGCCAGTGTGCCTGGCCTGGATTCATTGATTTTCTGAAGGGTTTTTTGTGTCTCTATGTCCTTCAGTTCTGCTCTGATCTTAGTTATTTCTTGTCTTCTGCTAGCTCTTGAATTTGTTTGCTCTTGCTTCTCTAGTTATTTAATTGTGGTGTTAGGGTGTTGATTTTAGACCTTTCCTGCTTTCTTCCTGTGGACATTTAGTGCTATTAATTTCCCTCTTAACACTGCTTTAGCTGTGTCCCAGAGATACTAATATGTTGTGTCTTTACAATTTGGTATGTTTTTGCAGTGGCTGGTCCCAGTTTTTCTTTCCATATTTAGTGCTTCCTTCAGGAACTCTTGTAAGGCAGGCCTGGTGGTGATAAAATCTCTCAGCATTTGCTTGTCTGTAAAGGATTTTATTTCTCCTTCACTTATGAAGCTTAGTTTGGCTGGACATGAAATTCTGAGTTGAAAATTCTTTTCTTTAAGAATGTTAAATATTGACCCTGAATCTCGTCTGGCTTTTAGGATTTCTGCCAAAAGAGCCACTGTTAGTCTGATGGGCTTCCGTTTGTGGGTAACCTGACCTTTCTCTCTGGTTGCCCTTAACATTTTTTCCTTCATTTCAACCTTGGTGAATCTGATGATTATGTGTCTTGAGGCTTGAGGTTGCTCTTCTTGAGAAGTATCTTTGTGGTATTCTCTGTATTTCCTGAATTTGAATGTTGGCCTGTCTTGCTAGGTTGGAGAAGTTGTCTTGTGTTTATGTCTGTCTCCAAATTCCCTCTTTATATAAGGATTCCAGTCATACTGGACTACGGCCCACCCTAGTGACTTCATTTTAACTTGATTTTCCCTGAAGTGACCCTGTCTGAAGTATTAGGGGCTAAGACTTCAACATGTAAATTTTAGGGGAACACAATTCAATCCATAACAAATGTATTGCCTTTCCATTTCTTTTAATTCGTTATAGCAGCTAACACTTTTCTCCCAGCTATAAATTTACCATCACAGATCCCGTTTTATGTAAAGAGATTATCACTATGACTATTGGTTTGGAGCAAATATTACTAAAAGTCACAATTCATGCATTTGAGGGTGGAGGAGGTATGCTGATTTTGTATCCTGCAACTTTATTCTATTCATTTATTAGCTCTAACAGGTTTTTTTTGGTACGTGTGTAATCTCTAGAGTTTTTTTAAATATATAAAATCATGTCATCTGCAAACAGGTACAATTTTACTTCTTCCTTTCTGATTCATATGTCTTTTATTTCTTTTTCTTGCCTAATTACTCAGGCTAGGACTTCTAGTATTACACTGTATAGAAGCAATGAGTGTGGACATTCTCGTCTTCTTCCCGATCTTAGTGGAAAAGACTTCAGTTAATCACTGTTAAGTATGATGTTAGCTCAGGACTTTTCTTTATGATCTTTATTATGTTGAGGTACATTCCTTCTATACCTAATTTGTTGAGAGATTTTTTAAATTTTTTTATTTTTTATTTTATTATTATTATACTTTAAGTTTTAGGGTGCATGTTCACAATGTGCAGGTTTGTTACATATGTATATATGTGCCATATTGGTGTGCTGCACCCATTACCTCATCATTTAGCATTAGGTATATCTCCTAATGCTATCCCTCCACCCTCCCGCCACCCCACAACAGTCCCCGGTGTGTGATGTTCCCCTTCCTGTGTCCATGTGTTCTCATTGTTCAATTCCCACCTATGAGTGAGAACATGCAGTGTTTGTTTTTTTTGTCCTTGCGATAGTTTGCTGAGAATGATGGTTTCCAGCTTCATCCATGCCCCTACAAAGGACATGAACTCATCATTTTTTATGGCTGCATAGTATTCCATGGTGTATATGTGCCACATTTTCTTAATCCAGTCTATTCTTGTTGGACATTTGAGTTGGTTCCAAGTCTTTGCTGCTGTGAATAGTGCCACAATAAACATAATGTGCATGTGTCTTTATAGCAGCATGATTTATAATCCTTTGGGTATATACCCAGTAATGGGATGGCTGGGTCAAATGGTATTTCTAGTTCTAGATCCCTGAGGAATCGCCACACCAATTTCCACAATGGCGGAACTAGTTTACAGTCCCACCAACATTGTAAAAGTGTTCCTATTTCTCCACATCCTCTCCAGCACCTGTTGTTTCCTGACTTTTTAATGATCACCATTCTAACTGGTGTGAGATGGTATCTCATTGTGGTTTTGATTTGCATTTCTCTGATGGCCAGTGATGATGAGCATTTTTTCATGTGTCTTTTGGCTGCATAAATGTCTTCTTTTGAGAAGTGTCTGTTCATGTCCTTTGCCCACTTTTTGATGGGGTTGTTTGTTTTTTTCTTGTAAATTTGTTTGAGTTCATTGTAGATTCTGGATATTAGCCCTTTGTCAGTTGAGTAGGTTGCAAAGATTTTCTCCCATTCTGTAGGTTGCCTGTTCACTCTGATTGTAGTTTCTTTTGCTGTGCAGAAGCTCTTTAGTTTAATGAGATCCCATTTGTCATTTTTGGCTTTTGTTGCCATTGCTGTTGGTGTTTTAGACATGAAGTCCTTGCCCATGCCTATGTCCTGAATGGTATTGCCTAGGTTTTCTTCTAGGGTTTTTATGGTTTTAGGTCTAACATTGAAGTCTTTAATCCATCTTGAATTAATTTTTGTATAAGGTGTAAGGAAGGGATCCAGTTTCAGCTTTCTACATATGGCTAGCCAGTTTTCCCAGCACCATTTATTAAATAGGGAATCCTTTTCCCATTGCTTGTTTTTGTCAGGTTTGTCAAAGATCAGATAGTTGTAGATATGCGGCATTATTTCTGCGGGCTCTGTTCTGTTCCATTGGTCTATATCTCTGTTTTGGTACCAGTACCATGCTGTTTTGGTTACTGTAGCCTTGTAGTATAGTTTGAAGTCAGGTAGTGTGATGCCTCCAGCTTTGTTCTTTTGGCTTAGGATTGACTTGGCGATGTGGGCTCTTTTTTGGTTCCATATGAACTTTAAAGTAGTTTTTTCCAATTCTGTGAAGAAATTCATTGGTAGCTTGATGGGGATGGCATTGAATCTCTAAATTACCTTGGGCAGTATGGCCATTTTCACGATATTGATTCTTCCTATCCAAGAGCATGGAATGTTCTTCCATTTGTTTGTATCCTCTTTTATTTCATTGAGCAGAGGTTTGTAGTTCTCCTTGAAGAGGTCCTTCACATCCCTTGTAGTTGGATTCCTAGGTATTTTATTCTCTTTGAAGCAATTGTGAATGGGAGTTCACTCATGATTTGGCTCTCTGTTTGTCTGTTATTGGTGTATAAGAATGCTTGTGATTTTTGCACATTGATTTTGTATCCTGAGACTTTGCTGAAGTTGCTTATCAGCTTAAGGAGATTTTGGGCTGAGACAATGGGGTTTTCTAGATATATAATCATGTCATCTACAAACAGGGACAATTTGACTTCCTCTTTTCCTAATTGACTGCCCTTTATTTCCTTCTCCTGCCTAATTGCCCTGGCCAGGACTTCCAACACTATGTTGAATAGGAGTGGTGAGAGAGGGCATCCCTATCTTGTGCCAGTTTTCAAAGGGAATGCTTCCAGTTTTTGCCCATTCAGTATGATATTGGCTGTGGGTTTGTCATAGATAGCTCTTATTATTTTGAGATACATCCCATCAATACCTAATTTATTGAGAGTTTTTAGCATAAAGCGTTGTTGAATTTTGTGAAAGGCCTTTTCTGCATCTATTGAGATAATCATGTGATTTTTGTTTTTGGTTCTGTTTATATGCTGGATTATGTTTATTGATTTGTGTATGTTGAACCAGCCTTGCATCCCATGGATGAAGCCCACTTGATCATGGTGGATAAGCTTTTTGATGTGTTGCTGGATTCGGTTTGCCAGTATTTTATTGAGGATTTTTGCATCAATGTTCATCAAGGATATTGGTCTAAAATTCTCTTTTTTGGTTGTGTCTCTGCCCGGCTTTGGTATCAGGATGATGCTGGCCTCATAAAATGAGTTAGGGAGGATTCCCTCTTTTTCCATTGATTGGAATAGTTTCAGAAGGAATGGTACCAGCTCCTCCTTGTACCTCTGGTAGAATTCGGCTGTGAAGCCATCTGGTCCTGGACTCTTTTTGGTTGGTAAGCTATTGATTATTGCCTCAATTTCAGCGCCTGCTATTGGTCTATTCAGAGATTCAACTTCTTCCTGGTTTAGTCTTGGGAGGGTGTATGTGTCAAGGAATTTATCCATTTCTTCTAGATTTTCTAGTTTATTTCCTTAGAGGTGTTTACAGTATTCTCTGAGGGTAGTTTGTATTTCTGTGGGATCGGTGGTGATATCCCCTTTATCATTTTTTATTGCATCTATTTGATTCTTCTCTCTTTTCTTCTTTATTATTCTTGCTAGCATTCTATCAATTTTGTTGATCGTTTCAAAAAACCAGCTCCTGGATTCATTGATTTTTTGAAGGGTTTTTTGTGTCTCTATCCCCTTCAGTTCTGCTCTGATCTTATTTATTTCTTGCCTTCTGCTAGCTTTTGAATGTGTTTGCTCTCACTTCTCTAGTTCTTTTAATTGTGATGTTAGGGTGTCAATTTTAGATCTTTCCTGCTTTCTCTTGTGGGCATTTAGTGCTATAAATTTCCCTCTACACACTGCTTTGAGTGTGTCCCAGAGATTCTGGTATGTCGTGTCTTTCTTCTCGTTGGTTTCAAAGAACATCTTTATTTCTGCCTTCATTTCGTTACGTACCCAGTAGTCATTCAGGAGCAGGTTGTTCAGTTTCCGTGTAGTTGAGCGGTTTTGAGTGAGTTTCTTAATCCTGAGTTCTAGTTTGATTGCACTGTGGTCTGAGAGACAGTTTGTTATAATTTCTGTTCTTTTACATTTGCTGAGGAGAGCTTTACTTCCAACTATGTGGTCAATTTTGGAATAGGTGTGGTGTGGTGCTGAGAAGAATGTATATTCTGTTGATTTGGGGTGGAGAGCTCTGTAGATGTCTATTAGGTCTGCTTGGTGCAGAGCTGAGTTCAATTCCTGGATATCCTTGTTAACTTTCTGTCTTGTTGATCTGCCTAATGTTGACGGTAGGGTGTTAATTTCTCCCATTATTATTGTCTGGCAGTCTAAGTCTCTTTGTAGGTCACTCAGGACTTGCTTTATGAATCTGGGTGCTGCTGTATTGGGTGCATATATATTTAGGATAGTTAGTTCTTCTTGTTGAATTGATCCCTTTACCATTATGTAATGGCCGTCTTTGTCTCTTTTGATCTTTGTTGGTTTAACGTCTGTTTTATCCGAGACTAGGATTGCAACCCCTGCCTTTTTTTTGTTTTCCATTTGCTTGATAGATCTTCCTCCATTCCTTTATTTTGAGCCTATGTGTGTCTCTGCACGTGAGATGTGTTTCCTGAATACAGCACACTGATGGGTCTTGACTCTTTATCCAATTTGCCAGTCTGTGCCTTTTAATTGGAGCATTTAGCCCATTTACATTTAAGGTTAGTATTGTTATGTGTGAATTTGGTCCTGTCATTATGATGTTAGCTGGTTATTTTGCTCGTTAGTTGATGCAGTTTCTTCCTAGCCTTGATGGTCTTTACAATTTGGCCTGTTTTTACAGTGGCTGGTACTGGTTGTTCTTTCCATGTTTAGTGCTTCCTTCAGGAGCTCTTTTAAGGCAGGCCTGGTGGTGACAAAATCTTGAGAGCTTTTTATTGTGAAAGAGCATGGAATTTCATCAAATAATTTTGTTTGCCTCCATTGAGATAATCATGAGATTTTTTTTTACCCTTCATACTGTTAATTTGGTATATTACATTGGTTTTTGTATGTTGAACCATCCTTGCACCACAGGGTTAAATCCCAAATGGTTATGGTATATGATTCTTTTAATGTGCTGTTGAATCCAGTTTGTTAGTATTTTATTGAAGATTTTTGCATCTATCTTTATCAAGGATATTGGCTTATAGTTTTGTTTTCTTGTGGTGTCTTGTTCTGGTTTTGATATCAAGGTAATGCTTGCCTCATAAAATGAGTTTGAAAGTGTTCCTTCTTATTGAGTATTTTGAAAGAATTTGAGAGCAATTGGTACAAATTATTTATTAGATGTTAGGTAAATCTTTCCAGTGAAGGCATCAGGTCCTGGGCCTTTCTTTGTTGGGAGTTTTCTGATTCTGGTTTCAATCTTATTGTTAGTTATAAGTCTTTCTATTTCTTCATGATTGAGTCTTGGGAGGTGATATGTTTCTAAGAATGTATCCATTTCTTATAAGTTATCTAACTTGTTGGCATAAAATTGTTTGCAGTAGTCTCCTGTAACCTTTTTATTTCTGTGGCAACAGTTGGAATGTTTCCCCTTTAATTTCTGATTTTATTTATTTATTTGTCTTTTCTCCTTTTTTTCTTAGTCTAGCTAAAGGTTTGTCAATTTTGTCTTTCAAAAAGCCAACCTGAGTTTCATTGATGTTTTTCTATTGTTATTTTATTCTCTATCTTGTTTCCTTCTGCTGTAATCTGTATTATTTCCTTCTTCTGATAACTGTGGGTTTAATTTGTTTTTATTATTCTAGTTCCTTGTGGTATAGAGTTAGGTTTTTTATTTGTGGTTTTTCTTCTTTTTAATGTAGGCATTCATTGCTATAAACTTCCCTTTTACCACTATTTTTGCTGTATCTCAGGAGTTTTGGTATGCTGTACTTTCATTGTTGTTTGTGTCAGGTGTTTTTTATATCCCCTTTTGATTTTTTTTTGACCCACTTGTTTGAAAATGCATTATTTAATTTCCACATATTTATGAATTTTCATCAACATACAAAAATCAGTTGCATTTCTATATACTAATAAACTATCTGTAAAGGAAATGAGGAAAACAATCCTATTTACATTAGCATCAAAAAATACTTGTGAATAAGCTTAACTAAGCAAGTGAAATACTTGTTCACTGAAAATTACAAAACATTGATGAAAGAAATTAATGAAGACACAAACAAATGGAAAGACATTCTGTGTTCATGGATTGGAAGGCTTAATATTGTTACAATGTTTATACTACCTGTTATGGTTTTCATGTTTGTGTTCCCTCCAAAATTCTTGTTGAAACTTAATGCTCAATGCAACAGCATTAAGAGGGGGGCCCCTCAGAAGTGATTAAGCTATAAAGGCTTCACCCTCATGAATGAACTACTGACTTAATAAAGAGGCAGACAGGGACCCCCTTTGTCCCTTCTGTCATGTGAAGACACAACATACTTACTCTGCAGAGGATTTAGCAAGAAGGCATCGTCTTTGAAGCAAATAGTAGCACTCATAAGACACTGAGTCTACTGGTGCCTTGATCTTGAAGTTCTCAGCCTTCAGAGCTGTGAGAAATAAATTTCTTTTGTTTGCAAATTACTCAGTCTGTGGTATTTTGTCATAGCAGCAAAATAGGCTAAGACACTACAAAGATCTACAGATTCAATTCAATTCTTATCAAAATTCCATGACATTTTTACAGAAATAGAAAATCAATTATAAAATTCATATGAAACCATAAAAGACCTTAAACAGCCAAGAATAAACTTGGAGGCATTACACTTCCTTATATCAAAATATACTACCAGGCTACAGTAATTAAAACAGTATGCTACTGGCATAAAGACATCTATAGACCAGCATAACAGAATAGAGATCCCAGAAATAAATTCATGCATATATAGTCAACTGATCTTCAACTAGGATTCCAAAAATACACAATGGGGACAGAACAGTCTCTTTGACAATTGATATTGGGGAAACTGAATAACCCTAGGCAAAAGAATAAAATTGGGCCCTATCTTATGGCCTACACAAAAATCAACTCAAAATAGAGGGTGGGCAAGAAATAGAGGATAGAATTTCTTTGTTATTTCACTAAAAATCCCAAATTCACCTTCAAATGTGTTGAGGAATTATCTATCTGGAGACAAGAATCTGATCCTGGTGATAACTCTGTAGTATAGAAAGTTAACAAATGTGCACAATTATATCCATCTTTTTCATACAAAGTTATCACTAACCATTCTTTTTGTCTAGCCAAACTGAAACCAGTATGAACCACTGGAAGTGGGTGGGGAGAACGCACAGGAAAATCCAAGGGCAGGATTATTGTGTGGTCAGGAAGATGTAAGGAGAATTTATGGGCAGAAACTTCAGCCTACTGGTCAGCACTCTTTATCTTTACCTTTGCAACCCATGTAGCAACCCTGAGTTTGCAGAAGGAAAGAGCATATCCTAAATTGCTTTAGCCAAAAAAAACAAACTGAACAGAGATGAAAAGAGATATTAAGTAAATATTATGAAGTAGAAGAGGCTAATACAATAATTTAGGTGAAGAATTATTTGTATTATGATCTTTTTGAGCATGTTACTTTTAAATACTTTCTGCCTCAGTGATTTCTATGTTAAAGTGCATATCCCTGGAAGGAGAGATTGTGTGTAACTCCTCTCATAAGCCACACAACAAAATACCAAAAAATATACATAGACACACATACAAAATGCAGTAGAAGATAAGGAAAATTACTTATGAAAAGGTCTTTCTTTCTATGCTGGTTATTCTTCTACCGTATCATTAATTGACTTAGGATAAGTTTCTTAACCTTTTCGAATCTCTACTTCCTTATCTATAAAAATAAATATAACTATACATGCCTCATAAGAATCATTCTGACAGTATCTGGGACATAGCTCAATCAATTACAATTGGATCTGAATCCTGGGTCAAATATACATGCTTCTCTTGAAATAAGTAAATGTATAAAAGCACAAACCAGAAAATTCAGTCATTATCACCTCAACTGTGCAAACAGGAAATGCTTCTATTTAAGTTGCTCATGAGCCAAAAATACAACCATCTAAGAGAGCAGGGGATTTCTCACCAGTGCTAATGGAGCAGAGCAAGAGAAGTAAAATACCATAACTAGGCCTATTATACAGTGGAAGAAAACATAGAGGCAAAGATAAGAAAAAAAAAATAGAAATAACTCCCTTTGGAAGATGGCTTCAGCTTTTGGGATACTGTTCACATTTTTTTTCATAGCTGGTGAGTCTGTTGGCCAAGTTGCGGGGATGCTGAGGGGTATTGGGCGAAGTAGAGAGGAAACCATAATTAGAAAAATACATTAGAATATTTTTCCACTAGAGCTTTTCCACTAGTCCTTTAAAATGCTCAGTTTAAAATAGCTCAAAGAGTGAAAATGCTACTTTATTTTAATCACTATGTTTTAAAAAAGAAAGATAATGTCTTAATTACTTATATTTCTGCCAAAATTATCTTTGAAAAAACATTTCTTAATAAAAAAATAAAAAAATGCCACAGGATTTTAAATAAAAATGGAGATTTCTAGTTTGACATGGTGAATTGAATAGATGTATCGTGTCTATTCTCTCCTGAATGGCTATTAATATGACAATAATAATATTTAAAACATATAGGCCTAAAGGAATCAAAATGTCAGGAGAGAAGACACAGGGGGTTAGGAAACATTAACGTATTTTGGAGGATGGAAAGCTTGATCACCCAGGAGAATAGAGGAAGCTGAACGTGTTTCTTCAGGAGGAAACAGAACCAAGCTGCAAAGGCTCAAGAATTGGGTTTTGCAGAAAGTGAGTGCAAAGCCCAGGTCTGGAATTAAGAGAATTGTTTGAAATTCTGTGTAAGAGGTGGTTAGACCCTGAAAAGTCTCAACATTCCCTTCCAAATTCTCAGATTTTAGATTTATTCCCTATAGAACATGAATCACAAAGAATTTAGTCTTACAGACAATGGGAACAGAAAGATTCAAGAGGAGATATGGGGCTGAAAATAGGTGGATTAAGTGGAATCTATATATTTACCAGAGAAATACACCCCCAATCCCTGCCAGCCCTCATTCCCTGTCCAGGTCCCCAAATACCCCAGATAGGCACACATACCTCTTGGGACAAGATTTTGAGCAACTTTCAAGGCAGAAACTGAATGACCCTTGCGAATATGCTACAGATTCAAAGAAAATTTCAGGCATGTAAACTCTCAAATAAGGAGAAAACCAGTAAAGAAGCTAGGATTCTGGAAACATGGGCTTCAATAGAGAAGACAGCTGAGGAGATTTCCCAGGTAAATATCAAAAGAAAGTGCCAGAATAAGAAATCATAAAATGGAAATAGGAAGCAACCAGTCAGGATTGGAGCAGGAGAGTAAAGATTTCTGGAAATAAATTTAAAGTGGAACTCAGACCAACTTAGTTGGTCACAGATGACTTTTTATTATTCCCCTGAATATCATTTTCTTCCACTATGCCTCTTCATAATCAGCTTGTTATATCAGTTCAAATGCAACATTGCTATGCCTCTGTTAGTATCATCTCTTCATAAATCCTTCAATTTCTCCAAAATTACATTTCTCAGGAAATTCACTTTAGTTGTCATAAATTCTGTACATAGTTCCATTTGTGGAGAACGCAGTGACTGTAGCAAAGCTGTCAGAGTAAAAACAAGACCATGATTAGCTTACTAATTCTTGTACCTGTAACTCCCAGAATTTTATAGTGAATTTCTTTTAAAATCCTCCACTTGAATACCTGCCTTCATCTCTGAACTTGTCTGCATCTAGTACAGGAAGCAAAGAAAGGAGAAAGGATAGATAACATTGTGTTAATTAAGATGTATCATATTGGGCTGGGTACATTGGCTCACATCTGTAATCTCAACATTTTGGAAGGCCAGGACCAATGGATTGCTTGAGGCCAGGTGTTTGAGACCAGCCTGGGCAACATAACAAGACCCCATCTTTATAAAAAATAAAAATAAAAGAATTAAAATAAAAAAATAAAAATAAAAGAATTAGCTGAGCATAATGGCTACCATACCTGTAGCCTAGTTACTTGGGAGGCTGAGGTGAGAGGATTGCTTGAAACCAGGAGTTGAAGGTTACATGAGCTATGATTGTGCCACTCCACTAAAGCCTAGATGACATAGTGAGACCTTGTTCCTTAAAAAAGGTACCATGTTGATACAAAAATAAGGTAATGATAAATAGTTGATGTATAATAGAAATAATTAATATTTAAAAAATTAAACACAGAAACAAGTAACCAAAAGAATTTCCCACACACCAACAGCTAGTATAGTGGTACTTTGGCAATATTTCTATTATTTTAGAGAGATAGATTGTCTCTATATACTATTTACATAGACAAAATTTCAGGTTTTAGATACCAAACAATTGTTGCTATTTTGTTTTTTCACTGAATCAACTCTTGGTGATATATAAACATCATTAAATTTGCTCCACTTTTCATACTTTTTTAGTTTAGTTTCATGCATAGTGGGCTTAAATTAGCTGTGTATATATGCTCATTCCTATAAAGCAATTGATACTGAAAAATTAAAATTTTACTCAATCATTGATTGACTTATAACTGTTCTTTTATTATGTACCTTATGGCAAAGCTGTCCTTGAACAAAGTGGCTGCTCAATATATATTTAATTGATTTTTAAAAATTTGTTTAGGGATGTTAGTACATAGAAAATGGTAAACTACAGGGAAAATTATACAAGCTAGTTGTACATATATCATGTAAGAATAATTTTTCGAAGAATGACTTCTTTTTTCTGGGTAGATACACAGTAGTGAGATTCCTGGATCAAATCATAGTTCTACTTTTAGTTCTTTAAGGAATCTTCACACTGCAATTGCAAAAATATGGAACCAGTCTAAACGCACATCAATCAATGATTGGATAAGGAAACTGTGACATATATATACACACACACCATGGAATACTACTCAGCCATAAAAAGGAATGAATTAATGGCATTTGCAGTAATCTGGATGAAACTGGAGACTATTATCCTCAATGAAGTAACTCAGGATTGGAAAACAAACATCGTATATTCTCACTCATAAGTGGGAGCTAATTTATCAGGATGCAAAGGCATAAGAATGATACAATGGACTTTGGGGACTTGGGAGAAAGTGTGGGAAGGGGGGTGAGGAATAAAAGACTACAAATTGGGTTCAGTGTATACTGTTCAGGTGATGGGTGCACTGAAATCCCACAAGTCACCACCAAAGAACTTACTCATGTAAACAAATACCACCTGTTTTTTCAGAAACCTACGAAAATAAAAAATTTTAAAAAGAAAAAAATAAAATGCTCAATTTTATCCTTCTCTTTCTTGTTTTCGTGGCTAAGAAGTTTAGAATAGTCATTGGGTGGGGGCCTAGTGTTCTGCATTTCTAACAAGCTTCCACGTGATGCTGTTGCTGCTACTGATGATCTGCCAAGCACACTTGAAATAGCAAGACTTTAAGGAAGTCTTGTTATTTGAAAAGAGAGTCTTGTGACTTTGTGATAATTCTTAGAGCGAATTAAGAATTCGCTCCACTGAATTCGCTCCACTGCACCACTGAAAAAAGGACGTTGGCTTCATTCCCAGGATGCGAGGCTGGTTCAACATATGCAAATCAATAAATGTAATTCATCACCTAAACAGAACTAAAGACAAAAACCACATGATTATCTCAAAAGATGCAGAAAAGACCTTCAATAAAATTCAACATCTCTTTATGTCAAAAACTCTCAATAAACTAGGTATTGAAGGAACATACCTCAAAATAATAAGAGCCATTTACGACAAACCCATAGCCAATAACATACTGAATGGGCAAAAGGTGGAAGCGTTCCCCTTAACTGGCACAAGACAAGGGTGCCCTCTCTCACCACTCTTATTCAACATAATATTGGAAGTTCTGGCCAGAGCAATCAGGCAAGAGAGAAAAATAAAGCGTATTCAAATAGTAAGAGAGGAAGTCAAATTATCTTTGTTTGCAGATGACATGATCCTATATCTAGAAAACCCCATTGACTCAGCCCAAGAGCTTCTTAAACTTATAAGGAACTTCAGCAAAATTTAAATATACAAAATCAATGTGCAGGAGTCATAAACATTCCTACACACCAACAACAGACAAGCAGAGAATCAAATTATGAATGAACTCCCATTCACAATTGCCACAAAAATAATAAAATACCTAGGAATATAGCTAACAAGGAAGTGAAGGGCCTCTTCAAGGAGAACTGCTCAAGGAAATCAGAGAGGGCACAAGTAGATGGAAAAACAGTCCATGCTCATGGATAGAAAGAATCAACATTGTGAAAATGGCCATACTGCCCCAAAGCAATTTATACATTCAATGCCATTCCCATTAAACTACCATTGACATTCTTCAAGAATTAGAAAAGACTATTTTAAAATTCATATGGAACCTAAAAAAAGCTCATATAGCCAGGACAATCCTAAACAAAAAGAATAAAGCTGGTAGCATCATGCTACCCAACTTGAAACTATACTACAAAGCTACAGTAACCAAAACAACATGGTACTGGTACAAAAACAGGCACAGAGACCAATGGAACAAAATAGAGAACTCAGAGATAAAACCACACATCTACAACCATCTGATCTTCAACAAACCTGACAAAAACAAGCAATGGGGAAAGGATTCTGTATTTAGCAAATGGGGCTGGAAGTACTGGCTAACCATATACAAAAATTAACTCAAGATAGATTAAAGACTTAAATGTAACCCCCAAAACTATAAGAACCCTAGAAGAAAATCTAGGCAATACCATTCAGGACATAGGCATGGGCAAACTTTTGTGATGAAATTGCCCAAAGCAATTGCAACAAGAGCCAAAATTGACAAATGGGATATAATTATACTAAAGAGCTTCCGCACAGCAAAAGAAACTATCATCAGAGCAATCAGAAAACCTACAGAATGAGAGAAAAGTTTTGCGATCTATCCATTTGACAAAGTTCTAATATCCAGAATCTACAAAGAACTTGAGCAAACTTACAAGAAAAAGCAAACAATCTCGTTAAAAAGTGGGCAAAGGAAATGAACAGATGCTTCTCAAAGAAGGCATACATGTAGCCAACAAACATATGAAAAAAAGCTCAACATCACTGATCATTAAAAAAATGCTTATCAAAATTGCAATGAGATACCATCTCATGCCAGTCAGAATGGTGATTATTAAAAAGTCCAGAAACAAAAGATGCTGATGAGGTTGCAGAGAAATAGGAACACTTTTACACTGTTGGTGGGAGTGTAAATTAATTCAGCCATTGTGGAAGACAGTGTGGCTATTCCTCAAAGATTTAGAACTGAAATACCATCTGACCCAGCAATCCCCTTACTGGGTATATACTCAAAGGAATATAAATCATTCCATTATGAAGATACATACACACATATGTTCATTGCAGCGC
Organism: Homo sapiens; assembly: GCF_000001405.40. Classification (NCBI taxonomy): domain Eukaryota; kingdom Metazoa; phylum Chordata; class Mammalia; order Primates; family Hominidae; genus Homo; species Homo sapiens. The sequence goes on along the minus strand of NC_000003.12, from coordinate 112,903,023 downwards.
TATTCACAATAGCAAAGACATGGAATCAACCCCAATGTCCATCAATGATAGACCACATAAAGAAAATGTGGTACATATATGCCATGGAATACCATGCAGCCATAAAAAGGAACGAGATTGGTGTAGATGCTGCTGATCTGGAACAATTCTGAGAACCACTGATTTAGTCCATCCCTTCAGGTAGAGTTTTCTAGATAAGAAAACAAAGGGAAGATGGTCGACTAGAAACAGCGATGATCTGAGCCTCCCATCAAAAAAAACAGTAATAAGCATGTGAATCCTTCACTGGCAACCAAGATATCCAGGTTCTCTCATCAGAACTGACTAGGAGGCTGGCGTGATCTACAGATAGGAAGGAAGAGCATGCTGTGTGGTTTGTCGGCCCACCCGAGAGCCACATGGGGGAGGGAAGCCCTCACCCCCGAGCCAAGGGAGGCAGTGAGTGAGCATGCTACCCAGCTGGGGAAACCGTGCTTTTTCCATGGAACTGTGCAACCCACAGATCAGAAGATTCCACTCGCGAACCCACGCCACTGGGTCCTACTTCCTTTTATGGTGGATGAGGATTCTACATTATCTTCTTTCCTTCCCTCATCCTTCTTTCCTTCCCTCATCCTTCATGTGCTATGACACAGAAATTTTTCATTACACAAGACAGTCTGTCTCCCCATTATTTTGAATAAATAAATATTTGAAATACATTTTACTTGATACTTATAAGTATTATTAAGTACTGAATCAATAAATAAATTCATACTTTCTTTTTTGAATAATCTTTTAGTTTTTGATTTTATAATTGCTTTATTTCTTTTTTCCTTAAAAACGAATGTACCTATTGTGAATTATCACTAAGCTCATTGACAAAACTAGAGAACCCCTTACTATTTTTTTCTTCAACTTTTAAGTTCTGGGGTACTTAAAAGTACCACATGTGCAGGATGTGCAGGTTTGTTACATAAGTAAACATGTGCCATGGTGGTTTGCTGCACAGATCAACACATCACCTAGGAATTAAACCCAGTATCCATTAGCTATTCTTCCTGATGCTCTCCCTATCCCACTACCACCCCCGACAGGCCCCAGTGCACTTTGTTCCCCACAATGTGTCCATGTGTTTTCATCATTTACATACAAGCTCCCACTTACAAGTAAAAATATGTGGTGCATGGTTTTCTGTACCTGGATTAGTTTGCTGAGGATAATGATTTCCAGCTCCATCCATGTCCCTGCAAATGACATGTTCTTGTTCCTTTTTATGGCTGCATAGTATCCCATGGTGTGTATGTACCACATTTTCTTTATCCAGTCTATCACTGATGGGCATTTGGGTTGATTCCATGTCTTTGCTGTTGTGAATAGTGCTGCAATGAACATACGCATGTATGTATCTTTATAATAGAATAATTTATATTTCTCTTGGTATATACCCAGTAATGGGATTGCTGCTTTGAATGGTAATTCTGTTTTTAGCTTTTTGATGAATCACCACACTGCTTTCTGTAATGATTGAACTAATTTACAATCTCATCAACAGTGTATAAGCATTCCCTTTTCTCTGCAACCTCACCAGATTCTGTTACTTTTTTATTTTTTAATAATAGCTATTCTGACTGGCATGAGATGGTATCTCATTGTGGTTTTGATTTGCTTTTCTCTAGTGATCAGTGATGTTGAGCTTTTTTTTTTCATGTATTTGTTGGCTGCATGTATATCTTTTGAGACATGTCTGTTCATGTCCCTTACCCACTTGTTAATGGAGAACCCCTTAGTATTATTTTTCACATGGTCAGATTTGTTATATAATCTATGAGTTCCATTTTCTTAAGACATCACTTCTTGCACTTTTTCATGCTTTTGTCTAATCTGTCCTGGTTGGTCACTATACTTGCTACACAGTATTGTCATGGACATTCTCTTTGCCTTTATCCTTTGCTTGATTCTGTGCTTGTTTAATCTGACTTTCATCTGCTTTCCAGACATTTGTTTATTTTAGTCTCTTTCTTGGATATGTAAGAGTTTTATTAACTCTTTGGTAATTCCTGGGTATGAATTTATTTTATTTTATTTTATTTTATATTTTACCATGAAACTGCCTTAAACCACATACTATGAAAATGCTTTAAGATGCAACAGCATGTGATGTGAAGACACGAAGAACAGAAAGTGCACACACAGTGAGAAATAGCTATCACAGAAAACACTGTGAGTGAATAAAGAGTTCAGATCCCTTCCACCCTTTACCCAGTAACAGAAGGCATATTAACACTCCTGTTGTTGTATGGATTCATTTTAAAGTGAGCACTAGTGGACTTATTAGAAGCTCTACTTGCTGATGATGAAGGTTTTCAACTAGTTAGCTTCAATATAGTGAAAAGGAGCTAAGTGATTTTTTATAATTGGGAATTTGTCATGTATCTAAAGGCCCGTTCTCTGGGAATGTTTAGAGTCTGCAGCAAATAACTCACCAGTCTCTTGCCTTGGAGAGATAAGCCTGATCACCAGTGTTCTGGGAAGGGAAAGAGGAGTGTGTGTATGTGTGTAAGTGTGCCGCTGTTGAGAACTGAGAGTTTCCTTTAGTACCTCTCTTCAGTGTAGCACTTTATTCCCACCCTGCATGATGTCTGAATCCTTGACTCTAGCATCTCTCCAGAAATGTTTCCTAGACCAATCTGCCAATAATTTTTTTCTGCTGGCTGGGGAAGCTGTGCTGCACAGAGTGGAGCGGGAGACTTGGCAAACTATCTGTTTTCAAGACAGACTTTCAAGGAAGCTCCCAACTTTTACGCCTACACTTCAGCCCTCCACATACTCCTTTTTCTATGGATACTTCCCACTCTAGAGTCTTCCTGGAGTTTTGTGGGTACTAAGATTTTTACTTATTCTAGTTTATAAATCATTTGCCATTCTACAGTTCATTTTTCACCCCAAAGAAGTTGAAAAGTCTTTCATCTGTTCTCGTCTTCATCTCTATTCTCTTTATCTTTGCAGGCTTATACTTTAAAACATTGCTTTACTAACATTTTAGTAAGTTTTAAGAAAGAAGAGAAAATCTCATATTTTGAAACCACCGTTTCCAACAGATTTTTCAATATCCATTCTTAAAGTGATATTGTCTTTTGAAAAAAAGAGTTAAGCAGTATTTACTAAAAATAATAATTGTGCTTGATTATGTATGAAATCTCACCATCTGGTATTAAAATATGTCTTATTTATAGCATCTAGAACTGAGTGGATCTTCTCATCCAAATTCCCATTAGTGCAGGGATCTCCTCTGTGTCTTCCTTGCACAGTGAACCTTCAGCCTCTGCCAGTACAGGTCCAGTGCAAGAGAGCTCATTAGTTTGACAGGGAGAGTTTTGAAAAAAATTTTTTTAAAGAAAAAACACAAATTTTTATTTTTCAAGCAAACATATGGAGAAATCCAATATTTAAAAACATCAACTGTGGGAGGATAGTGTAAGGACCAGATGCTAGTCTGCTCAGTCTCTATAGTACCTCCTTCTGCTTCCCCTGAGCCATACGTATGCAAGACCAGGAGCACATTTGTAAACTGTTTCCCCTTACAGCTGGAAATTACTTTGCTGATTTGCACAGTTATCAGATAGAGCTTTATATTGCTCCAGCAGCTAATAAATAAGGATGCTGCTATGCATTCATTTTAGTTTCAGTGCCTTGGAAGAAAGGTTATTTTGGAATTAGGATTACTTTTCCAACAACTTTCCTTATAATTACTCATATACTTGTGAGTGTTGGAGGTCAGAAACACTCTGCTGTAATAGAGAGATCTAAGTTTCACATCTCTTGTATAGGAATTCACCGCTCATGAATGCTTAAAGCAATGAAATCTTGAAGTAATGTAATGTCTTGCTGAAAACTCTCAAGTCTGGATAAAGCTTTAGAGTTTCTGGATAAAGCAATTTTATTTTAAGAATTCTCAAACTATTAATGGGTCAGAATTGTTTAAAGTAAAATTATAGAAATGAATTTTATGTATATACATATATATATATAAAACTTTTAATTTTTAATAGATTTTATGTTTTAAAGCAGTTTTAGGTTCATGGCAAAATTAAGTGCAAAGCACAGAAAGTTTCCACATAATCCCTGCCTGTACCCAAGTACAACCTCTCCCACTTGCGTATCCTGCAACACAGTGTTAAATTAGTTACTATTGATGAACCTTCATTGACACATCATCGTCAGCCAAAGGCCATAATTTACTTCAGGATTCACTCTGGTGTTAGACATTCTATGAGTTTTCACACGTGTATAATGACATGCATGTGCCATGATAGTATCCCACAGAATAGAATCACTGCCCTAAAAATCCTCTATGCTCTATTCATCCTTCCCTCCCTCTTTCTCAGTTGGCAACCACTGATCTTTTTACTGTCTCCTTAGTTTTGCCTTTTTCATAACATCATATGTTGGCATCACACAGTATGTAGCCTCTTCAGATTGGCTTCTTTCACTTAGTAGTATGCATTTAAGTTTCCTTCATGTCCTTTCACAGCTTGATAGTTCAGACATTTTATTTTAGCACCAAATAATATTTCATTGTTGGAATACACCACATTTGAAACATATATTTTTGTTTATAATTACAGGTACCAAAACATCAGTAAAACTATGTATTCACTCTATTATTTTTATGAGTTTTATTTTGATCATTGTGGGATTGCTTTGGGTTTTGAAAATCAGTGGCTGCAGGTATTGATTGATGAATGTTTTTTCTTCTTTAGCTTTATTGCACTAGAAAAGGGCCAGAAATATGGAATTGACTGACCAATTAGAATTCTAACATCAAATCTCTCATAATCACAGAATATCCTGAAGATGTTGGATTTGAACTACCTTGACAGATGTGAGTGATTTTCCTAGGTTGCTTTGGCATGCAAGCATGGCGAATTAGGCCATTTAGGGCAGGATCTTGGGAGAGATAGTGCATGCTGATTTTTTAATTTGGATAGATAATTACAATTCTTTTCTTGTACCAAAGAGGAGGTGTTACATATGTTCAATTGCATCAAGCTCCTATTGCATAATTTCACTTCTTTTTTCAAAATCTAGACTTTTCTTCTATGAGTGTAGTAGCTACAAGCAGTATCCTTCACTCATTTCTGGTAGTTTCTTTCTGATTTATTATGGCTTCTATCAAAATGAACCACAATTGTCAATAGTACACTTCTTTCAATTTTCAATCTAAATAATATTACCTCCACTTACTCCAGCTTTTTTTTTTTCCTCTCTCTTTTTTGAGACGGAGTCTCGCTCTGTCACCCAGGCTGGAGTGCAGTGGTGTCATCTCAGGTCACTGCAACCTACACCTCTTGGGTTCAAGCAATTCGCCTGCCTCAGCCTCCCGAGTGGCTGGGACTACAGGCACATGCCACCATGCCCGGCTAATTTTTTGTATTTTAGTAAGACTGGGTTTCACCGTGTTGCCCAGGCTGGTCACAAACTCCTGAGCTAAGGCAATCTGCCCGCCTTGGCCTCCCAGAGTGCTGGCATTACAGGCATGAGCCACAGCACCCAGCAACTCCAGCTTATTTTATTTTTATAGAAAATATAAATTGAATAAAACAGAAGCTACTCTAGTTGTTGAGGAGGTAAGATAAGATTAAAAAGAATATTTACAAACTTTTAAGTCAATAGTGTGAAAATATAGTAACATAATTTGTAATGTGTAGCAATATTAGTGTTTTAGTTGAAAAACAAACAGTTCTGATTTACAATGCAAATAGATGCAATTATTTTGTTAATTACCTATCAAGTACTATGTATAGACCACCCAGATCCACATTTTCATTTCATGAACCATGTCCTAATACACGTGATGTTTATCTCTTTTGAACTGTAATCTTTGGAGAAACTGAATTGGCATTTCCATTTACAGGAAAGCATCTCTGAACCTTGACTTCTATTTTTCAATACCATCATCGTTTTCCTCTTACCCTAGCTTAAAACATATCCTGCCCTGGAATCTCTTATGCCAGTAGCTTACTATGTCTTTGGCTCTCTCCTTTGGAATACTTCTCATACCACTTCATTCATCTCTATTCCTACTTTCATGCAACCATCATCTCTCACAGAGACTTAAGTAATTAACAAATATTAGAACAAAGCCTTGCTCTTATATTCACGTGAGCCCAGAAACACAAATATAAGCACTCTTGGTTGATACCAAAAGCTGTGGACACCTATTATAAAAAACAGGTAGTTTCCATAATGATTTCTGCCCTTTTTGAACTGATTTTGACTTTGATTTTTTTTCTTAGGATGAAATGCAACCCTACACCAGCTACACAGAGAAGAACAGTACACTATGATACTAGAAACAAGGTGAAGATGTCTCAGGCGTTATAAAGTGAAGTTGATAGCACAGACCTCCATATTGTATAAGTTATTGTAATCTAACACCAGGAGAAATGAATCAGGATACATTACAATTATTACTTTGATTTTCTTACATTTATAGAATGAAAGACTCATATTGAATTTAGTTTTTTAAAGGTGCTTAGAAGCCAAAAACATCCTAATGGATTTTCATTCAGATTCTTGCATAATTGAAATTTTGGATTCTTAGCCACTACCAGCTAGTTCTCTGAAGAACTGATATTATTAAAACAAAGAAAATACATGCTCATGATCAAGTACTTAAATTGTGCAGTACAATATATAAGGTAAAGAATTTCCTCAAGAAATAACTCTGCAGAAGGAACAATCAACAGTTTCTTATGTTTCTTTACAGAAAAATTATATTTATATTGACATGTCTATATGCCTATGGTATATGTGTGCATTTATATGTCTATCTATCTGTCTATCTATCTACCTATCTATCCATGATGTATATGCCATGGTACCAATGGGAGCATCCTGTAATGCTGTTCAGTCCTTATAAAAAGCTAATAATATAATAGACATTTTCATCTTATGATAAGATATTAAAAATATATATATTTCATACCTAATTTTATACCTAATAACATAATAGATCTTTTTGTATCAACACAGCAGTGCTACATCATTCTTTTTAGTGGCTACTTAAAATTCTATTGTATGTTTGTGTCATAATTTAATTAACACAACCCTAGTGATGGACATTTACAGTAAGTTTTGTTTGTGGTATAAAAAATACCACATAGAATGTTTCTTGTGGACATGTCTCTTTGTATTTGTTTAAGTATATTTTTAGGATAATTTTCTTGAGAGGAATTGCCAGGTTTGATAATATTATGACATTATCATGATGTCTATGATAATATCACAGATACTATCATATCTATGATAATAAAGGCACAAAAATACATTTGTGTATTATCTTAGATATGTCAAATTGTGTCAGTTTACATTCCCTCCAGCATTGCTTGAATGTGCCTTTCTCTGTACACTTATTTTAATATTTGTGCAATTCCCACTTCCATAGTTCCAGTTTTTCCTTTTTAATTAACCAGTTAGCTAGTATGACAGAAGATTAAAATAAAAATTATATTATTTGGGAGCAAGATGGCCCAATAGAAGCCTTTACTAATCATCCTCTCTGCAGGAACACCAAATGGAACAAATATTCACACAAAAAAGCATCTTCATAAGAATCAAAAATCAAATGAGTGATCACAGTACCTGGTTTTAACTTCATACCACTCAAAGAGGCACTCAAGAAAAAAGGATCTAGTTTCATTCTTCTACATATAGACATCCAGTTTTCCCAGCACCATTTATTTTGAAGAGACAATCCTTTCCTCATTGCGAGTTCTTGGCAACTTCGTAGAAAATGAGTTCACTGCAGATGTATGGTTTTGTTTCTGGGTCTCTATTTGGTTCCATTGGTTTATGTGTCTGTTTTTATGCTAGTACCACTGCACTATACACCAACAGTGAACAACTGAAAAAGAAATCAACAAACTGAAAAAAGAAATAACAGAAACTGTTATTCCATATACAATCACTATAGATAAAATTTGTAGGAATTAATTTATCCAAAGAAGTGAAAGGTCTCTATGATGAAAATTTTAAAACACTGATGAAAGAAATGGAACGAGAATACAAAAAAATGAAAAGCTATTCCGTGTTCATAGATTAGAATAATTAATATTATTAAAATGTTCATACTATCTAAAGCAATCTACAGATTCAAAGCAATCCGTATCAAAATACCAATGACAGTCTTCACAGACGTAGAAAAAAAGATCCTGAAATTTATATGGAACCATGAAAGACTCAGAATAGCCAAAGCTAACCTGAGCAAAAAGAACAAAACTGGAAGAATCACATTACCAGACTTCAAATTATACTATTGAGCTTGAGGTGAATGCTGCCAGACCTGGAACTCTCCCTTCAGGAGCGGATGGTTTCCCTTCTGGCCTAGGGCAGGTCTAGAAATGCTGTCCAAGTGCCAAGGCCAGGAAATGGGGACCCCAAGAGTCTGCTTGGTACTCTAACCTACTTCGGCCAAGCTGGTACCTAAACTGCAAAACAAAATCCCCGTCACTCTTCCTCTCCTTTTCTCAAGCAGAAGGAGTCTCTCCTTGTAGCCACCACAGCTGGGAATGTGCTGAGTCACACCTGAAGCCAGTGCTTCTCAGTCTCACCCAGGCCCCACAGCAAGTACTGCCTGGCTACCATCGTGAATTATTCAGGGCCCAAGAGCTGTTTAGTCAGCAGGCGATGAATCTTGCTAGGACTGGGTCCTTTTCTTCAAGGCAGCAGTATAATTATCTTGAGATACATTCACACATGAATACTTCATTCGATTTATTGCTAAATAGTATTTAATTGTATAGATAAACCAGTTTGTTTATTCGTTCACCTGTTAATGGACATTTGAGTTGTGTCCAGTTTGATTTTATTAGGAAGAAAAAGATGCTATACACATTCTTGTGTAAGTGTTTTTTGACATATGCTTCTGTCAATCCTGATGAGCGAATTGGCTGGATCATACGGTAAGTGGATGTTTAACTTTTAAAGAAATTGCCTAACTGTTTTTCTCTGTGGTTGTACAATTTTACATTCTCCCCACCAGTTTATGAGACTTCTAGCTCTTTCATATTCTTACCAACCCTTGATATAGTCAGTGTTTTTAATTTTAGACATTTTGATAAACATATGTTACTATCTCATTGTGGTTTTAATGTGTATGTCCCAAAAGACTAATGATGTGGACCATCTTGCCATACAAATTAAAATTTAACTGTCAATTAAAGAATTGTTTAGTTTATTTCTTAATTGACTTTTGAGAATTCTTCATATATTCTGAATACAAGTTCCTTTCATTCAAGATAGAGTGTCCTTTGAAGAAGAGATGTTTTTGATTTTGATAAAGAGCAATTTATCCTTTTGTTTTCCTTTTTTTGGACTGTGCTTTTAGTATAACATCTGAGAAATGTTTCCCTAACCCAAGATCACGAATGTAATCTTATGTTTTTATTATAGAAGTTTTATAGTTTTAGGTTATACACTTTGGTCTACGATCCATTTTGAAGTAATCTTTATACATGGTATGAAATATGGATTTAACGGTTTTTTGCATACAAGTATCAATATGGATATCCCAACACCACTAAATTACCTTTTAGTCTTTGTTGAAAATTACATGTACCTCTATTTATAGGTCTATTTGTGGACTTTCTGCTTTGTCTTATTGAACAATTTGTTTGTTTTTATGCCAATGTCACACCATTTTGTAGCTTTATATGTCTTAAAATTAGATAGTGTTAACCCTTCAACTTTATACTTTTTCAAAATAGTTTAGGCTATACTGGCTTTGCATTTCCACATGAATCCTAGAATCAGTTTGTCAATGTCTGCAAGAATGTCTGCTTGTATTTTGACTGAAGTGTCTTGAAGCATATATCAATTTGAGGGGAATTGATATCTTAGCGATATTGAGTTTTCTAATCCATGAGCATAGTAGATCTCCCATTTACTTAGATCTTTAATTTCTCTCTGTAATATTATTTTATACCTTTTTATGTACAGCTCTTGCACATCTTTTGTCAGATTTATCCGTAAATATTATATTTCATATTCTTTGATGTTATTGTACATTGTATCATTTTGTTTGTTTTTTGAGACAGTCTCACTCTATCACCGAGGCTGGAGTGCAGCAGCACGATATCGGCTCACTGCAACCTCTGCCTCCCGGGTTCAAGTGATTCTCATGCCTCAGCCTCCCAAATAGCTGGGATTACAGGCTCCCGCCACCATGCCTGGCAAATTTTTGTATTTTTTGTAGAGATGGGGTTTCACCATGTTGGCCTGGCTGGCCTCGAACCCTTGACCACAAGTGATCCTCCTACCTCAGCCTCTCAAAGTGCTAGGATTACAGGCATGAGCCACTGTGTCTGGTCTCATTTCTTAAAATTTCAATTTCTATTTTTTCCTTGACATTATATAAAACTACAATTGCATTTTACATATTGACCTTATATCCTGCAACTTTGTTGAACGGATTAACTGATTCTAATAATTTTTTTTGAAGACTCTCTCAGATTCTCTACATAGACGATCACAACCTCTGTGAATGAAGACAGTTTTAGTTTTTCCTTTCCAATTTGGATGACTGTTATTTGTTTTACTTACTTATTGCATTGGCTAAAACCTCTAGTATATGGGTGATTAGAACTAGCGAAAATGGACATCCTTGTCTTACTCCTGGTCTTAGGAGGAAAACATTCAGACTTTCACCATTAATATGATGTTAGCTGTTTTTTGTTGGTTTGTTTGTAGGTGCCCTTCATTGGGTTGCTGAGGTCTCTTTTTAGTCTAAATTTTTTAGGGTTTTTAACAGGAATGGATGTTAGATTTTGTCAAAGCTCGTTCTGTATCTACTGAGATAATCTTTTTATTGTTAGTTTTTAAATATGATTACATTTTAATGTTCTCTTTTTTCTGTTTCTTTTTTTGGATAGTTTCTACTTTATCAAGTTCTATATATGTTTTCTTCTGAAATGTATAATCTGATGTTAATTTCATTTAGTGCATTTTTCACCTCATTTTCTGCAGGTTTTCATCTTTAGAAATTTGATTTGGGTCTTATTTTCCGTCTTCCATGTCTTGACTATATTACAATGATTGTTCAAGGTTCTTGCCTGCTAATTCTTGCATTTGTGTCAATTCTAGGTTTGTTTTGATTGATTGGTTTTCCCCTGCATTATGGATTTTATTTTCTGGTTTCTTTGATTGTTTAGTAATTACAAATTTTATTGCATAAACATATGTAACATAAAATTGATCATTTTAACAAATTTTGAGCATACAGTTAGTGGCATTAAGTACATCTTCATTGTTTTGTAACCATTACCATCTATCTCAAGAATTTTTTTATCTTCTTGAACTGAAACTCTGTACCCATTAAACAATAACATCTCTGTTTTATCAGAGAAGTCCTTGTAGCATAATGACTCAGAGTCACCCCAAATTGTCATGAAGTCTGGATTATTTCATTTAGCATAATATCCCCTACGTTCATCCACATTTTCTCAAATGGCAGGATTTTCTTCTTTTCAAAGCTGAATAATATTTCACACACCACATTCATTTTCTTTATCTCTTTATCCATTCATTCATCAAGAGATATATAGGTTGTTTCTATAGCTTCTCTATTTTGAATAATGCTGCAGTGCACATAGGAGTGCAGACGTTTCTTTGAGTCACTGATTTCATTTTTTTTGGTTATATAACCAGAAGTGGCATAGCTGAATCATATGGTGATAATTCAGACTCAGAGAGGCAAATACGACATGATCTCATTTATATGTGGAATCTAAAATAGTCATTCTCATTGAAGCAGAATAGAATGGTGGTTGCCAGGGACTGCAGGGAGAGGGAAATGGGAAGATCTTGGTTAAATGGTACAAAGTTTCAGTTAGACAGGATGAATACATTTTGAGATCTAATGTACAATATGGTGACTATAGCTAACAATACTATATTTTATACTTGAAATTTGTTAAAAGAGTAGATTGTAAGGGTTCTCACCAGAAATTAAAAATAAAGGTAACTATGTGATGTAATAGATATGTTAATTAGCTTGATTGTGGTTTTCATTTCACAATGTATATCAAAACATCAAGTTGTACACCTTACATATATACAATTTTTATTTGTCAACTATACTCAATAAAGCTGGAAAAAAGTGAAAAAATTCCTATAAAGAAGGTGTCTGGTTTCAAGAGTTTTATTTTTTGCTCTTCGATTATTTTAAATAGCAGTTCCTTTAAGGGCAGACCAGAAGAAGTAAAATGAAATTGGTAATCAATGAATATTGAATCACAAAATTCTAGAGTGGGAAAGGGCATCAAAAGATGTCTAATTCAGCCTCTTACATAATTGTCTCCATCCAAATTCCATGAATATCATCCCTATTTGGGTCACAAGTATATGTGGTGTAATATTTAAAAAATTATCATGAAAACTCATTCAAACCCACAAGTTTTGATCATCTCTTCCAGGTGGGGCTGAGCTTGCTTGAGCTGCCAGTTTTCTCTAAAAACATATGTAAACAGATTATTTCTTAATGATGCCACCCTATGCAAAATTACATTACTATTTACAAAGATCTGATCCAAACATGGAGATATGCTAGTAGATTAATAAAAAAAAAATAGCAGATACAAAATATTATATATTAAGTAATTAAAAATGAATAAAAACACAGAAAAAATTAGAATTTGGCAAAATTATAGCACCTTTGTTATAAGTGGGGTGGGGTGCAATAATTGGAATTGGGGTGATTTTTGCAGGAAGTCTTCAAAGTTACTTTTATTTTCATAGTAATACTAAGATGTGATATGCTTTTTGCATTTACATTCTCTCATGAGTGCACAATGGAGTTTTCTAGATGCTACATTGCAGATGTTTATATTACTGCTTTGATGGTTTGTGGAATGAGTACTTGTGTAGTTCTGTGTTTTCTAGATTTTTCTAAAGTACATTCTTTGGAATCGTCAATACATTTGAACAGTATAAAAGATCCTTAGACCAAAAAAATCTGAGAATTGCTGTTCTAGCTGATAAGAAACACATGTTAGGGATCGGGATCATCATGGTGGATGGGAGGCAAGACTAGATTGCAGCACCCGACAGAGCAGTATGCAGAGGCTCGCATTGTGAATTTCAGCTCCAGATCAACTGCAAGAACAAACCAGCAATAAATACCAAGAGGACCCATAGACACGCTGAAGGAAGCAGACTGCTTCTGTAGGACTCCGGAGACAAGCCAAATACTGTGAGTGCCCCAACTGTGGAAGTGGGAGAGACCCTCCTCTCCCAAACACACACCCCCACTGGAGAAACTGAAGGTCTGTTTCCTGGAGAAGTTTCCGACTTTACCTGGAGCTGAGTCAATTTAGAGAGCCAAGTGAAACACAGGGGTAGAGAAGCAATGAAAAAGGCCCTGGAAGCTCACTGGGTCCCCCAGCAGCACATTCCTGCCTAGCACCACAGGGATCCACTGGGAGGGCGGCCAGAGGAGCAGGGGGTAAAACTCCACAGGGAGAAGGAAATCTCTAGCTGAACTTTGTAATAATTTGAATGGAGTGAGAAGCCTCCTGGCCAGAACTCGGGGGAGGGCACTAATCTGGTGTGCAGACTCCATAAAAAGGAATGAATTAACAGCATTTGCAGTGACCTGAGTGAGATTGAAGACTATTATTCTAAGTGAAGTAACTCAGGAATGGAAAACCAAACTTCAGATGTTCTCACTGATTTGTGGGAGCTAAGCTATGAGGATGCAAAGGCATGAGAATGATACAATGGACTTTGGGAACTTGGGCGGGAAGAGTAGGAGGTGGGAGAGGGATAAAAGACTACAAATATGGTGCAGTGTAAACTGTTCGGGTAATGGGTGCACCAAAATCTCAAAAATCACCACTAAGGAACTTACTCATGTAACCAAAAACCACCTGTACCCCACTAACGTAATGGAAAAAAAAAAGAAAAACATGTTAGGATTACTAAGGATTGAATTAGTTTTCACTTTGGGAAACATTAAACATTTTATAAAGTTACAATATGTTGTTATATGTGAAAAGATTAATAAAAATTTATAAATTGTGTCTTTGGTTTACCCTAATTGGCTATAAAGTTCCCGCCTGTGGGTCTCTGCTTTTAGAGTTATAAAAAGGTGCATGCAAATTCTGGTGGTGAAGCCTCAGCCTCATTCTTTGGCTGCAGAGTATGCTTTCTTTTGTTCTGTTTTTGTCTTATTTTATAAAGTAATGTGGGGACTTAAAAAAAAATTAATACAACAAAACGTTTGGTTTTTGTTGGTTATTAACTCACACACCTTCCAACCCTTCACTATCTGCCTTTTGGACAAACACCATGTACATAATCCACCCAGTCTCTGGTATTTTGTTATGGCAGCTGCAAAAGACTAGTACAAGATGAAGTTTTGTCTAACCTACTTTAAATATGTGTCATATTTGATGGATATACTTTACTAATTTTGGCTTAAGTAAACAATTGAAACAATTAAATTATTCCACTTATCCCACTCCTGTGCTCTCAATTTTGCATGCTTAGGATTCTTTTAGGATTTGTCAAGACTCTTACTGGTTTCCAAGCTATCTTTCTAAGATGATTATGCCAAATGTTATACATCAGAATTAACATTTACTGTGAAAATATTTATTAGTGATCCCTTAGACATATATTTTTCTTCTAAGTTTTTGAAAAAACTATGACAATTTATTTTGATAAAAATGAAACATATTTATTTTAAGAAGTTCAGGCAATACAGGATAACATAAATGGTTAAAATTCCACCACCCAGAAACAACCATTGTTAGGATTAGCTAAAAACTCTTCTATGAATATATATAAAAATAAGTAAAGATAGAAGGCACTTCTGGTGTCTCTACTAAAAATACAAAAAAAAATTAGCCAGTCGTAGTGGCGGGCACCTGTAGTCCCAGCTACTCGGGAGGCTGAGGCAGGAAAATGGTGTGAACCCGGGAGGCGGAGCTTGCAATGAGCTGAGATCGTGCCACTGCACTCCAGCCTGGGTGACAAAGCGAGACTCCATCTCAAAAAAAAAAAAAAAAAAAAAAGATAGAAGACATTTCACAAAAATGCTCTTATATAAACATGTTACTTTAAATAAAAATATTACATTATTGTTACTTGATTTAAATTAGAGAAAGAAACTGAAACAATTACTGAACTTGAGATAAAAATGTCTTCACCATATACAACACCAAGAGTGAAATCAAATGTAAATTATAGACTTTGAATGACAATCATGTGTCAGTGTAGGTTCATTGATTATAGCAAATGTACCATGCTGGTGGAGAACATTGATGGTGGGGGAGGCTGTGCATGTGTGTGGGGAGGGGGTATATGAGAATGCTTTCTACTTTCTACTCTATTTTGCTGTGAACCTAAAGCTTATCTAAAAAGAAAAGACTGTACAGTTGACACTTGAACAACGCAGGTTTGAATAGTGTCCCTTATATGTGAATTTTCTCCTGTCTCTGCCAGCCTTGAGACAGCGGGACCAATCTTTCCTTTTCTTCCTCCTCCTCAGCCTATTCAATGCAAAGACAACAAGAATGAAGAACTTCATGATGATCCACTTCCACTTAATGAATAGTGAATATATTTTCTTTCCCTTATTACTTTCTCAATAACATTTTCTTTTCTCTAGCTTACTTTAAGAATAAAACATATAATACAAATTCAAAATATATATTAATCAACTGTTTATGTTATCAGTAAGGCTTCTGGTTAATAGTGGTAGACTATTAGTAAAGTTTTGGAGGAATAGAAAGTTATACATACATTTTTAGCTGAGCAGGGTTTCAGTGCCCCTAACCACCACACGTTCAAGGGTCAACTGTCTATATTGAAAAATGAGCTTCTGTTCAGCTGCATTTTCTGGCTTTCCATAAAAATGTCAACTTAAAAAAACAAGCCAAAGAGGAAAAGAAAATCTGCATAAGTGTCTATTCCAATGGGTTTGGACTATTGCCCCCTACACATAGGAAAAAAAGATGTCCTTATCAGTTGAGATACTAACCTCTAAAAGAGTCTTCTAAGTAAAAAACAAAAAGATTGTGAGCACTATTAACAGAATAATGTAACTGTACATTTTAGATACAATATTTTCACTGTAACACAGTACATGTTGACTCTATGTCATGAAAGATAAGAGATCGTAATGATTTTATATTTCTCCAAACCTCCTTTCTTATCACTTTCTGATTTTAATTATATATTATTTTCACATCTTGAAAGTTTAAAGCATCTACATTCTGTTCTTTAGTAATAATTCCTTCACATGTTTAGTCTTAACTATATATTTAAATGTCCAATCATAGTTTCTTATTTTATCTCTTGGTTGATGGAATATCACTATCTAGTACTTTGTCATTTGTTTTACAACTAGAGAAATATAAGACGGACGATAACGTGTTAAAAAAAAAAGACAAGGGTTTATATCTGTGTTTTAATTATCTCTTGTCTTCTTTGCTACAGATCTACAGGTAAGATGAAATACAACCCATTATAGCTCACTCTAGTCCAGAATGTCTATTTCTCTCTGTGAATTGAATATGTAGTAGGATTTATCTGACAATATAAATACGAGTTATTTAGCAGGACAGGTTTTCATTCTGAGAGATAAAAAAAAAAAGGCCTCAGGAGCAAAGCAAAACAAATTCTAACTTATTATTAAAGTTATTTGGGAGAGGAGCCAAGATGGTTGAATAGATGCAGCCAGGAAGAGCTTCTCTTACTGACAGACAAAACCATCAAGAAGACCAGCACACTTTGAGCAGATCTCTGGAAGGAAGGCTTTGAGAGTGGATGGAGGGAGGATGCAGACCCTGGGCTAAGAAGAGAGGAAGCTGGGAACTTTACACAGGGTTGTTGAGCACTGGGACTCATTCCTGGGCCCAAGTGGTTCGTAAGGAAGGGGTGAGTTAAGTAGCTATGGAGTGGCCCACTCTCACCATGGACCTCCAGAATCCTAGATGCAGGACACCCCATGACCCTCATGAACATTTGAGCTGGCAGGAAGAGCTGCTTGGAGAATTGGCAGGGACTAGGACTCCAGTGCCGAGACCAGCTCAGTCGTGGAGACCCTAACCCAGTGGCACTAGAGGAATTAAAGACACACACACAGAAATATAGAGTGCAGAGTGGGAATCAAGGGGCTGACAGCCTTCAGAGCTGAGAGCCATGAACAGAGTTTTACCCACATATTTATTGACAGCAAGCCAGTGATAAGCATTGTTTCCATAGATTATAGATTAAAACGGGAAACAAACGGATGGACTCTGGCTAGTTATCCGCAGCAGGAACATGTCCTTAAGGCACAGATCACTCATCTATTGTTTGTGGTTCAGGAACACCTTAAGTGGTTTTCCGCCCTGGGTGGGCCAGGTGTTCCTTACCCTCTTTCCTGTAAACCAACAACCTTCAGCGTGGGCATCGTAGCTATCATGAGCATGTCACAGTGCTGCAGAGATTTTGTTTATGGCCAGTTTGGGGGCCTGTTTATGGCCAGATATGGGGGCCTGTTCCCAACACTCCAGCCTGTGTGAAGCCCAGAGGGTTTGGCATGGGAATGGCTGCAGTGGAACACAGCAAGGGACATCCATCCCTCAAAGCTTGCCATGTTCCCTTAGCTGGCTTTGGCTTTTGTTGATTGTTGGATCTAGACAGACCAGAACTATCTTGCCTGTGGGATGGGACCATTCAGATCTGAGTGCCTCGCTGTCTTCCATCTTCTCCCAGGATCCTTTCCTGCCTGCACCCACTGGCAGTGCATCCTCAGATGCCCAACTAGGGTGTTTCCCAGTGGCCACCTCCATAGCTCTTTCACTGGCAGACCCTGCCTAGCCATCAGAGAGTTTTTTGCAGAGGGCCACTGCCAGCACACACCTGCCTGCAGCCACCCCCCACCACTTTGCTGGTGCATGCATGCGTGGAGCTCATGTTGCCCCCAACCCGACCAGCCTCTGTGTGAGTGCAGACCTTGCTGCCCTGCTGCTGCCAGCATGTGCATGCAAGTGTGGACCCCACCACCCTGATTAAGTACTTTTGCCAGGACCCCACATAAGAGTGTTGCTGTCAATGGACTGAGAATACCTCAGTCCCTTTAGTGCACCAGGTGCTTAACCTCAAGGAGCCAGAGAGAAAAGTCATGGGCCTGAAGGGGATCCCCAGGGTTACAGCATGTAGCCCAAGAGTGCTAAGCTGACGTTTGGCCCCCTGAAATCATCCAGAAACAAAGCCAGTTGACTAAACACAACTTATGCCACAGCGAAACCCTCAAGGGCATCAAAGAATATAAAAGGAAAAAGACCCATCCAAAGAACAGCAACTTCAAAGATGAAAGAAACATCATGTCACACAGATGAGAAAAAGCCATTGCAAGGACTCCAATAACTCTAAAAGACAGGGTGTCTTCTTACCTACAAATGACTGCACTAGATTCCCAGCAATGGTTCTTAACCAGACTGAAAGAGCTGAAATGACTGACATAGAATTCAGAATCTGGATAGCAATGCAGATCACTGAGATTCAGGAGAAAGTTGAACCCAGTCTAAGGAATCTAAGGAATCCAGTAAAATTATTCAAGAACTGAAAGATGAAATAGCCATTTTAAGAAAGAACCAAACTGATCTGATAGTGCTGAAAAACTCACTACAAAAACTTCATAATACTATTGGACGTATTGCTAGCAGGATAGGCCAAGCTTAAGAAAGAATCTCTGAGCTGGAATACCAGTTCTTTGAATCAACTCAATCAGACAAAGTTAATGAAAAAAGAATTTTAAAAAATGAACCAAACTTCTGAGAAATATGGGACTATGTAAAGAGCCAAATCTATGACCCATTGGCATCCCTGAAAGACAGGGAAAGAGAACAAGCTTGAAAAACAAAGTTGAGGATATTGTCCATGAAATTTTTCCCAGCCTTGCTAGAGAGATCAATATTCAAACTTAGGAAATGCAGAGAAACCCTGTGAGATGCTATACAAGATTACCATCCCCAAGAACAAAAAGCCATCAGATTCTCAAAGGTCAATGTGAAAGAAAAAATATTAAAGGCAGCTATAGAGAAGAGGCAGATCACCTACAAATGGAACCATGTCAGGATAACAGCGGACGTTTCAGCATAAACCCTACAAGCCAGAAGAGGTTGAGGGCCTATGTTCAGCATGTTTACATAATAAATTCCAACCAATAATTTCACATCCAGCCAAACTAAGCTTCATGAGCAGAGGAGAAATAAAATCCTTTTCAGACAAGCAAATGTTAAGGGAAGTTATTACCACCTTCCTTAAAAGAGCTCCTTAATGGAGTGCTAAACATGGAAACAAAAGACCACTACTGACCACCACAAAAACACACATAAGTACATAGACCATTGACACCATAAAGCAATTACACAATCAAGTCTACATAACAACCAGCTAACAACACAATGGCAGGATGAAATCCTTAAATATCAATATTAATACTGAATGTAAAATGGGCTAAATGCCCCACTTAAAAGGCACAGAATGGCAAGTTGGATAAAGAAGAAAGACCTAACTCTATGCTGCCTTCAAGAGAGCCATCTCACATGCAATGACAGTTATAGTCTTAAAATAAAGGAATGGAGAAAAATCTATAAGGCATCAGAAAACAAAAAAGAATAGGAGTTGTTGTACTAATTTCAAACAAAAAAGAGTTTAAACCAACAATGATTAAAAAGGACAAAGAAGGGCACTACATAATGATTAAGGGTTCAATTAAACAAGAAGTCTTAACTATTCTAAATATATATGCACCCAACACTGGAGCACCCAGATTCATAAAACAAGTTCTTAGAGACCTACAAAGAGATGTAGATAACCACATAATAATAGTGGGATACTTCAACACCCCACTGACAATATTAGACAGATCATCAAAGCATAAAACTAACAAAGATATTTTGGAACTAAACTCAATGCTTGACCAAATGGACTTGAAAGACATCAACAGAGCACTTTAGCCAACAACAGAATATGCATTTTTCTCATTTTCATATGGCACATACACTAAAATTGACTGCATGCTCAGCCATAAAGAAATTCATAATAAATTTAAAAGCAATAAAATCATATCCACCACACTGTCAAAACATAGTGCACTAAAAATAGAAATCAATACCAAGAAGATCCTTCAAAACCATACAATTACATGGAAATCAAACAATCTGCTTCTGAATGACTTTTGGGTAAACAATGAAATTAAAGCAAAAAACAAGGAAGTATTTGAAACTAATAAAAACACAGATACAACATATCAGAATCTCTGGAACACAGCTAAATCAGTGTTAGGAGGAAAGTTTGTAGCACTAAATACCCACAACAAAGGTTATAACGATCTCAAATTAACAATCTAGGCTGGGTGCAGTGGCTCATACCCGTAATCCCAGCACTTTGGGAGGCCAAGGCGGGTGGATCATCTGAGATCAGGAATTCGAGACCAGTCTGGCCAACATGGTGAAACCTTGTCCTACCAAAAATACAAAAATTAGCTGCGTGTAGTGGTGGGTCCCTGTAGTCCCAGCTACTCAGGAGGCTGAGGCACAAGAACTGCTCGAACCTGGGAGGCAGAGGTTGCAGTGAGCCAAGATTGCACCACTGCACTCCAGCCTGGGTGACAGAATGAGACTCTGTCTCGAAAAAAAACAAAAAACAAAAAAAACACAATCTAACATTACAGCTAGAGGAGTTAAAAAAAACAAGAGCAAATCACCCACAAAACCAGCAGTAGAAAAGAAATAACCAAAATCAGATGTGAACAGAATGAAATTAGATGCAAAAATTCGTACAATGGATCAATGAAACCAGAAGTTTGTTTTTGGAAAGAAAAAATAAGATTGACAGACTGCTAGCCAGACTAATAAAGGAAAAGAGAGATGCAAATAAAGACAGTCAGAAATGACAAAGGGGACATTACCGTCAAACTCACGGAAATACCAAAAATCCCTGAGACTATTATGAACACCTCTATGCACACAAATTAGAATACCTAGAAAAGATGAATAAATTCCTGGAAAAATAAAACCTTCTAGGATTAGACTAGGAAGAAATCGAAACCCTGAACAGACCAATAGCAAGCACTGAAATTGAATCAGTATTAAGAAGCCTACTAACCAGAAAAAGCTCTGGACCAGAAGATTCACAGCTTATTTCTACCAGACATGTAAAGAAGAGCTGGTACCAATCCTATTGAAACTATTCCAAAAAATTGAGGAAAAGGGGCTGCTCCCTAACTCATTCTATGAGACCAGCATCATTCTGATACAAAAACCTGGCAGAGATAAAATAAGAAAAGAAAAGTTCAGGCCAGTATCCTTGATGAACATAAATGCAAAATTCCTGGACAAAATACTAGCAAACCAAATTTAGCACATAAAACATCTGACTTACCATAATCAAGTGGGCTTTATTCCTAGGATGCAAGGTTGATTCAACATACATAAATCAGTAAGTGTGATTTATCACTGAAACAGAACTAAAAACAAAAAGTACATGATCATCCCAATAGATGCAAAAAAGACTTTCAATACAATTCAACACCACTTCATGTTAAAAACCCAAAGGAAACTGGGCATCAAAGGAACATATCTTAAAATAATAAGAGCCATCTATGAAAAACTTAAAACAAACATCATACTGGATGGGCAAAGGCTTGAAACATTCCCTTTGAGAACTGGAACAAGACAAAGATGCTCACTCTCACCACTCCTGTTCAACATAGTACTGGAAGTGCTAAGCAGAGCAATCAGGAAAGAGAAACATATAAAAGGTATTCAAATTGGAAGAGAAGTCAAACTATTTTTCTTCACAGATTCAATTGATTCTATACCTAGAAAACACCATAGTCTCTGCCCAAAGGCTCCTAGAACTGATAAACAGCTTCAGTAAAGTTTCAGGATGCAAAATAATTTTACAAAAATCAGGAGTGTTTCTATACACCAACATGTCCAAGTTGAGAGTCAAACCAAGAATGCAATCCCATTCAGAATAGCCACAAAGAGAATAAAATACCTAGGAATACAGCTACTCAGGGAGGTGAAAAATCTCTACAAGGAGAATTACAAAAAAACTGCTGAAAGAAATGAGAGATGACACAAACAAATGGAGAAACATTTATGGATTCAATTTTATTTTTATCAAACTACCAATGCAATTCTTCATAGAATTAGAAAAAAGCTGTTTTAAAATTCATATGGAACAACAACAACAACTAAAGAGCCTGAATAGCCAAATCAATCCTAAGCAAAAAGAGCAAAGCTAGAGGCATCACACTGCACCACTTTAAACTATACTACAAGATTACAGTACACAAAACAGCACTGTGCTGGCACAAAAACAGACACATAAACCAATGGAACAGATTAGAGAACCCAGAAATTAAGCTGAACACCTACAACCACCTGATCTTTCGCAAAGTCAACAATTACAGGCAACTGTGAAAGGACCCCCTATTAAATAAGCAGTGCTGGGATAACTGGCTAGCCATATGCAGAAGATTAAAACTAGACCCCTTCCTTACACCATATATAAACATTATCTCAAGGTGAATTAATGACTTATATGTAAGCTCTCAAACTATAAAACTTAGAAAGTGCCATTCTGGACTTAAGAACTGGCAAATTTCCTGATGAAGATGCCAAAAGCAATGGCAGCAACATCAAAAATTGACAAGTGAGACCTAATTAAACTAAAGAGCTTCTGCACACACACACACACACACACACACACACACAAACAAAACAAAAAAACAAACAAATAAAACTATCAACAGAGTAAACAGACAACCTACAGATGGGTAGAAAATATTTGCAAGCTATGCATCTGACAAAGGTCTAATATACGAGTCTATAAGGAACTTTAAAAAGTCAACAACCACAAAACCAAACAATCCCGTTTAAAAATGGGCAAAGAGCATGAACAATCACTTCTCAAAAGAAAACATACATCTGGCTGCAAGCATATGAAAAAAAATGGTCAATACCACTAATCATTAGGGAAATGCGAATGAAAACCACAATGAGGTACCATTTCATACCAATTAGAATGACTATTAATAGAAAAAGACAAAAAAGAACACTGGTGAGGCTGTGAAGAAAAGGGAATGCTTATACACCACTGGTGGGAATGTAAGTTAGTTCAGCAACTCTAGAAAGCAGTTTGGAGATTTCTCAAAGAACTTAGAACCACCATTCAACCCAACAATTCCATTACTGGCTATACGTCCAAAGGAATGAGATCGTTTTACCAAAAATTTACATGTATGTTCGTCACAGCACTATTGACTATAGCAAAGACATGGAATGAGCAGAGGTGCCCATCAACGGTGGACTGGATAAAGAAAATGTGGCACATATACATCATGAAATACTATGCAGCCATAAAACCGAATGAAATCATTTTCTTTGCAGCAACATGGATGGAGCTTAGGAGGCCATTATCTTAAGTAAATTAATGCAGGCACAGAAAGTCAAATACTTAAATGTTCTCACTTATAAATGCGACCTAAGCATTGCGTACATGTGGACACAAAGAAGGGAACAGTAAATACCGAGGCCTACTTGAGGATGAAAAGTGAGAGGAGGGTGAGACTGGATAAACAACCTATTAGTTGATATGCTGTCTACATGGGTGATGAAATAATTTGCACACCAAACTCCAGCAACATGCAATTTACCAATGTAACAAACTTGTGTATGTACCCTCTGAACCTAAAATAGAAGATGGAAGGAAAAAAATAAATCTATTTGGAGACCAATGATGGAACAATATATTTCTAAAATGTTAGAGCAAGTATAAAAGCTGTAGCATTCAAACCACCTTGCCTGTGGTTAGATGAGACATAAACAAAAGACAGTGTATTCTAAGCTATGATGCTTAAAACAACCGCAATTGACCACATTGTGAGAACCTAATGTTGGTTTGTGTGTATTGGCTATATTTGCATTTGTTCAATTAAAGCTATTAAATAAAATATTTGTATTATGGTTGAAATGTCTGTGATAACATCAGTCTGAACAGGTAATTTTTTTTGGGTAGTCATTTCAGTGTTAAATATTCATTTTTGAGAGGTAGATGGAGGAGAAGTGGGAAAATGGCTACCCGGAGCACTTGGGGATGGTGAAGCAAACTAGTTGTAGATGGTGTTCCTGTACACCCCAACATGTTCAAGCAGAAGCAGATGAAGCTATATTCAGTGAAAGCCTGTAAGATCTCTAAGAGTGGCCATACAAGTAAACACATTTTGGCATACAGGAACTAGGCTATCTCTAATGAAAATGAAAATGTATAACTTTTGAGAACAAGGTTCCAAGTGTTCAGAAACTGCGAAAAGTAATTATAAACTGTCACATAGAAATGGTCAGACACCATTTAAAAGCAAATATATTTAGTGACACCAATGAAAAATGAGAGAGTAGTGCACTCCAAAGCTCTGTTCTTCCACTAAAGCAAGAATTAATCTGGCATAAAGTGTCAGAATCAACTTTTTTGGAGCTCTGAAATCAAATTTTAAAAATTCACGACACCAAGGGAATGCTTATGAAGAGAAAAGCTGTTAAACTTCAGCAGGAGAGTAACACAGCATTTTTTTTTTTAATATACTTTAAGTTCTGGGGTACATGTGCAGAACGTGCAGGTTTGTTATGTAGGTATACATGTGCCATGGTGGTTTGCTGCACCCATCAACCAGTCATCTACATTAGGTATTTCTCCCAATGCTATCCCTCCCCTAGCCCCCTACCCTCCAACAGGCCCTGGTGGTGCGTGATGTTCCCCTCCCTGTGTCCATCTGTTGTCATTGTTCAATTCCCACTTATAAGTAAGAACATGTGATGTTTGGTTTTTCTGTTCTTGTGTTAGTTTGCTGAGAATGATGGTTTCCAGCTTCTTCCATGTCCCTGCAAAGGACATGAACTCATCCTTTTTTATGGCTGCATAGTATTCCATGGTATATATGTGCCACATTTTCTTTATCCAGTCTATCATTGATGGGCATTTGGGTTGGTTCCAAATCTTTGCTATTGTGAACAGTGCTGCAATAAACATACGAGTGCATGTGTCTTTATAGTAGAATGATTTATAATCCTTTGGGTATATACCCAGTAATGGGACTGCTGGGTCAAATGATATTTCTGGTTCTAGATCCTTGAGGAATCACCACACTGTCTTCCACAATGGTTGAACTAATTTACACTCCCACCAACATTGTAAAAGCGTTCCTATTTCTCCACATCCTCTCCAGCATCTGTTGTTTCCTGACTTTAATGATGGCCATTCTAATAGGCATGAGATGGTATCTCATTGTATTTTGATTTGCATTTCTCTAATGACCAGTGATGATGAGCTTTTTTTCATATGTTTGTTGGCCACATAAATGTCTTCTTTTGAGAAGTGTCTGTTATATCCTTTGCCCACTTTTTGATGGGGTTGTTTGTTTTTTTCTTGTAAATTTGCTTAAGTTCCTTGTAGATTCTCGATATTGGCCGTTTGTCAGATGGATGTGAAGGAGCTCTTCAAGGAGAACTACAAACTACAGCTCAAGGAAATCAGACAGGACGCAAACAAATGGAAAAACATTCCATGCTCATGGATAGGAAGACTCAATATTGTGAAAATGGCCATACTGCCCTAAGTAATTTATAGATTCAATGCTATCCCCATCAAGCTACCATTGACTTTCTCATGGAATTAGGAAAAAGTACTTTAAATTTCATATGGAACCAAAAAAGAGCCTGTACAGCCAAGACAATCCTAAGCAAAAAGAACAAAGCTGGAGCCATCGTGCTGCCTGACTTCAAACTATACTACAAGGCTACAGTAACCAAAACAGATGGTACTGGTACCAAAACAGATATGTAGACCAATGGAACAGAACAGAGGCCTCAGAAATAATGCCATCTCAGAAATAATACATCTACAACATCTGATCTTTGACAAATCTGAC
Organism: Homo sapiens; assembly: GCF_000001405.40. Classification (NCBI taxonomy): domain Eukaryota; kingdom Metazoa; phylum Chordata; class Mammalia; order Primates; family Hominidae; genus Homo; species Homo sapiens. Next base: position 112,877,051 of record NC_000003.12, on the reverse strand, counting down.
AAAAGCAACCAATGGGGAAAGGATTCCCTATTTAAAAAATGGTGTTGGGAAAACTGGCTAGCCATATGCAGAAAACTGAAACTGGACGCCTTCTTTACACGTTATACAAAAATTAACTCAAGATGGATTAAAGACTTAAATGTAATACCTAAAACCACAAAAACCCTAGAAGAAAACCTAGGCAATACCATTCAGGACACAGGCATGGGTAAAGACTTTGTGATTAAAACACCAAAAGCAATGGCAACAAAAGCCGCAATTGACAAATGGGATCTAATTCAACTAAAGAGCTTCTGCACAGCAAAAGAAACTATCATCAGAGTGAACAGGCAACCTACAGAATGGGAGAAAAATTTTGCAATCTATTGACCATATGTTAACATACCTGGCTACCAACCCCTACACCCCAGCTCAAAAGCTAAGGAAAACCATGTGGAAAGAACTAAAGAAAACCCAAACACAATCTTACCAAATAGAGAATACCAACAAAGAGATTAAAATGTAAGAAAGAAACTGAGTGGAAATTATGGAGCTGAGAAATATAAAAACTGAAATAAAACATTTACTATAGGGTTTCAACAGGAGATTTGAACAGTAAGAAGAAGAAAAAAAGCTACCTTGAGATAGATCAATGAGATTATCCAGTCTGAAGACCAGAAAGAAAAAAGAATAAAGTAAAATGAATAGAGAGGCTTGTGAAACACTATCAAGTATACTACTATGTATAATGAGAGTCCAAGGAGGAGAGGAGAGGGAGAAAGCAGAAAGAATATTTGAAGAAATAATGGTTGAAAAATCCCTAAATTAGGCCAGGCGTAGTGGCTCACACCTGTAATCTCAGCACTTTGGAAGGCCAAGGCAGGTGGATCACGAGGTCAGGAGTTTGAGACCAGCCTGGCCAGCATGGTGAAATCCCATCTCTACTAAAAATACAAAAAATTAGCTGGGCATGGTGGCACGTGCCTGTAATCCCAGCTACTTGGGGGACTGAGGCAGAATTGCTTGAACCTGGGAGGTGAAGTTTGCAGTGAGCCGAGATTGCGCCACTGCACTCCAGCCTGGGTGACAGAGCAAGAGTCCATCTCAAAAACAGCAAAGAAAAAAAAAAAAAAGAAAAATCCCTAAGTTGGACGAAAGGCATTAATCTACACACCCAAGAGTTGAATGAACTTCAAGTAGGATAAACTCAAAGAGATCCACACATTACAATCAAACTGTCAAAAGACAAAGCCAAAGAAAATTTTGAGAGCAGCAAGAAGTGACTCATCATATACATGGGCTCCTTAATAAGAGTATTGGCCAATTACTCGTCAGAAGCCTTAGAGCCCAGAAGGTAGTGGGATGACATATTTAGAGTGCTGAAAAAAATTGTAAACAATAATCTCCAATCTGACAAAAGTATCCTTCAAAAAGGAAGAAGAAATCAAGACATTTCCAAATAAACAAAAGCTGAGGGAGTTTATTCTCTGTAGACCTGCCCTATAAGATATGTTGAAGGAAATCCTTTAGACTGAAATAAAAGAACACTAGACAGTAACTCATAGCCATATGAAGAAACAAGGAATGCCAGTAAAGGTAGCTACATAGGTAAATATAAAAGCCAGTATTATTTTATTTTGATTTGTAATTTTTCCCTATATGATTTAAAAGACACATTCATAAGACAACAACTATGAATCTGTGTTAAATAGGCACACATATTTAAAGATGTAATTTGTGACAATAGCAATTAAAGAGAAAAGCACCAAAGGCTCAAATCGTAGAAGGGTAGAGTTTCTTTTTAACTAGGTGGTTATAAATTTATAGATTGAATTATAATCTCTAATATAACCACAAAGAAGATAACCAAAATATATACAAAACAGAAATGAGACAGAAACCAAACGTTATACTAGAAAAATCAAATAAAAAAGAAGGCACTAATAAGGAACTGAGGAACAGAAAGATGAATGACATAGAGAAAACAAATGGTAAAATGTTTAGTCCTTCTTTATTGTGTTATATGGAAATGGATTAAACTTTCAATTAAAAGGCAAAGATTAGCAGAAAGGGGGAAACAAACATGATTCATCAATATACTGCCTATGAGAGACTAACTTTAGATCTAAAGACACATAGGTTGAAAGTAAAAGGATGGGAAGTGATATTCATGTAAATAGAAACCAAAAGAGCACAAGGTTGGCTACACCAATATCAGACAAAATAAACTTTAAGTAAAAATTATTATAAAATACAAAAGTGCATTACATATTGATAAAGAGTCAATCTGGAGGATACAACAGATGATATAATGATAATATACACAACTAACTACAGAGCATCAAAATATATGAAGCAAAAATTGCCAGAAATGAAAGTAGAAATCAACAGTTCTACGGTAATAGTTAGAGACTTCAATGTCCCACTTTCTTTTTTTCTTTTTTTTTCTTTTTGAGATGGAATCTCATTCTGTCGCCCAGGCTGGAGTGCAGTGGTGCAATCTCGGCTGACTGTAACCTTCGCCTCCCCAGTTTAAGTGATTCTCCTGCTTCAGCTGCCCGAGTAGCTGGGATTACAGGCATGTGCCACCATACCTGGCTGATTTTTGTATTTTTGGTAGAGTTGGGGTTTTCACTATGGACTCGATCTCCTGACTTCAGGTGATCCGCCCGCCTCGGCCTCTGAAAGTGCTGGGATTACAGGCATGAGCCAGCACACCTGGCCTAATGTCCCACTTCCAATAATGAGGTGGAACAACTAGACAGATAATCTATCTATCTATATACAAAAGACTCGAATAACATTATAAACCAACTAGACCTAACAGATGCATGCAGAACCCTTCACCCCAAAACAGCAGAATACACATTATTCTTAAGTGCACATGGTACATTCTCCAGAATAGACTAAACAAGTCCCTATATGTTTAAAAAGATTAAAATTGTAAGAAACATCTTCTGTAATCATAATGGAATAAAACTAAAAATCAGCAACAGAAGGAAAGTTGAGAAGTTCACAAATACATGGACATTAAATAACTAATGGGTCAAAGAAAAAATCACAAGGAAATTAGAAAATACATTGAGATAAATGAAAATGAAAACAAACATACCAAAACTTATGGGATATAGTAAAAGCGGTGCTCAGAAGGACATTTATAGCAGCTAGTGCCTACATTAAAAAGATCAAAGTCTCAAATTAATAACCTAAGTTAAGGAACTAAAAAAGAAGAGGAAACGAAACCCAAGAGAGAGCTTGAATTACTAAACTAAAATCAGAAATGAAAGTGGGGACATTACTGACCTTATAGAAATAAAAAGCATTATAAAAGAACACTATGAGCATTTGTACACTAATAAACTAGATAACCTAGATAAAATGGAAAAGTTCCTAAAACACACAAAGTACCAAAACTGACCCAAGAAGAAACAGAAAATCTGAAGAGGTGTATAACTAGTAAAGAGTTTGAATCTGTAATAAAAAAATCTAACAAAAAAGGGCCCAGGACCAGATGACTTTATTGGTGAATACAGTGTATTAAACATTTAAACAAGGGTTAACACTGATTCTTCTCAAGTTTCTTCAATAAATAGAAGAAAAAGGAACACTTCCTAACTCATTCTATGAGACCAACATTATCCTGATGCCAAACCCAGACAAAGAAATCACAAGAAAAGAAAACTACAGACCAATATTCCTTTTGAATATAGATGCAAAAATCCTCAACAAAATACCAGCAAACTAAATCCAGTAGCATATTAAAAGGATTAGACATCACGTAAAAGTGGGATTTATCCTAAGAATGCAAAATTGGTTCCACATATGAAAATCAATCTATGTAATAAACCACATTAATAGAATGAAGAAAAAAGTCACATGATCTCAATTGATGGAGAAAAAGCATTTGACAAAAATCTTACATTCTGCCATGATAAAAATTCTCAAAAAAACTAGGAACGGAAGGGAACTTCCTCAACACAAGAAAGGGAATTTATTAAAAAACTCAAAGCTGAGAGCATGCTAATTTTTGGAAGACTGGAAGCTCCCCTCTATTAGCACAACAAGGCAAGAATGCCCACTTTCACCACTTCTATTCACCATTATACTGGAAGTTTTACCCAGGATAATTAGTCAAGGAAAATAAAAATAAATAAAAAATATCCAAACTGGAGAGAAAGAAGTAAAATGATCTCTATTCACATATGATGTACATCCTAAACATACCACAACAAGATCCCAAACTCCTTAGGGCTAATAAACAAATTCAGCAAAGTTACAGGATACAAAAACATGCAAAAATGAGTTGTATTTCTATATATCAGCAATGAACAATCTTAAAAGGAAATTGAGGAAACAATTACATTTATAATAGCATCAAAAATAATAAAATACTTAGGAATAAATTCAAGTAAGGAGCAAGACCTCTACACTGAAAACTACAAAATGGTACTAAAAGAAATTGAAGAAAGTATAAATAAATGGAAAGACATTCTCTGTGCATGGAATAGAGACTTAATATTCTCAAGACGGTAATACTCCTCAAAGAGATCTACATATTCAATGCAATCCTTATTAAAATCCCAATGGCCTTTTCTGCAGAAATGGGAAATCCTCAACTGCATGTGGAATTGCAAGAGACTTCAAATAGTTAAAACAATATTGAAAAAGAAGGACAGGAGATGATCTTCAATGGCTAGGTAGAGGCACCTGACACTTTTCCTCCACTAAGAAGAACCAAAGCAGCAAGTAGATAATCACACTTCAAGTAGAGAATCTAAGAGAGATCACTGAAACTTAGGAGGGAAGTAACAGAAATAAGGCATGAAAAAAGAGAGAAATGAAGCAGCCAGCCTGGCTGGGATAGGCAGGGATCCCAGAAAGACTCCTTGTGCAGAAAAAGGCAACAGAGAGATCCCCAGTAGTATCCCCAGCTACTTGGGTCTCACCAGAGAGGCTGCCTCCAGGACAAAGGGAATGGAAGGGCATACGCTCCAGAGCCTGAAAGCTGCCTGCCTGGGGTAGCTGCCACTAAACAGAAACTCTCCTTAACAGCAGGGCCTCAGCACACTCACATGCTCCTGAGAACAGGCTCTCCCCAACCAATGCTGACACTGCTGCTGCCACTTGAGCATGCCAAAGGGGTCATGGGGATTCCTCTGATCCACCCACTACAGCCTGCATCTGTGCAGGCCTAAGGACAGGCAGGTTCTGCCTGGTGCTGTCCCTCCTAGTGCTTGAGCGCATTGCCTGGGGGCCTGGGGATTGTGCTGTGTTGTCTGCTGCACATCATCCACTACTTCTGGCATCCATGCAGTTCTGGGGGCCGGAGGATGAGCCTTCCCAGCCTGTCACCATCACCACCATTGACATTCACCTGCATGTTCCACCTGGGTATCTGGGGATGGGCCTCCCCAGCCCTTTGTTACCACCACTAACACCAGCAGGAGCTTCCTGGGAGCCAGAGGGTTTTCCTATGATGAATACTATCGTTGCCCATGTCACACATGTTGACGAAGGGCCTGCCTACCTACCCATCCCATGTTGCCACTGCTACATGCTGGAGCAAGCCACTTGGAGCCCTGTGAATTGGCCTGCCTGGACCCACTAACATTGGTGTCCATGTAATACTGGCTGCCTGGGGGCCCAAGGACAAGCACACTCAGCCAGCTGCTGCCACCAATGAGGCCTGAGAATTGGCCCACCTGGTGTCTTTATGCCAAGCACAGCCTCCATAACAAACATAGCCTAAGCCACTGAGGAAATCACAGACACCACTGAGACCATTTACAACCAGAGAAATCATATGAAGACTACATTACTGCACACACTCAGAATAAAAGCTTACATGCCAACAGACACCATAGATACAATTACAGGAAAAAGTCTTCCCCTACAAAAGCCAATCCAAAATATTGGAAGAAGGAACTAGTATATCAGAGGCGTAGATATCAATGCAAGGACACAAGAAACATAAAAAAGGAAAGAAATGTGACACCTCCAAAGGAAAAAATAATTCTCTAGCAATAGATTCCAGTGAAGAAAAAATTATAAAATGCTTGAAAAAAATTAAAAATAATAGTAAAGAAGCTCAGTGAGTGATACAATTGGATATGTACCCCCTCTAAATCTCATGTTTAATTGAAATCCCCAGTGTTGGAGATCGGGCCACATGGGTGGTGATTAAATCACAGGGACAGATTTCTCGTGGATGATTTAGCATCATCGCCTTGGTGCTGTCCTTGTGACAATGAGTGAGTTCTTGTGAGATCTGGTTGTTACAAAGTGTGTGGCACTTCGTAACTGCTCTCCTTTCACCTTCCACCATGAGTAAAAGCTCCCTGAGACTTCCCCAGAAGCTGAGCAGATGTCAGCACCATGCTTTCTGTACAGCCTGCAGAACCAGGAGCCAATTAAGTTTCTTTTTTATAAATTATCCAGCCTCAGGTATTTCTTTACAGCAACGCATGAACAACCTAACACCGTGAGATACAAGAAAGCACAAATAAGCAACCCAAAGAAATCAGAAAAACAATTCAGGATATGAATGAGAAGTTCAGCAAACTGATAGATATAAAAACAGAAATCTTGGAACTGAAGAATTCAATGAATGAAATATACAATCAAGAGCTTCAACAATAGATTATACCAAGCAGAAGAAACAATTTCAGAACTTGAAAACAGGTCTTTTGGAATAACTCAGTCAGACAAAAAAGAAGAAAAGAAAAAAAAATGAAGGAAGCCTTTGTGGTATATGGGACACCATAAAAACAATTTGAATTGTGGGTGTTCCAGAAGAAGAGAAAGGCAAAGTTATAGAAAACCCACTTAACAAAATAATAGGAGAAAACTTCCCAAGTCTTGCAAGATTTAGACATCCAGATACAGTAGGCTCTTAGATTCCCAAATAAATACAACCCAAAAAGTTTTCCTCCAAGGCACCTTATACTCAAACTATCAAAAGTCAAAGAGAAAGAGAATTGTAAAAACAGCAAGAAAAAAGTGTCAAGTCACATATAATGTAATCCCCATTAGACCAACAGTGAATTTCTCAGTAGAACCTTACAGGCCAGGTGAGACTGGACTGATATATTCAAAGGGCTTAAAGAAAAAAACCCTGCCAATTAAGAACATTATACCCAGCAGTTATCCTTTAGAAATGAAGAAAAAATAAAGTTTTTCCCAGACACACAAAAAACTGAGAAAATTTATTACCACTAGATCAGCTCTACAATAAATGTTTAAGGCAGTTTTACACCTGGAAGCAAAATAATGATTTTTACCAACATGAAAACATGTGAAAGTAGAAAACTCACTGGTAGAGCACACACATAAATAAGAAAGAGAGCTCCAATGTTACCACTATAGAAGACCACCAAACCACAATAATAAACAACACAAGAGAAAGATAGGAACAAAGGATATATAAAAGAACCAGAAAACAATTAAGAAAATGACAGGGGCCGGGCGCGGTGGCTCACGCCTGTAATCCCAGCACTTTGGGAGGCCGAGGCGGGCGGATCACGAGGTCAGGAGATCGAGACCATCCCGGCTAAAACGGTGAAACCCCGTCTCTACTAAAAATACAAAAAATTAGCCGGGCGTAGTGGTGGGCGCCTGTAGTCCCAGCTACTTGGGAGGCTGAGGCAGGAGAATGGCGTGAACCTGGGAGGCGGAGCTTGCAGTGAGCCGAGATCCCGCCACTGCACTCCAGCCTGGGCGACAGAGCGAGACTCCGTCTCAAAAAAAAAAAAAAAAAAAAAGAAAATGACAGGAATAAGTCCTCATATATGAATAGTAATCTTGAATGTAAATGGATTAAATACTTAAAATATATGGACTGACTGAATTAAAAAAAACAAATCTATGCTGCTTATAAAAAAATCACTTCACCTGAAAAGATACAGAATGAATGAATAGAACATTTCCAGGCAAATGGAAACCAAAAGTGAGTGGGAATAACTATTCTTATATCAGATAAAGCAGACTTCAAGCCAAAAATAATAAAAAGAGACAAAGATGTCATTATACAATTATAGATAAAGGAGTCAATTCAGCAAGAGCATATAACAATTCTAAATATATATGCACCCAAAACTAGAGCACCCAGATATATAAGGCAAATATTATTAGACCTAAAGAGAGAGATAAACTACAATACAAAAAGATTTGGGACTTCAAACCCCACTCTCAGACTTAGACAGATTATTTACACAAAAAATCAACAAATAAACATTGGATCTAAACTATATCACAGACCAAATGGACTTAAAAGACATTTACAGAACATTTTATCCAACAACTTCAGAATACACATTTTTCTTATCAGCACATGGAATCTTCTCCAGAATAGATCATGTGTTAGGTCACAAAACAAGTCTGAACAAATTTTAAAAATCAAAATCATATTAACTAACTTCTGAAACCACAGTGGTATAAAACTAGAAATCAATAATGAGGAAATTTGCAAAGTTTCGAATACATGAAAATGAAACAACACATTCCTGCGTGGCCATTCCATCAATGAAGGCATTAAGAAGGAAATAAAAAATTTCTTTAAACAAATGAAAATGAAAACCTGACCTACCAAAACTTCTGAGAAACATCAAAAGCTGTGCTAAGAGAGAAGTTTATAGCAATAAAGACTACATTAACAAAGTAAAAAGACTTCAAATGAACAACCTAACAATGAACCTCAAGGAACAAAAAAAAAGCAAGAACAAACCAAATCCAAAATTTGTAGAAGAGAAGAATAAAGATGAGAGCATAACTAAATAAAATAGTGACTAAAAAAATACAAAAGATTAATGAAATGAAAAGTTGGTGTTTTGAAAGATAAAATTAGCAAGTCTTTAGCTAGGCTAAATAAGAGAGAACAAATAGAAAACTTAAACAAGCCAATAATGAGTAATGAGATCAAAACTGTAACAAAAACCCTTTTATCAAAGGAAAGCCCAGGCCTTGATGGCTTCGATGCTGAATTCTATCAAACTTATGAAGAAGAATGAACTCCAATTCTAATCAAACTATTCCAAAAACTTGAAGGCGAGGAAATCCTTCCTAACCCATTTTATGAGGCCAGCATTACCCTGATACCAAACCACATAAAGATGTAACACAAAAAAGAAAACTATTGGCTAACATCACTGATGAGCATAGATGCAAAAATCCTCAACAAAATATTACTGGATTCAGCACCACATTAAAAAGATCAGTCACCGTGATCAAGTAAGATTCATCCTAGGGAAGCAGGGATGGTTCAACGTACACAAATCAATAAATGTGATACATCGCCTTAACAGAACCAAGGAAAAAAAAATGACTATTTCAATAGATGTTGAGAAGGCACTTGATAAAATTCAACATCCCTTTATGATAAATACCCCCATCAAAATAGGTACAGAAGAAACATACCTCAAAGTAATAAAAGCTATATATGACAAAACCACAGCTAACATTGTACCGAATGGGGAAAAAAATGAAGGCTTTTTCTCTCGAGTGGACCAAGACAAGGATGCCCATTTTCAACATTTTTATTTGCTGTAACACTGGAAGTCCTGTAGAAAGCAATTAGGAAAGAAAAAGAAATAACATAGAGATAGGAAAGGAAGTAGTCAAATTAGCTTTGTTTGCAGACAACATGATCTTATAACTAGAAAAAACTAAAGACTCTACCAAGAAACTGTTGGAACTGATAAATAAATCGAGTAAAGTTGCAGGATACAAAATCAACACAGAAAAATCAGTAGCATTTGCCAACAGTGAACAACAGTGAACAATCTGAAAAAGAAATGAAGAGAGCAATTCCATTTATAAGAGCTACAAAAAATCTAAAATATGCTGCTATCAATGTAATCAAAGAAGTGAAAATTCTATATAAGGAAAACTAGAAAACTCTGATAAAAGAAATTGAGAGGACACACACAGAAATACAAAAAGATTTTATGTTCATGGATTGGAAGAATCAAAATGTCCATACCACCAAAAGCAATTAAAAGATTCAATATGATCCCTATCAAAATCCAATGACACTCTTCACATAAATAGAAAAATATCCTAAAATTTATATAAAACCTCAAAAGACCCTGAATAGCCAAAGCAATACTGAACAAAAGGAACAAAGCTGGAGGCATCACACAATCTGACTTCAAAATTTACTACAGAGCTATAGTAACCAAAACAGCATGGTACTGGCATAAAAGCAGACACATAGACCAATGGAACAGAACAGAGAATGCGGAAAGAAATCTAAACATATAGAGTGAACTCATTTTCCACAAAGGTGCCAAAAACATACACCGAAGAAAAGACAGCCTCTTCACTAAATGGTGCTGGAAACCTGGATATCCATATATAGAAGAATGAAACTAGATCCCTATCTCTCACCACATACAAAAATCAAATCAAAATGGATTAAATACTTTAAGACCTTAAAATATAAAACTACTAAAACACTGGAGAAACTCTCCAGGACATTGGATTGGGCAATGATTTCTTGAGTAATACCTCATAAGCACAGGCAACCAAAGCAAAAATGGACAAATGGTATCATATCTAGTTAAAAAGCTTCTGCACAGCAAAAGAAACAGTGAAAAATGTGAAAAGACACCTAACAGAATGGGAGAAAATATTAACAAACTATTCATCTAACAAAGGATTAATAACTGGAATACATAAGGAGCTCAAACAATTCTAAAGGAAAAATCTAATATTTCAATTCAAAAATAGGCAAAAGATCTGAATAGACATTTTTCAAAAGAAGGCATACATATGGCAAATAGGTATATGAAAATGTGCTCAACAGCATTGATCATCAGACAAATGCAAATAAAAACTACAATGAGGTATCATCTCACCCCAGTCAAAATGGCTTTTATCCAAAAAAAAAGGCAAATGCTGGCAAGGATGTGGATCAAATAGAATCTTCATACACTGTTGGTGGGAACGTCAATTTGTATATATGGAGAATGGTTCGGAGGATCTTCAAAAAACTAAAAATAGAGCTACCATATGATCAGCCATCCCACTGCTAGGTATATACCCTAAAAAAGGGAAGTCAGTATATCAAGGAGATATCTGCACTCCCATGTTTATTGAAGCACTGTTCACAATAGTCAAGATTTGGAAAGCAACCAAACATCTGTCAACAGATAATGAATAAAGAAAATGTGGAATGTATAAACAATGGAATACTATTCAGCCACCAAAAATGATATCCTGTCATTTGCAACAACATGAATGGAACTGGAGGTCATTATGTTAAGTGAAATAAGACAGGCACAAAAAGACAAACTTTTCATGTTCTCACTTATTTGTTGGAGCTAAAAATTAAAATAACTGAACTCAAGATGATAGAGAGTAGAATAATGGTTACCACAGGCTGGCAAGGGTAGTGTGGGGGGAGGTGGAAGGGAAGTGGGGATAGTTAATGGGTACAAAGTTAAAAAGAATGAATAAGATGTAGTAATTGATAGCATAACAGGGTGACCGTTGTCACCCGTTGTGCATTTAAAGGTAACTACAAGAGTATAATTAGATTGTTTGTAACACACAGAATAATTCTTGAGATGATGGATACCCCACTTACCCCGATGTGATGGTTACACATTGCATGCCTATATCAAAATATCCCTTATACCCCATAAACATATACACCTCATATGTGCTCACAAAAATTAAACATTAAAAACATGGTAAAGATGATAAAATTAATATGTATATTTTACCTCAAAAAAAACCCCGAAATTTAAAAAACAGAAAGATTTCAAATAAGCAACTTAATGATACACCTCAAGGAACTAGAAAAGCAATAATAAGCCACAGCCAAAATTAGTAGAAGAAAGGAAATAATAAAGATCAAAGCAGAGCTGAATGAAATGGAGACTCAAAAAATATAGATGATGAGTGAAATGAAAAGTTGTTTCTTAAATAGAGAAATAAAGCTGATAAGCTGCTAGTTATATTAACCACGAAAGAAAAGAGAGAAGACCCAAATAAACAAAATTAAGAACAGAAAATGAGATGTTATAACTGATACCACAGAAATACAAAACATCATCAGAGACTATTATGAACAACTATATGCTAACAAACTTGGTTACCTAGAGGAAATAAATGAATTCTTGAACACACACATCCTACCAAGATTGGATCAGAAAAAAATAAAAAACCTGAAGTGACCAATAATGAGTAATGAGATTGAATCAGTAATAAAAAGTTTCATAGGAAAAAAAAAGTCCAGGACTATATGGCTTTATTGCTGAATGTTGCCAAACTTATAAGGAATAACGAACACCAGTTCTTACCAAACTATTTCAAAAAATTGAAGGTGAAGGAATTATTCCTAACTGATTTTATGATGCCAGAACTGCCCTAATACCAAAACTACACAAGGACAAACCAAAAAGAGAAAACTACAGGCCAGTATCACTGATCAACATAGACACAAAAATTCTCAACAAAATACTAGCAAACTAAATCCAACAATACAAAGATAATACACTATGATCAGGTGGGATTTATCTAGTGGGATTTATCCCAGGAATACATGAATGGTTCAATGTATGCAAATCAATAACTGTAATACATACATCAACAGAATGAAGGACTAAAACTTCATGATCATTTCAATAGATGCAGAAAAATCATTTGATAAAATTCAGCATCTCTTCATGATAAACACTCAACAAACTAGGCAAAGAAAGAACATACTCAATGTAATAAATGCCATAGATGACAAACCTCCAGCTAATATCATACTGAATGGGAAAAAGCTGAAAGCCTTTTCTCGAAGAGTTGAAATAAGATAAGAATGCCCATTTTCACCACTCTTATTCAGTCTAGTATTAGAAGTCCTAGCCAGAGCAGTCAGGCAACAGAAAGAAATGAAAGGTACCCAAATTGATAAAGAGGAATTTAAATTGTCCCTCTTTGCAGAGGACGTGAAGTTATATCTAGAAAAACCTGAAGACTCCACCAAAAGCCTCTTAGATCTGATAAATTCAGTAGAGTGGCAAGATACAAAATCAACATACAAAAATTAGTAGCATTTCTATATACCAATAACAAACTAGCTAAAAAGGAAACCAATAAAGCAATCTCATTTAAAATCTGTACAAAGAAAAAACTCTAAGAATAAATTTAGCCAAGGAGGTAAAAGACCCTTACGAGAAAAAGTACAAAACACTGATGAAAAAAATTGAAGAGGGAACAAATAAAAAGACATTGTATGCTCGTAGACTGAAATATTTAATGTTGTTAAAATGACCATATTACCCCCCAAAATCCACAGATTCAACACAATCTCTCTCAAAATACCAATGACATTTTTCACAGAAATAGAAACAATCTTAAAATTGTATGGACCAAAAGAAGAGCCTGAAGAGTCAAGGCAAACCTGAGTAAAAAAAAACACAGCTGAAGGCATCACTCTACCTGACTTGAAAATCTATTACAAGGCTATAATAACAAAAGCAGCGTGTTATTGGTATGAAAACAGACATATATACCAATTGGAACAGAATAAGGAACCCAGATATAAATACACATATTTACAGCCAACTGACAAAGGTGTCAAGAACATACACTGGGGAAAAGACATTCTCTTTAATCAGTGGTGCTAGGAAAACTGGATACAGAGGAGTGAAACTAGGTTCCTAACTCTCATCATTTAAAAATATCAACTCAAAATAGATTGAAATTAAAGTTGTACGTAAGACCTGAAACTATAAAATTACTAGAAGAAAACATAGAGGAAGCACTCCAGGGCATTGGTCTAGGCAAAGATTTTATGGCTAAGACATCAAAAGCACAAGTAACACAAACAAAAGTAGAAAAATGGGACTATATTAAACTAAAAAGCTTCTGCATAGCAAAGGAAACAATCAACAGAATGAAGACAACCTATGGAATGGGAGAAAATATTTGCAAAATATCCATTTGACAAGGGACTAATATGCAGAATATACAAGGAACTCAGATAAGAGCAAAAAAAGCAAAGAATCCCATTAAACAGTGGGTAAAGCATCTGAATACTTATATCTGAAAACAAGACATACAAATGGCCAATAGGCATATAAAAATGTTCAACATCACTAATCATTGGGGAAATGCCAGTCAAAATCACAGAGACGTATTATCTTACCCAAGTTAGAATGGCTGTTATCAAAAAGACAAAAAATAATTGATGTTGGTGAAGATGAGGAGAAAGCAAAACTCTTTTTTTTTTTTTTCTGAGATGGAGTCTCGCTCTGTTGCCCAGGCTGGAGTACAGTGGTATGATCTTGGTTCACTGCAACCTCCGCCTCCCGGGTTCAAGCAATTCTCCTGCCTCAGCCTCCCAAGTAGCTGGGATTACAGGTGCCTGCCACTACACTTGGCTAATTTTTGTATTTTTAGTAGAGATGGGGTTTCACTATGTTGACCAGGCTAGTCTCGAACTCCTGACCTCAAGTGATCCATCTGCCTTGGCCTCCCAAAGTGCTGGGAGTACAGGCATGAGCCACCATGCCCAGCCAAAAGTGAAGCTCTTATACACTGCTGGTGGGAATATAAATTAATACAGCTATTATGGACAACAGTACAGAGATTTCTCAAAAAACTAAAAATAGGACTATATGCTCCAGCAATCCCACTACTAGGTGTTTATACACAGGAAACGATATCAGTGTATCAAAGGGATACCTGCACCCCCCCATGTTTATTGCAGCGCTAGTCACAATAACCTAATCAACCTAAACGTCAATCAGTGAATGAATGGATAAAAATAATATGATATATATGCACAATGGAATACTGTTCAGCCATAAAATAATAAAATACTGTCATTTTCAGCAACATGGATGGAAATGGAGGATATTATGTTAAGTAAAATAAGCCAGGCATAGTAAAACAAAAATAACACATGTTCTCAATCAAATGTGAGAGCTAAAAACAATTGTTCTCATGGAGGTAGAGAGTAGAATGATAATTACCAGAGGCTGGGAAGTGTATGTGTCTGTGTGTGGTGGGGGAATGGTGGGAAGGTGGGGGTGGCGGTGGAGGATAATGGTATAAACATACAGTTAGACAGAAGGAGTAAGTTCTAATTGTTGACAGCACAGTAGGGTGACTATAGTTAACAACAATATATTATATATTTCAAAATAGCTATGAGAGGATTTGAAATATTCCTAACAAGTAGGAATGATAAATGTTTGAGATAATAAATATTTTTAATACTCTGACTTGATCATTCATTACACATTCTATGCATGTAACAAAATATCACATATACCCCATAAATATGTACAAGTATTATGGTATCAATTAAGAAAAAAGAACACAGTTGGAAGACTCACATTCCTGATTTCAAAATTTCCTACAAAGCTATAGTAATCAAAACAGTTTGATACTGGCAAAATAATAGGCACATGGACAAATGGGATAAAATCGAGAGTTCAGCAATAAGCCTATACACGTATGGCCCATTCATTTCCTAAAAATATGCTAAGACCATTCAATCGGGGAAGAACAGTCTCTTCAACAAGTGGTGCTGGTACAAATGGATCACCATATGTGAAGGAAGGAAGTTAGATTCTTACCTCACACCATATACAAAAATTAATGTAAAATGGACTAAAGACTTAAGTATGAGAACTAAAACTATAAAACTCTTAGAAGGAAACATCTACTCTTTTCTGGATTTAGCAGTGATTTTTAAATGACACCCAAAGCACAAGCATCCAAAGAAAACATAAAGAAATGGGCTTATCAAAATTAAACCATTTGTGCATCAAAGTATTAGGCCATTCTTGCTTTGCTATGCAGAAATACCTGAGACTGGGTAATTTATAAATAAAAAAGGTTTAATTGATTCATGGCTCTGCAGGCTGTAAAGGTGGTGTGGTGCTGGCATCTGCTCAGCTTCTGGGGAGGCCCCAGGGAGATTTTATTATGGCAGAAGGTGAAGCAGGAGCAGACACACTTCACATGGCAAAAGCAGAAGCAAGCAAGAGAGAGTGGAGGGGGAGGGGCCCACACTTTTAAATGACCAGATCTCATGTGAACTCAGAGTGAGAGATCACTTATCATCAAGCAGATGGCCCAAGGCATTCATAAGGGATCTGCTCCTATGATCCAAACACCTCCCACCAGGCCCCACTTCCAACACTGGGGATTACATTTCAACATGAAATGTGAGCAGGGACAAGTATCCAAACTATATTACATCGAAAGAAAACATAAAGAAATAGACTTTATCAAAATTAAAGCATTTGTACATCAAAATGTGCCCACCAAGAGAGTGTAAGACAACACATTTAATGTGAAAATATATTTGCAAATTATATATCCAATAATGTTCTAGTGTCCAGAATATATGAAGAACTCATACTATTCAAAACCAAACAATCCAGTTAAAATATAGGTAAAAGATTTGAATAGACATTTCTCCAAAGAAGACATAGAAATGGCCAACAAGCATAAGATGGTCATTGTGATTAGTCATTAGGGAAATGCAAAACAAACCACAATGAAATACAACTTCACACCAACGAGGGTTGCCATAATAATACTTTTTTTTTTTTTTGAGACAAAGTTTCACTCTTGTTGCCCAGGCTGGAGTGCAATGGCGCCATCTTGGCTCATTGCAACCTCCGCCTCCTGGGTTCAAGCAATTCTCCTGCCTCAGCCTTCCAAGTAGCTGGGATTACAGGCATGCGCCACCACGCCGAGCTAATTTTGTATTTTTAGTAGATACGGGATTTCTCCATGTTGGTCAGGCTGGTCTCAAACTCCCAACCTTAGGTGATCCACCTGCCTTGGCCTCCCAAAGTGCTGGGATTACAGGCATGAGCCACTGCGCCCATCCAATAATAATAATTTTTAAATTGAAAAATAAAAAGTATTGGCAAGGATGTGGAGAAATTGGAAACCTCATATATTGCTGGTGGGAATGTACAATGATGGAGCCACTGTGAATCACAGTTTCAATAAATTAAATATGGAATTACAACGTGGTATAGCAAGTTCACTATATAGTCAAAATAATTGAAAATATGCACACTAATGTTCATAGCAGCACTGTTTACAACAGCCAAAGTCAGAAACAACCCCCAAATCCATCAGGTGATATGTGTATAAACAAAATGTGATATATTCACACAACTGAATTTATTCAAACATGAAGAGGGATGAAATACTGATACTCACTACGACATGGATGAACCTTTAAAACATTATGCCATGTGAAAGAAACCAGACAGAAAAGCTAAGTGGTATATGATTCCACTTGTGTGAAATACCCAGAATAGGAAAATCCATAGTGATAGAAAGCAGATTCCTGTCTACAAAGGCCTGGGTTAGGAGGAATGGGGAGTGACTATCTAATGGGTACGAGTTTTCTTTTCAGGGTGATGAAAATCTTCTAGAACTTGGTAGTGGTGATGGTTGTACAGCATTGTGAATGTATGAAATGTCAGTGAATCGTACTATTTAAAATGAGTAAAATAGTAAAGTTTCTGTTACATGTATTTTCTGTAATAAAAAATACACCTTAGTTATTTGTAATATCTAGGGTGGAAAAATAATCTTATTATTTTTTAAGAGACAGGCCCTTGCTCTGTTGCTCAGGCTAGTGTACAGTGGTGTGATGATAGCTCACTGCAGCCTTAAACTTCTGGGCTCAGGTGATCTTCCCACCTTAGTCTCCTGAGTAGCCGGGAATACAGGCATACACCACCATGCCTAGTTAATTTTTTTTTGTTGTTGGAAAAAAATCTTTATGAACACTTACAAGTGACAGCTAATGGAATTTGTTTTTAACTTTAATTTTTCAAATTAAGCTTTTTATTTTGAGATGATTGTAGAGTCACAGGTAATTGTAAGAAGTACTATAGAGTGATTCTATGTACCCTTCACTCAGTTTCCTCCAGTGCTAACATTTTGCAAAACTTTAGAACAATAACACAATCAAGATACTGACATTGACACAGTTAAGATAGAAAACATTTCTGTTAGAGTAGGCAGATAGCAGGAGGGGGAGCCTGTGAGAAAGGGAGATCTAGGAAGCCTCACCCATCCAGGGATTACCACAAATCTGCATACTAATAACATCTCTAATGCTGGAGTGGGTGGGCAATTAGTCAAATGTGAGTAGAAAGGAAGAGAGATACCTATGCAGAAAGAAACGCCCCTTAAGACACCCAGTAATTGCTCATTCTGCTGTTAAACTGTCAGAATATAGCTAGCTCCATGCTAATAAGAAGAAAAAAAGCACAAAGGGGAAATTCCTGAGAGATATGCAGATGCAGTAAGTTCAGATTTAACCACACTACAACCTTCCTGGAGTGGCAGTCATGAGCAATGCACCATTAGGTAGGATTTGTATTGATTATCAGTCCTGCACATGTGCATCCACTGACTGTAAGGGGGAATCCCACAAACCTGGGGTAGGATCTCAGCATTGAGGGGTAGGGGGAAGGTGGAGACTTAACACAGAAGTGGAAAACTGGATATAGACAAAAGTGGAGACTTGAGACAGAGGAGGAACTTTAAGCGAGTCCAACATAATAAAAACCACAATGCAGAAGTCTGGGGGCTGATGACTCAATTCTCTTTCAGCAGCCTGCTCTGCCTCATATTTGAGGGTGTACTGCCTCTTTAAATAAACTCTGTTACTACTTAAACTTTGCTGCTACTGCTGCTGTTTTCCAGCCAGACCAGCCCACTTTTTCCTTGGAGTGTACTTTATTTACCTTCAGTAAATTCTCTGCTCTCTTTGCTAAATTGTCTCTTGGCTGAATTCTTTCTCTGAAGTAAAACAAGAACCGAGCACCCCCACACTTCCTGGTAACATTTCCATCATGTAATCTCCAAGTAGGAACAGTTTTCTTTCTTTTGTTCTCACTGGTATGTCTCTTATTTCCTTTTCTTACTTTATTGCACTGGCTAGAATCTTCAATACTTCATTGAATAAGAGTTGTGAGACCTGACATTCTTGCCCTGTTCACTATTTAAGGGAAAAGCATTCAATTTTTCACCATTAAGTACAATGTCATCTATAGGTTTTTACAGGTGCTCTTTATCAAGTTGGAGATGTTCCCTTTCTATTCCTATTTTTCTGTGGGTTTTCATTATGAATTGGTGTTATGGACTGAATTGTGTCCTCTTAAAATCCATATGTTAAAGCTTGAATCCCAAACATAACCATTTTGGGAGATAAAGCTTTTAAGGAAGTAATTAAGATTAAATGAGGTTATAAAGGTGAAACTCTAATTCTGTAGGACTGGTTTTCTTATAAGAGAAGGAAGAGGCATTAGAGATCACCTTCTCTCTTCATAAGCCAAGAAGAGGAACCTCACCAGAAACCACCCCTGGTGGAAACTTGATATTGATCTTCTGGCCTGTAGAACTGTGAGAAATCAACTTCTGTTGTTTATAAACTACACAGTTTGTGGTATTTTATGGCAGCCTGGGCAGAATAAGAAAATTGGTGTTGAATTTTGTCAAATGATTTTTCTATGCAGTTGATAAATGCATTTTAGTGACTTGTAACATTTAAGAGAGAAAAAAAAAGAATAATCATTAGGGAAACTGACAAATCACATAATAAAATTTTCATCTTTTGTTTTCCATGTTGTTATCAAAGTTACGGTGTAGCAGCTTATTTAAGCTCTACTGGAAAATTTGAGTAAATAATACAGAAGAATGAGAAACTTGTGTATAGTTTGATGGCTGTGTTATAAGTTGCATATCATTTAAAATTAAATGATGAAAAATAATTTAGAATAACCTTTGGTAATATTCTCAAGGTCTGAGAAAGGATTAAACACTTTATCTTTTGAAAAATATATATTATCAGAAAATTTTAGAGCATCATAATGACCATACAAATGAACTATGCTCTATTAATGGAATGGTGGTGACTAACATATTAGCACTAATCACAAGGGCTATTGACCGCTTAAAATGAGGATAATCATAACTGCAGTCAGAAATTTGGAGAACTGGGGTGGGAGATGTGGTGACAGTGTGGTAAAACCTGCCCTCTGCAACTAATGGGTATGAAAAATGGCATTGCTAGTTTGGAAGTGTATTAGTTTGCTAGGGCCACTGTAATAAAGAGTGCTACCAAACTAAATGGCTTAAGCAACATAAATGTATTGTTTCACTGTTTTGGAGGCTAGAAGTCTAAGATCAAGGCATCAGCAGGGCTAGTTCATTCTGAGAACTGTTAATATAGTTGTTATTGCTGTTTTTAATGCTGTCTTGATTCAGTTTAGAGGTCCTGGTTGGCTACATGCCAGAAAGTTCCCCTTCTTGAGCACCCAAATGAGGCCAAACCTCAACCACTTCCTTTATCTGGGCTGTCATATCCATGGCCATTATCTCCCCAGACAGTCTGTTTAATTGACAGACATAATGGTTTCCTTAAACAACTTTTTAAAAGTCCTTTCTGGCAAATAAACCCCTAGATGGGTCTGTCTTGCCTCAGACTTTAATCTTCCTTAATTCAAGTCTCCTTAGCCAATGTATACCTCATACCAATTTTTAAAAAGTTTTCAATCACCCTTTCCTATATTTAATGGGGCTATGTCTCATATCCTAGTATATGATGACTCATTATATCTGAGACCCTTTAATAATGTCTTCCCCGCCTCTGTCTTTAGGGATTTTTGATCCTGTCCACATCCCATAAGGGCTGGAAGCCAGATGGAAGA
Organism: Homo sapiens; assembly: GCF_000001405.40. Lineage (NCBI taxonomy): Eukaryota > Metazoa > Chordata > Mammalia > Primates > Hominidae > Homo > Homo sapiens. The sequence continues at coordinate 112,856,376 of NC_000003.12, read as the reverse complement.
CATATACTCTCCTGGGGCCTATTAATCATAGATTGCCCCAAGGGTCAGGTACCTACGCATCTGATAGGGGACCCATTTATGCCTGAACTTCCATCACCCAAAAAACCTTCCTTAATATTTGGGTCATAAGAGGTAATTAATCTTGGCTCTTTGTCTCTTTCCCTTCAGGGAACTGATACTAGTTTCCAAGGTCATTCTGACAGTGTGCATTGCCAAGAAGGGAGATAGAAAACTCTAGTTAGTAAATAAAAATCACATCTGGAGATAGTAATAAAATTAACCATATCCTATAATTATAAAACCAGACAACCCCTCCTTCATGATAAAACATGCTGAAAAAATTAAAATCAGACAACAAAAGACTTTCAAGGGCAGCTGCACACCATTCTGTTGACTGTTGGTCTGTTAATACTGGTTTGGTGCTTTTGGTAATGAAAAGACCTAAACCCTTCAAGTAAGCTATTGTTTCAACCAAACAAGACAAATACTGAGGCCTACATGCCACTGAGTTTGGCTAATGCAAACCCTGTAGCCCCAAAACCTCACCGGCTTGCCCATCACCAACCAAACTGAAAACTGAGGCAAAGGGCCCACAGTAACTGGCTAAATGGAAGGGTGTCACTACAGTCTGGAGCTCCAATCTCAGGCACAGATACTTTAATTAGCAAACAACCTGTCCTCTATTAAAAACGTGCACACAAATCAGACCATATGATTGAAAATCTTTCTTTTTAACTTTTATTTTAGGCTAAGGAGTATGTGTGCAGTTTTGTTATATAGGAAAACTCATGCAATGAGGGTGTGTTGTGCAGATTATTTCATTATCCAGATACTAAGCTTAATATTTAATAGTTATTTTTACTGCTCTTCTTCCTCCTCCCATCCTTAATCCTTAGGTCAGTCTCAGTGTCTGTTGTTCCCCTGTTTGTGTCCATGTGCTCTCATCATTTAGCTCCCACTTACAGGCGAGAACATGCCGTATTTGCTTTTCCATTTCTGTGTTAGTTTGCTAAGGATAATGGCCTCTAGCTCCATTCATGTTCCTGCAAAGGACATAATCTCATTTTTCTTTATGGCTGCATAGTATTCCATGGTGTATATGTACCACATTTTCTTTATCCAGTCTGTCATTGATGGGCATTTAGGCTGATTTCATGTCTTTGCTATAGTAAATAGAGCTACAATGAAAATACGTGTGCATGGGTCTTTATGATGAACATGTTATATTTACTTTATGTTCCTTTTGGTATATACCCAGTAATGGGATTGCTGGGTTGAATGGTAATGATGATTTTAGCTTTGTAGTGAATCACCACACTGCTTTCCATAATGGTTGAACTAATTTATAGTCCCACCAACAGTGCATAAACATTCCCTTTTCTCTGCAACCTCATGAGAATCTGTTATTTTTTGACTTTTTAATAGTCATTCTGACTGGTGTGAGATGGTATCTCATTATGGTTTTGATTTGCATCTCTCTAATGATCAGTGGTATTGAGCTTTTTTTCAAATGCTTGTTGGCTGCATGTATGCCTTCTCTCTGTTCAGGTCCTCTGCCCACTTTTTAATGAGGTTGTTTGTTTTTTGCTTGTTGATTGAAATACCTTATAGATGCTGGATATTAGACCTTTGTCGAATGCATAGTTTGAAAATATTTTCTTCCATTCTGTGGGTCATCTGTTTACTCTGTTGATAGTTTCTTTTGCTGTGCAGAAGCTCTTAAGTTTAAATAGATCCCATCTGTCAATTTTTGGTTTTGTTGCAATTGCTGTTGGTGTGTTTGTCATGAAATCATTGCCAGTTCCTATGTCCAGAATGGTATTACCTAGGTTGTCTTCCAAGGTTTTTTATGGTTTCGGTTTTTACATTTAAGTCTTTATTCCATCTTGAGTTGATTTTTGTATATGGTGTAAGGAAGAGGTCCACTTTCAATCTTTTGCTTATGGCTAGTCAGTTATCTCAGCACCATTTATTGAGTAGAGTCCTTTCCCCATTGCTTGTTTTTGGCAGCTTTGTCAAAGATCAGATGGTTATAGATGAGCGGTCTTATTTCTGGGTTCTCTATTTTGTTCCATTGGTCTATGTGTCTGTTTTTATACCAGTACCATGCTGCTTTCATTACTGTAGTCTTGTGGTATAGTTTGAAGTCAGGTAGCATGATGTCTACTGTATTGTTCTTTTTTCTTAGGATTGCCTTGTGTATTTGGGTTCTGTTTTGGTTCCATATGAATTTCAAAATAGTTTTTTCTAGTTCAGTGAAGAATGTTATTGGTAATTTTATAGAAAGATCATTTAATCTATAAATTGCTTTGGGCAGTATAGTCATTATAATAATACTGATTATTATCCATGCTCTTATCCATGAGCATGGAATGTTTTTCCATTTGTTTGTGTCATCTCCATTTTCTTTGACTGGTATTTTGGAACTCTCATTGCAGAGATCTTTCACCTCCCTGGGTAGCTGCATTCCTAGGTATTTTATTCTTTTGTGGCAATTGTGAATGGGATCACATTTCTGATATGGCTCTTGGATTGGCTGTTGTTACTATATAGAAATACTAGTAATTTTCATATCCTGAAACTTTGCTGTTTATCAGTTGTTTGTCAGCTTAAGGGTCTTTTGGGCTGAGACTGGGGGGTTTTCTAAATATAGAATAATGTCATCTACAAATAGGGATAGATTAACTTCCTCTCTTCCTATTTAGATGTCTTTTTTTTTTTTTGAGATGGAGTCTCGCTCTGTTGCCCAGCCTGGAGTGCAGTGGCATGATCTCGGCTCACTGCAAGCTCTGCCTCCCGGGTTCACGCCATTCTCCTGCCTCAGCCTCCCAAGTAGCTGGGACTGCAGGCGCCTGCCACCGTGCCCAGCTAATTTTTTTTTTTGTATTTTTAGTAGAGACGGGGTTTCACCATGTTAGCCAGGATGGTCTCGATCTCCTGACCTCGTGATCTGCCCGCCTCGGCCTCCCAAAGTGCCGGGATTACAGGTGTGAGCCACTGCGCCCAGCCTATTTCTTTCTCTTGCCTGATTGCTTTGGCCAGGACTTCCAGTGTTATGTTGAATAGGAGTGGTAAGAGAGGGCATCCTTATTTTGTGCCGGTTTTCAAGGGAAATGCTACCAGCTTTTGCCCAGTTGGTATGATGTTGGCTGCGGGTTAGTCATAGATGACTCTTATTATTTTGAGTATGTTCCTTCAATACCTAATTTCTTCAGAGTTTTTAACATAAAGCAATGTTAAATTTTATCAAAAGCCTTTTCTGTATCTATTGAGATGATCATGTGGCTTTTGTAATTAGTTCTGCTTATGTAATGAATCGTGTTTATTGTTTACTGTATGTTGAACACACCTTGCATCCCAGGGATAAAGCCTACTTGATCATGGTGGATTAGCTTTTTATTGTGCTGCTGTATTTGGTATGCTAGTATTTTGTTGGAGATTTTTGCATTTATGTTCATCAAGGATATTGGCCTGAAGTTTTCTTTTTCTGTTTTTCCATTCTGTCTGCCAGATTTTGGCATCAGGATGATGCTGGCCTCATAGAATAAGCTAGAGAGGAGTCCCTCCTCCTCAATGTTTTAGAATAATTTCAGTAGGAATGGTACCAGCTCTGTTTTGTTACATGGGGTAGAATTTGGCTTTGAATTCATCCAGTCCAGGGCTTTTCCTGTTTTGTAGGCTACTTATTACTGATTTAATTTCAAAGCTTGTCATTGGTCCGTTTGGGAATTCCTTTTCTTCCTGGTTCAGTCTTGGGTGGGTGTATGTGTCCAGGAATTTATCCATTTCTTCTAGATTTTCTAGTTTGTGTGCGTAGAGGTGTGCATAGTCATCTCTGATGGTTATTTGTATTTCTATGGGGTCAGTGGTAATATTCCTTTTGTCCTTTTTGATTGCAATTTTTTGTGTCTCCAAGGCTATTTTCAGTTCAGCTCTGGTTTTGGTTATTTCTTGTCTTATGCTAGCTTTGGGGTTGGTTTGCTCCTGCTTCTCTAGTTCTTTTAGTTGTAATGCTCATTTTTAAAATTGAGATCTTTCTAACTTTGTGATGTGGGCATTTAGTGCTATAAATTTCCCTCTTAACTCTGCCTTAGCTGTGTCCCAGAGATTCTAGTATGTTGTAGTTTTGTTCTCATTAGTTTCAAAGAACATCCTGATTTCCACTGTAATTTCATTATTTACCCTAATGTCATTCAGGTGCAAGTTGTTTAATTTCCATGTAATTGTATGGTGGTGATTGATTTTCTTTGTCTTGAATTATATTTTTGTTGTGCTGTGGTCTGAGAGTGGTTGGTATGATTTTGGTTCTTTTGCATTTGCTGAGGAATGTCTTATATCCAATTGTGTGGTTGATTTTAGAGTATGTGCCAACTGGTGATGGGCAGAATATATATTCTGTTGTTTTTTGGGGAAGCATTCTGTAGATGTCTGTCAGGATCATTTGGTTCAATATTGAGTTCAGGTCCTGAATATCTTTGTTAATTTTCTGCCTTGAGGATCTGTCGATTACTGTCAGGGGGTATTGAAGTCTCCCACTACTATTATTTGGGAGTCTAAGTCTCTTTGAAGGTCTTTAAGAACTTGCTTTATGAATCTGGGTTCTCCTGTGTTAAGTGCATGTATATTTAATATAGTTAGGTTAGTTAAGTCTTCTTGTTGAATTGAACCCTTTACCATTATGTAATGCCCTTCTTTGCCTTTTTAAATCTTTGGTGGTTTAAAGTCTGTTTTGTCTGAAATTAAGATCACAACCCCTGCTTCTTTTCTGTTTTCTGTTTGCTTGGTAGATTTTCCTCCACTCCTTTATTTTGGGCCTATGGATGTCATTGCATGTGAGATGGATCTCTTGAAGACAGCACACCATTGGGTCTTACTTCTTTATCCAGGTTTCCACTCCATACCTTTTAATTAAGACATTTAACCCATTTACATTCAAGGTTAGTATTGCTATATGTGGCTTTAATGCTGTCATTGTGTTATTAGGTTGTTATTATGCTGGTTTGTTTGTGTGGTTGCTTTATAGTGTCACTGGTCTGTGTACTTAAGTGTGTTTTTGTAGTGGCTGATAACCAGTCTTTTCTTTCCATACGTAGTGTTTCTTTTAGGGGCTCTTGTAAGCCAGGTCTTGTGGTACCAGATTCTCTCTGTATTTACTTGTCTAAAAAGGATCTTATTTCTCCTTTGCTTATGAAGTTTAGTTTGGCTGGATATGAAATCATTGGTTGGAATTTCTAAGAATGTTGAATATAGACCCCCAATATTTTCTGGCTTGTAGGTTTTCTGCTGAGAGGCCTGCTGTTATTCTCATGGGCTTCCCTTTGTAGGTGACCAGTCCTTTCTCTCTAGCTGCCTTTAACATTTTTCTCTTTCATTTTGACCTTGGAGATTCTGATGATTTTGTGTCTTGAGGATGATCTTTATGTGAAGTGTTTTGTGGGGGTTCTCTGTATTCCTGAATTTGAATGTTGGTCTCTCTAGCTAGATTTGGTAAATTTTAATAGATGATATCCTGAAAAATGTTTTCCAAGTTGCTTCTATTCTCCCCATCTCTTTCAGGGATGTCAATGAGTTGTAGATTTGGCCTCTCTACATAATCCCATGTTTCTTGGAGGTTTGTTTGTTCCTTTTCATTTTCTCTATTTTTATTCTTGTCTGTCTTACTTTAAAAAGCCAGTCTTCAAGCTCTGAGTTTCTTTCCTCAGCTTTTTGTATTCTGCTCTTCATACTTATGAATGCATTATTAAATTATTTTAGTGTGGTTTCAGATCTATTAAGTTGGTTACATTCTTTTCTATACTGGCTATTTTGTCTGTCAGCTCCCGTACCATTTTATTGCGATCCTTAGTTTCCTTAGTTTGAGTTTCAACATTCTCCTGAATCTCAACAATCTTTGTTGTTATCCATATTCTGAATTCTTTTTCTGTCATTTGAGCCATCTCAGCTGAGTTAAGAACTCTTCTTGAAGAACTAGTGTGATCATATGGAGGAAAGAAGATGCTCTGGCTTTTGTAGTTGTCAGAGTTCTTGTGCTGCTTTTTTCTCATCTTTGTGGACCAATGTTCCTTCGATCTTTGAAGCTGCTGTCCTTTGGATGGGCTTTCTTTTTCTTTTACCCTATTTGATGATATTAGGGGTTTGTTTGTGGTATAAGGTGGCTTCATTTCTGGAATGTTTTAGAGGTCCAAGGCTCAGCTCAGGACCCCTGGACTTCATGCTCTAACTCTGGGGTTCTATTATTGGGTCCTGGTTTTGTTCTTTGGCTTCTTGAGGTTAGGAAGGAACCTGCTGCACTGGAGGGGCCATGGTGCTCCAAGCTGGTCACAACACTCTAATGGTTACAACACTCTAATGGGTGGTGCCAGGCAAACCACTCCATAGGGCAGTAGCAGTGGGATCCATCCTGGTTCACATGTACCAGCAACAGTGACAGTGGCAGCATGTCAGGGTGCACACTCATGGACTTTACCAGGGTGCTAGTTGGTGCCAGGCTGCCAGCCTCCATGTGGTTGTTTGCAGCAGTATGGTGGGATCATAGCTCAGGGGTGCAGGGCCCCTGCCAGTGTCTGTGCACTCATTTGTGCCATTCATGGTGTTAGCATGGGGACAGGTTACTGGCAGATGCAGAACTGTGTGTGCCCTCTGCAAGAGTTCACACTGGCAGCCTTGGCTGCTCAGGACAGGGGTGGTTCTGCTTTTCTCCCTCCATAGTTTCTCTCTGGTGGCAGTGTCAGAACAGGGTAGTTGCAGGTGGGGGCAGGTCTAGTGTGCTCCGTGCCTGCCAATGCTCCAATGACAATGGCTGTTCAGCAAAGGGTAGGAGCGGGGTGCACTCACATTTGCAGCAGTGACAGGGCAGGGTGCATGTGCACACACATGGTAGTGTGTAAGGGAAGGGAAGGTCCCCTGGTGCACACGTGCACCAGCAAAGTAATGTTGGTGGGGGAGGGCTGGCAGCAAAGTGACACAAGTGAGCCTATGGATGGGGGAGGGTGCAGGCGAGCTGGTGTGTGTCTGCAGGGTCTGCTCTGCTGGAGCACTCTGCCAGTCAGGCATGGTCCACCAGTGCAGAAGTTATGATCTGAGCCGCCAAGAGGTACCTGGTACTTGGAGCCCTGGGAGAGGCCAGTAGACTGAGGGGTGCTCAGGTCAAACCAGCCCCATCTCATGGGCAAGACCACCCTGCAGAGTTAAGGTCCAACAGTTACCCTAGGGACAAAGTCTCCTGTGGCAGCAAGTTGAGCCTAAGGGTATGGGTAACCCTGGCTGTGCTTCACTACAGATGCTCTAGAACCAAACTCTCTGGGCTTCACACCAGCAGGAGCTCTGCTTCTATCACTTCTCTAAGCAGGTCTTTCTATCAGTTCAAGTGTCCGTGGTGGTCCAGGGGTCTTCTCCTGCTGGGATTCCAGAGGCCCATGGTGAAACTGGGTTGCTCCTTGCCTGTTTAACCCATCATCACCTTGCAGGAGTCACTGGGGGCCAGGAATGAGTTCTAGTGTTCCATAGCTCCATGCAGCATTTCCATCTTCCTCCCCCTTCAGCCCAGCATCTGCTTCTTCCCTCCATCTGCTCTCAGTGCCTTCCCTCTGAAGAAGGGCTAGAAGTGTGCCAGCCTTTCCAATGCCCGGGTGTCTCAGTGGAAGATATTCCTCCTGGCTGTTTCTAGTTGGCCATCTTGGAAGAGAAATCCCTGATTGAAGATCTGTTTGCAGCACAACCTATTTCATAACTGAAAACCTTGGGCTGTTGGGAATTTTAAATTCAGCCACACTTAATTGAGGCTTTAATTATGCCATTCAGTTCTAGTGCTTTGATACATAACAGCAGTATCATGGATACTGACCTCACCTTTGCTAACTGTGCACCTCAAAGCTCCTTGACTTAAATGATATTTGCATATCAAGCCCCTAGGCCTAACATTGCCTTCATATTCCACATGTGGTTCAGCCTCGTTATAGTACCACAGAGCCACAAAAATAAGACCCACATCAACTCAAGTTTGTGATCATTTGAAAAGGATGTCCCACATCACAGTTCCAGTTTCAGTTTCACATTATAGATGATATTACTTCGGCCCAAGACTTTGACCTTGAAGATGAATTTGCCCTTTTCCCCAGAAACGACTTCACCCTGGACACTGAGACCACCACCCCAGCAACATCCATAGGCTGGCTTTCCTAAGGAGCTAAAAAATTGGACACAGGACATTTATCATTTTACTTCCTTTGATATAAGAAATTCTGTTTCGTTTCCTGAGTTCACCATTTGCTTAAACTCTTGTTCTTTGCCAAAGTGTACCCCTTTATACTTCCATGCCTAAAGGAAAATCTGGTAGAGTGTATTACTCTTTGAGCCATTCTAATAATTAATGAGATTATTGCTTTCCCCAGGAAGCAACTGCCTCATATGGGTTCACCACTTAACCCCCTGGAGAGAGGACCTCCCATTGCCCATTACCTCCTCTGACACTTTCCATTCCAGTTTGCCACCACAACATCCTGCCCTGCACCCATGACCCACAGCTGCTACCTCTTCCTCTAGGTTACAAACGTCATTAATCTTTACATATACCTTACTTAACTAACTTCATACTCTCCAAAAATATAATTGTTGGACCTGCCACCTTGAACCCTGGAATGTACCAAGAGATTACCGTCACGCACACAAAAATATAGCTCATGTTTTAACATACTTTAAGTCAATCAGGATATTGTTAGAGATCTTGGAAATCCCGGATCTGTTTTCTTGGCTAAGGCCATACAATGTGAAACTTGGTTATGAACCAGCCTACAAGGACTCTTTATACTCCTACTTGTTTTCCTCCTTTTTAAGGAGAAAATAATAAAATTTTTGTGTGTGTGTGCTATTTAGGGCAATGTATGCACTACTTACTAAAACTCTGCTCTACAACTTAGGCCACCCAAATAATTCAAGTAATCAAGCTTAACACTAATGTGGAGATCAAGAAGTCAATTTTAATATAGTTTTCATGTAAAAAAAAAATGCCTTCTAGTCCCAGTTTTGAGCCCCTAACAGTTAGCTCCCCTTCTTGAATATCTGATTTAAGTCCCCCCAGCCTCTTCCCTTATCTGGTTCTCACACTGTATGTCACTATATACCTGCCCTAATTGCCCAGGGCTAAGTACCAGACAACTACAAACAGCCCCATGGACAGCTATGTCCTAGAGCTTGTGAAGTTATTCAAATTAGCTAAGGCACAGGGTTCTCAGGAAACCTAATTCTACTCCAATTACCATATATAAGGTACTCTCTACAGCTCCAGTGTGTTGTTACCCTGTCCCTGTGTGCAACCACTGTGTGGCCCTACATGGAATTCTTCTCTTGTTTGGAGCTATAAGTAACAAAGAGGTTTGCCTTTCACCTATCCAAGAGTCTTCATGTTGTGTCCTGTCATCAAAAGAATCTTTAATCTTATAAAACAGAAGGGTAGAATCTTTGCTTCGGTCTTAGTTTCCAGTGGTTTCCTGGCAACCTTTGGTTTTCCTTGGCTTGTAGAAGAAACATCACTCAGATCTCTGCCTTTTATCTTCACATGGTGTTCCTGTGTATGCGCCCAGTTTTCCTCTTTTTATAAGGACACCATAAAAAGCTAAGAAGTGCAAAAGAAGAAAAAAAGAATAAACCAAAGACGCCAGTCATATTGGATTAGGGACCAATCTATTTCAGCATGGCCACATCTTAACTAATTATATCTCCAATGACCCTATTTCCAAATAAGGTCATCTTCTGAGGTACTGGGGATTAGAATTTCAACAAATAAATGTTGGGCGGGGGTTGCACTATTCAACCATGACTGAAAGTAGTTATTAAAGACACACATATGACTATCTTATAACCCAACAATTTAATTCCTAGGTGTATATCCAAGAAAATGAATGTACACATAGACCAAAAATTATGTACAAAACAAGAATGTTCTTAGAAGCTTTATGTTAGCCCCAAACTGGGATAATGTAAATCTACAGAGAAATTGATGAATAAATTGTGATATAGTTATTGAAAATTTACTATACAGCATTAAAAATTGAAATTTGCAAAGAATTTCATGCATGTGAAGTTCAAAAACTGTCAGAATGAATTAAAGCTATTAGAAGTCTGAGTAGTGTTTACTCAACTTCTCTGGAGGAGATGATATCAGCAGAGAAGGAACAAAGGACACTTTGGAACAAAGGACACTTTGAATAATAATTATCAACATCTTGGTTTTGGAAGTAATTAGATAAGCGCATATATAGGTAGAAATTCATCAAACCATACACTCAAGATTTGTTCATTTTACCATATGTAATTTATACTCTCAAAATGCTACTTTTTAAATGAGTTGTTATATAGTTTATCTTGCTACTTCAATGTTGTGGGAGAAGCAATGAGTAGTAAGCATTGGCTTTTTTGCTTTATTACACAGCAAAACTCACTGACATTTCCCATCAGTGGTTAATCAGTCAAAAACATATAGAATGACAGCAAAAATTAAAGATAAGCAAGATAATGAAGAAATATGTTTTGCAATCCTGTTGAAGACAGAATAAGCAAAAGTGACCAAGAGAAACAGATTCACCAAGTCTGTTGATTGATTTAAAGTGGATTTATGTTTAAGTAGAAAACCACTCCAAAAGCATACTTTAGGGAAGATGTCAGCTCCAAGATTACTGATTTCCATCATTATCATGGTGTCTGGTAAGTCTGATACTGTGACATTTTCAGCTGAAAATAAAGCTTTCTTTCAATGATTATGAGGATACTCTTGATCTACTTACTTATAAGGTGTTTCTTGACTTGTCCTAGCAGCAGTGATAAATGTGTACATTATCCAGCAAAACTCCTTCTGAGTTGCCTTATCCCAGTGGTGTACTGACTAGGTGACTGGCTGAATTCAGAGTAATTGGGGGCTGGGATTGAAGTGAAACTAAAATTTTGTGACCTAAAAGTGGTCCTGGGCTGCTTTTGTTGGTAGATTTTTAAAATTACTGATTCAATTTGAGAACTTGTTATTAGTTTGCTTAGGGTTTCAATTTCTCCTGATTCAATCTTGGGAGGTTGTGTATTTTCAGGAATTCATCAATCTCTTCTAGATTTTTCTAGTGTGTGTGCATAGAGGTGTTTATAATAGTCTCCGAGGACATTTTGTATTTCTGTGAGATCAATTGTAATGTCACCTGTGTAATATCTGATTGTAGTTATTTGAACCTCCTCTTTTTTTTTCTTTGTTAATCCAGCTAGTACTCTATTGACCTTGTTTGTCTTTTCAAGGAGTCACCTTTTGGTTTTGTTGATGCTTTGTATAGATTTTTGGATCTCAATTTCATTCAGTTCTGCTCTGATTTTAGTGATTTATTTTCTTCTGCTGGCTTTGGGGTTAGTTTATTCTTGTTTTTCTAGTTCTTCTTCAACTTCCTCTTCTTTTTATTTATTTATTTACTTATTTATTTTTGAGACGGATTTTAGCTCTTATTGCCCAGGCTGGAGTGCAGTGGTGCCATCTTGGCTCACTGCAACCTCTGCCTCCTGGGTTCAAGAGAGTCTCTTGCCTCAGCCTCCTGAGTAGCTGGGATTACAGGCACCCGCCACCACACCTGGCTAATTTTTGTATTATTAGTAGAGTCAGGGTTTTACCATACTGGCCAGGCTGGTCTTGAACTCCTGACCTTGTGATCCACCCCCCTCAGCTCCCAAAGTGCTGGGATTACAGGCGTGAGCCACCACGCGCGGCCTTTTCTAGTTCTTCTAAGTGTAATGTTAGATTGTTAATTTGAGATCTTTCTAACTTCTTGATGTAGGTGTTTAGCACTATAAACTTTTCTCTTAATACTGTTTTTGCTGGATCTCAGGGATTTTTATATGTCATGCCTCTGTTTTAATTAATTTTAAACAGTTTTTGATTTCTTCCTTAATTTTATTGTCTACCCAAAACTTATTGAGGATCAAGTTGTTTAATTTCCATGTAATTGTATAGTTTTCAGAGACATGCTTGATATTGATTTCTATTTTTATTCCACTGTGGTGTGAGAGTATGGTTGGTATGATTTTGACATTTTTTAATTTATTGATACTTGTTTTGTGGTTGAGCATGTGGCTGACCTCAGAGCACGTTCCATATGTAGATGAGAAAAATGGATATTCTGTGGTTGTTGAGTGGAGTTGTCTGTAGATGTCTGTTAGGCCCAATTGATCAAATATTACATTTAAGACCAGAATTCCTTTCTTAGTTTTCTGCCTTGATGATCTAACACTGTCTGTGGGATGTTGAAGTCTCCAACTATTATTAAGTGGCTAAGTCTTTCCACAGGATTAGAAATACTTTTTATTTTTATTCTGAGTGCTCCAATGTCAGGCATGTATATATTTAGGATAGTTAATTCTTTTTTTGATTTGAACCCTTTATCATTATGTAATGCTTTTCTTTGTCCCATTTTTATTGTTGTTCGTTTAAATTCTGTTTTGCCTGATATAAGAATAGTGACCCCTGCTCTTTTTTGTTTTCCGTTTGTGTGATAGATCTTTTTCCACCCCTTTACTTTCAGCCTGTGTGTGTTGTTAGGTCTGTGTGAGATAGGTCTCTGGAAGACAGCAGATGGTTAGGTCTTGTTCTTTTATCCAACTTGCCACTCTGTGCCTTTTAAGTGGCACATTTAGGTTAATTCCATATTAATATTGATATGTGAAGTCTTGACTCTGTTGTGATGTCATTAGCTGGTTGCTTTATAGTCTTGATTGTGTAGTTTCTTTATAGGGCTATGTCTTAAGTGTGTCTTTGTAGTAACAGACATTGTTCTTAAATTTCCGCATTTAGAACTCCCTTAAGGATCTCTGGTAAGATTGGCCTAGTGGCAATGAATTCTCTTAGTGTTTGCTTGCTTAGGAAAGATTGTATTTCTCTTTGCTTATGAAGCTTAGTTTGGAGAGTATGAAATCCTTGGTTGGAATTTCTTTTCTCTAAAGATACTGAAAATAGACCCCAATCTCTTCTGGCTTATAAGCATCCTGCTGAGATGTCTGCTCTTAATCTGATGGGGTTTCTTTGTAAGTGAGCTGGCCCTTTTCTCCAGCTGTTTTTAAGATTTTTTTATTTCACATCGACCTTGGAAAGTCTAATGACTATGTGTCTTGGAGATGGTCATCTTGTGTAGTATCTTGCAGTTGTCTGAATTTCTCAAATTTGCACGTTGACCTCTTTAGTGAGATTGGGTAAATTTTTGTTGACTATATCCTCAAATATGTTTTCTAAGTTGCTTACTCTCTCTTCCTGTCTAGGGCAAAGTTTAGGTTACCAGGAGGCCCACAACTCCTTGGAGACCCGCTGGTCCTCTGAGCTTGGCAGACTCAGAGCAGGTTTAACAAAGATCACATGCTTCTGAGGGAACAGGACAAAAGGCAAAAGCAGAACTACTGATAAGGGTCCAACAAAGATCACAAGGCAAAGGGCAAAAGCAGAACTATGGATAAGGGTCTATGTTCAGCGGTGCATGTATTGTCTTGATAAACATCTTAAACAACAGAAAACAGAGTTCGAGAGCAGAGAACCGGTCTGACCACAAATTTACCAGGGCGGAGTTTTTCCCCACCCTAGTAAGCCTGAGGGTACTGCAGAAGACCAGGCGCATCTCCCGCATAAGACAGACATTCCCGGAGCAGCCGTTTATAGACCTTCCCCCAGGAATGTATTCCTTTCCCAGGGTATTAATATTAATATTTCTTGCTAGGAAAAGAATTTAGTGATATCTCTCCTACTTTCACACCCATTTATAGGCTCTCTGCAGGAAGAAAAATATGGCTCTTTTTGCCCGACCCCGCAGGCAGTCAGACTTTACTTACGGTTGTCTTCCCTTGTTCCCTAAAAATTACTGTTATTCTGTTCTTTTTCAAGGTGCACTGATTTCATATTGTTCAAACACACATGTTTTACAGTCAATTTGTACAGTTAACACAATTATCACAGTGGTTCTGAGGTGATGTAAATCCTCAGCTTATGAAGATAATAGGATTAAGAAATTAAAGACAGGCATAAGAAATTATAAAAGTATTATTTGGGAACTGATAAATGTCCATGAAATCTTCACAGTTTATGTTCCTCTGCCACGGCTCCAGCTGGTCCCTCCATTCAGGGTCCCTGACTTCCCGCAACACTGCTGTGGTGCCTGTAGCCTGAGATTCTTTTCCCAGAACATGGTGGTGAAGACCACCCAGCTTGTGTGCTCTCCTGACCAGTTTTCCCTCTGATGTTGGTCCCAGGAGCAGGCCCAACCAGCTAGTTTTGTCCCAAGCCTTCTGTGTCTAGATCACTGAGGTGTTCCAGATGTTGTGGGCCGTGGAGATCCCTTGGGCAGAAGCTGAAGCTGGCCAACAGGCTAAACCCTTACTTGATCAGTCTCACAGATAAAGGGATGCCCAACTACTATGCCAAAACACAAACCTACTCCTTACTCTTCTCAGTGTTCTGAGAGTGGGGGCTCCTCTCTGGCTTGAACTTAGGCCACAGATCTCATCTTGATACCTCTGGGTGGTGTGCTTGAACCCTGGACTTTGGGATCGAGTGCATGGTTTTATCCTCTGACACCTCAGGATTGAGCACCAGGTGTTCCGGGGGGGCCAAACTGCTCCTGGACCACTGCAAAACACCCAGGTGGAGAAATGGAGGCTGTGCTGTGTGCACCCTATTTCAGGAGTGGCAAGGCATGGGCCTTGGGTGGGGCTGGTGGACAAGGGTAGATTAGATACACCCTAGTCCTGTGGGAAAGGCAGCCTTTCCTTCTGCCAGCCTGGCAGTCAGCAAGGGCTAGAATCACTCAGAAAAAGATGGCAAACCTTGGCGATGACTGCATATGGCTGTGTTTTGCTGCACCTGCCCCACATGAGAAATCTTCTAGGCTCCATACAGGTTTGAGCTGTGCCTCTGCCTATTCTTTGGGCATTAAGTAACCATGTATTAGTTCATTCTCACATTGCTATAAAGAACTACCCAAGAATGGGTAATTTATAAAGAAAAGAGGTTTAATTGGCTCACTGTTCCACAGGCTGTACAGGAAGCATGGCTGAGGAGGCCTCAAAAAACTTACAATCATGGTGGAAATGTGAAGGGGAAGCAAGCATGTCTTCAAATGGCCAGCAGAAGGTGAGGAGGTGCTACACACTTTTAAACAAGCAGATCTTGTGAGAACTCTATCATGAGACAGCACTAGGGGGAGGGTGCTAAACCATTAGAAACCACCCCATGATCCAGTCACCCCCGACCAGGCCCCACTCAGGATCACAATTTACAATGAGATTGGGTGGGGAGCCAAACCATATCAAACCATCAATATATTTTTCCTCTTTTCTCTTGCTATCACTAACATACATTCCGGATCCCTGATTGGGATTAAGGAGCAGATCTGTGGTTATGAAATAGCTCTGGACTGTGTGATGCTAATAGCTCCTAAGAATCAAAACAACCACAATTACTTTTAAATAATAATGACAATAATAAATATAAAATATGTATATAATTTATTTAATAATCACAGTCACAATCAGCATATTTTTTCCAGGAAGAAATGACATTGTTCATGTATTAACACCCAGCAAACAATTTCAGTTTTTCTAGCTAGAATTCTAGCAAGAAGTGGGGAGAGTTTATATGCAGATTCTGGTACTTTTTTCCTCTGGCACTCTCATTTTTCCATATACTGAAGCAGTTCTGATATTTTATTTTTATTTAGTGTAGACCACAATTTGGTCCATGTTTAAGGTCACTAAACAAATGAATAGTGATACAGTTTGGGTCTGTGTCCTCACTAAATCTCACGTCTAATTGTAATCCCCAGTATGGGAGGTGGGGTCTCGTGGGAGGTGATTGGATCATGGAGGTGACATTCTTATGAATGTGTTAGCACCATTACCTCAGTGCTGTTTGCATGATAGTGAGTGAGTAAGTTATGAGATCTGGTTGTTTAAAAGTGTGTAGCATCTCCCACCCACAACCCCTTCCTCCTGCTCTGGCCATGTGAACATGCCTGTTCTGGCTTTGCCTTCTGCCATGAGTAAAAGCTCCCTGAGGCCCTCCCAGAAGCAGATGCCACCATGCATCCCATACAGCCTGAAGAACCATGAGCCAACTAAACCTCTTTTCTTTATAAATTACCCAGTCTCAGGTATTTCTTGATAGCAGTGCAAGAACTGACCAACACACACAGAGCCCTTTCTAATGCCTGGAGCTACAGCACTGAATCTAGAATCTCTGCCTAAGTGGATTCATATCAATAATTTGGCCTCATTCAGCTTTGTCTTTTTCATTATTCCACATCCTTAATATTCATTCCTATACATATTGTCCAGATTTATAACTGTATATATTGGAAAAATCATATAGATATTTTGGTGTGTGGTGTAACTTCTTGTGGGTCACACTCTACCTCACTTTTTGGGCCCTGCAGGGACTCAAGTCTAGTTATAAGTCTGGAAGCAAAGAGGAGTGAGGGGGAAGATCCTGAGGAGAATAGAAAGTGTCTTTTAAGGCAACTAGTTGAAGAAAAATCATTACAGTTTCTTCAGGCAAAGCAGGGGATTAACCACTTCAAACAGGGGTGGGAGGGCTGCTTCTATGGGCAAAGACTTAGGAGACTTTAGAAATTTTATGTGCTCAGTTTCCTCAGCTTTTGCCTATATGTTCACATTCCAATTTTCAGGACCCCTTTCCTTTTCAATCAAGAACCTCACTCCAGCAGAGGATACTCTGACAGGTTAGGAATTCAATTTGTGTTGTCATTCAGCCTCTTACGGGATAAGTTTTGGTATCTGGAAACTTCAGCCTTGCTGAGAAGATAGGGGGTTCTTTCACGGCAGACATAGAAACTTCCAGTTCATTCACATAGTTTAAGTTGAGAATTTGAAGCCCTGAACTCATCTTTTTCTTTATCCATTTGGGCAGCAAATTAGGAGAAACGAGCCAATCTTGTTATATGTAAATGTTCTAAAGTATCAAATACATGATCACTCAGACCTTGCCTTTTATAAGTATTTGACTAGGATTATCCAGTTGTGACATTTTCGCATATCTCTATTGTTACTTCATGCCATGGACTATCAGTGTGCCCTCTAGCACTAGAAATATAGTCATTAGTGCTTTTAAATCTAACTAGATTAGATGACCAATTCCAGAAAACCCCGAAACAATTCTGAAAATTTATCCTTAAGCTTCTGTTTCTTGAGGACCACTTATGGTACCAAATCTGTATCAGTCAGGGTTCCACCAGAGAAACGTAATGAGTAGAAAGTATGGAAAGTATGTATATTTATGTGTGTATGTACGTGTGTGTGTGTATGTGTGTGTGTGTTATTTCAAGGAATTGATTATTGCAATTGTGGAAGCTGTTAAGTTTGAAATTTTTAGGGTGGACTTGTAGTCTGCAAACTCTTGGGCAGAAACTAATGCAACTAATGCTGCAGCCTTAAAGAGAATTTTTTTTCTTACTCCGGAAATCCTCACTTTTTCTCTTAAGGCCTTTCAGCCGATTGAGTGAGGCCCATCTTCTTTATTGAGAATAATCTCCTTTACTTAAAATCAACTGATTGTAGTTATTAATCACATACAAAATACCTTCACAGCAATGTTTAAATTAGTGTTTGATTGAATGATTGAATACTATACTCTAGCCAACTTGACACATAAAACTAGCTGTCACAGGAGGATACACATTTTTTTCAGGTGAACACAGAATATTTACCAAGGTAGACCATTAAATGAGCCGTAAAATAAATCACAATAAATTTAAATTTATCTAAGTAATTATTTTTAAAAGGCTTTCTGTTATTGAGACCAGCAAATGATCTCATGGTTTCCTGTTTCTTTGTCATTTTTTACCTTGAGAGGTTTCCCTTACCGTTTTTTTTTGTTTGTTTGTTTGTTTTTTTTGCAAATTCAGCCATGCATTTGAAACAGGCATTGTTCTAGTTCATCCAGTACTTCTAAGTTTTTTATTTGAAGTGGGGGAGGTTGTCTATCATTTCTATAATAGTTCTGGAGATGGAACTTTACTCCTGGGCCCTGCATTGAACTCTTCCACTGATTAGAAGTGGATGTGGCTGGCAAAAGACTGGTACAGACTGATCTGTTATAATAACATTGAATGAATCATTTATTCATAACTACAAAAGAAATGTCAAAATCCTGACATACGTGCATTTATCTAGTTATGGTCTCACTGCTGATTTCTTTTATGTAGAGGTTTTTTTGGTGTGATTATTAATTAATTTAAGGAATTGAAATGTTGTTTTCTGTGATTATCTTATATGAAATCAGTGGATTCTAGTCCATTTCAGTAAAGAAAAGTTCTTAATTTTCTCCATATTTCTTCTTTAAATATTTTCTAGCCTCAGATAATAATTCCTGTCTGATGACACAACTGGAAATACAAAGTTAGAGAATACGTCTTAATGAAGGTAAAATGCTCACTTACTTAATAACCAGTTTGATGGGAGGGTTGGATCATCAGCAGAAACATTTACATGATCATTTGTCCTGTGTGCAATTTTAACAGATACCTCTCTGCACACTATTGCTTGAAGACCAAGCAAGGACCGACTTATTCAATTTAATTCAACAACAAAAAGCAAACATGTAGATTTCTTAGTAGCACACAAAAATAGAAGCTAAAAAGAAGAAAACTTACAGCACCTTCAAGTAGTCTACATATTCTGGTCTTGGAATTAGACAAGGATACAGAATTATATTACAAGGTAGAATGAGAGGAGCACTACAATACAAAACCAGTGTATTACAGAGAGTGGCTTTTGCACAGGCTCTAGAAGGATTTCAGAAGGCATAAATTATTGGAAAAAAGAGGCCAGGGGATCATTGTGGACTAAAGTACAGGGTAGAAAGGCACATAAAATGTTCAGCCAATAGAAGCAGTCTGGGGTGGGAGGAGTTTAGTGTGCATGCTGGATTGCAGTGAGAGCAGAGCCTGGAAAGTCAAGTTGTACTCAAATGGCGGAAGGAAGTAGGAAAGGTAGTAATAAAGTCAAAAGAAGAACAGCATGAATTAAGAAGTGGAAAGCTAGAATTTATAAATGATTCCAAGAACTGATTTTTTTAATGGGATAAAGACTATTCTAAATGGGAAGTAAATTTAAAAAAATACACAAAATGTGGGGAGAAAATCAACAATTAACAACAAATATCAAGAAACCAAAGAAATATAAAAGAATATTTTGTACAATTTCTCCTATTAAATTAGAAAACTTCCATGAAATAAATGTTCTAGTGGAAAAGTAAATTAGCAACTGGCTCAAGATGAGATAGAAAACATGAATAGATAGAGAACCATAGAAGAAATTGAGAATTACTGCCAAAAAATGTGTGGCCTTAGATTGCTATGTAAGAGAAATAGTTTACATCACTTTAAGCCTTTAAGGAACAGATAATTTTTATGTCATTTAGTTTTCCCATAGAATAGAGAAAGGAGAAATGTTTTCTAAATTTTACAAGTATAACTCAGATATCAAATCCTGACAAAGTTAGTATACAAAAAACTTTCTAAGCTAATTTCACTTGTAAATGCAGAGGCAAAGATTCCACATATCAGCATATCAAATCAGTAGTGCACTAAAAGAATTAAACCAACAACAAGGTAACATTTTTAGGAATGTAAAATAGTTGATATTAAATAATCTACTAATATACTTTACCTAATTTTAGATTAAAGAGAAAAAAGAATCTCACAAACTGTTCAGTATATGTCAAAAAGGTGTTTGGCAAATTCGTCACTGTTGACTTACAAAACATCCTAGTGAAATTAGGATCAAGGATACATCCACAGCAAGACTGAGTCTTAAGCATAGACCCCTGAGTGGTCTGAGGCCTGGTTGCCAGGCCCTTAAAAGACCTTCCTGATTTATGCATATTTAATGATTTACAATTAAAGCTGGTTATGAGAGTACAAAAGGCATATTTCTCCCTACTCCCATTATATAAAAACAGTCCTATTGATGCAGTGGCGGGCTGTCTGGAGTGGCCACTGCCATCAGTAGGACTTCTGCCTATTGATGTCCTATTCTGCAGTCCTATTCTGCCTATTCTGCAGTGGCCTTCTGCCAGCTGCAGAAGGGAGGTGCAGGTGGTGGCAGCAGGAGTGGCTGTGAGAGCAGCAGTGGCGGTGATGGGACCTCTGTGCTCCGTGTCTGCGAGGCAGCTGACCGCACTACCCCCAGTCTCGCATGGCCAGGCAGGACCCACTACCAGGCACTGAGCCTTTACTATGGCCTCAACCTCACTCCCTGCTTCATCCTGGGAGCCCACAAGCACCTGGCTGAAGGCACAGTCAAGACACACTGCTGTCCCTGGTCGCATTGGGTTCATTTGTGCAGGGTTGGCTGGGGCCACCATGCCACCTGCTCTTTGCCTACTGCGGCTGTGGGGAAAACACAGAGAGGGGGTGCAGCCAGAGCTGTGCATTCCATGAAGCCAACAGGAGCTGGGAACAAGTGGGAGGCCTGCCGCTTCTAAGTTGGCAGGGAAGGAGCCGCCCAAGCTGCGGCTGCAACCTGGGCACCCCTGTGCTCTTGGGAGCTGGGAACAGGCAGAAGCCCTGCCACCTTGGCCCCCTCCAGACTTTGGGCACCAATAAGCATGGGAGAAAGGCCGAGGGGGGTTGCTGAGGGCAGCTTGATGTTGGCCTGCAGGTGCCCCTCGGCATGAACAGCATGGACACCATGAAGAGCAGCAGGAGGTAGAGAGGCTCCAGGGCAGAAAGGTGCAGGCCCCTGGTGAAGCCCCACCTTCAAGCTGGGAAGGCCTGAAGCCTTGGTGCTGGGCTACTGGTCCCGCAAACTGAAATTGGAACTTGTAGTGCTTTTTCTGAGCCCACCTATGGGCACCCATGGACCAACTGGCATGCACTTTCTCCCCTCTGGGGCCATAATGGGCCAACCAGCTGCAGAGAGGGGCTACCTTCTCTGCTGAGAGCTGAGTAGATAATGGGACAACCTGCCTGTAGAGAGCACCTGCCCACTATAGGGTTTCCTCTCTGCTAGGAACTGAACACTCAATGGGATGACCTGCCTGCAGAGAGGAGCTACCCACTCTAGGGTTTCTTCTCTACTAGGAACCAAACACTCATCAGGACACCCTGGCTGCAGAAAGGAGCTACCCACTCGGGTCTCCTCTGAGCTGTTCTATCACTCAATAAAGCTCCTCTTAACCTTGCTCGCCCTCCACTTGTCTGCATACCTCATTCTTCCTGGTCACAGGACAAAAACTCAGGACCTGCCAAATGATAGGGTTAAAAGAGCTGTAACACAAACAGGGCTGAAACACGCCCCTTGATTGCCACATTGTGGATGACAAGGAGAGAAGAGAGAAGGAGAGAAGAGCTGTGGCTCTTTGGGGAGCCCAGACCTAGGAGCTCCCTGAGCCAGGGCTGTGACACCCTTTTAGGGCTCTGCAGTTCCTGGTGTCTCCAAGCTTCTGGGCACCACCACATTCCCCAGAAGCTGTTTATGGTATGCCTGTCAAGCTGCAGCCTTGCAGGGAGCTGGCACCCATGCCAGCACTTGGAGCTGCCCACTCCTCTGCAGGTAGTGTGCCTGGCTGTGTGCAGTGGTTGGATCCCATGCTCACTCACACATCCCTCATTGGTCTGTGCCTGGCTCGTCCTTGGCAGATGTGGGATCCAGGCCAATAGCACCAGCCAAGTGCTGCCTGCCAGGCCAAATAGGCAGAATGAGCCCAGTGGATCACAGCAAAATTTGGGCAAAGGTGCCATTGGCCACAAAGGTTTCCAGCTGGCAAAGTGACATCCCAAAGATCCCATAGCACTATTGTCTCATGATGATCAGGCTTAAATTACCCCTGACAAAAGGCAACTCCATTTTGTGCCTACTGGTATACTAGGGGACAGCTATAGCTTAGCTATAGCTTAGAGGAATTCTTAGTGTGTCTCCTGGTAGAAGTATCTCCCCTATGAAACTCAAGATCCTAGACTCACAAATCTAAAATTACTGGGATTTGGAAGCACAAATTCTCTAAACGAGTCAATAAGAATGACAATGAAGGGAGGTGGAGGTTGCAGTGAGCCGAGGTCATGCCACTGAACTACAGCCTGGACAACAGAGTGAGACTCGGTCTCAAAAAAAAAAAAAAAAAAAAAGAATGATGGTGAGTGAGACTACCCCACTTCTACTCCTTGTCTCTCAGATCCAGTTTATTCTATGAACTGGGGAGCTAGGGACACAGCACCCTCCTAAAGGGTGGTGTCCCATCCTCATAAGATATCATTTCCAAACGTTAGTTGTGACTTCCAGAGGCTGTGCCAGTGCTCCATGAAGCTGGCAATTTCTGAATGCATCCACATGCCTCTACCCCACACCTTCTTGTCCTCTACCTTCCAATTTTGACTCTTCCAGGTCTCTGACCAAACAAGCCAAACCATTTGCCACTGCTTATGAGTTTATCTCTTTTATTACTGAGTATTACATTTCTTACTTGAGTGTTTTTCATCATCACTGTCTTTCAGGGCCAGACCAGAGTGGGGCTACAGTGCCACAACAGTCCACTTTTGGCTTATATCACAGACTGAGGCAACCCATCCATAACCCATCCAAAGCTAAGCTTTGGGTTTTGGTCCTAGGGAACACACAGGGAGGGCTTAGATGTGAACTGAGGGAGAGATGACAGTATAACAGTGGTATATGAAGTGGGGGCCTGGACCATTTGTTCACTAAAATGACTGGTGTTCTCTTGAGTCTGGAGCCTGAGCCCCATTGTAGCCATTTCTGTTTTACAATGGAGTGCTACTGGGTCCACTTTACTTTATGATTTGTTGGGTCTAATAGTATGCAGCTTATAATGGGTTGTTTTAGGAGCCTGATCATTTCATATCCCATGATTAGATGCTCAGTCTTCACCAGGGTCCCGTAGCATGCCATGAGCTATTTTTTAAAAGGCAACTAGTTATCTGCTTCAGATGACATAGATTTACCCCCAGAACCCTAGGCCTGCACTGTGACTGTCCTACTGGACTTGTCTGAGGCTCCACATTTCATCTTTATCACAGAATCTTCTTGTATCACAGATCTGCCTGATTTTATGAACTTATTGTCAGGGCTGGTATACTGTAGCATGGACCTGTTACAGATTCCTTTCTTGGTCTGGAGCACACTTGGACTAGCATCCTATTAGAGGGTCAGAGCAGTAATCGCAAATATGCAGCAGGCTGCCTCCAAAACCAAGTGTTGTGCTACTCAGTGGTAGGAAGTAAGGTTAAATAATTTGTCCTTTTTTCGAGAGGGGATATATGGTAGGGTCCAGACCACTGGCCTACTAGAAACTTCACTAATGTGTCAGGCCCTGAATCTTTGTAGAATTGACTTCTCACCTCTGGAATGCATGTGATTAACTAAGGTATTCATAATAACTCTCACTTTTTGCTCAGAAGATCTAATTGATATGATGTCATCAATATAGTAGACCAATATGATGGTCTTTGCAAAATGCCCAGATAGCCTAGATCTTTTTAGATTACATTGTACATGAAAGTAGAAATTAAGGCAAGACCATATTTATATACTCTCTACTGTCCTGTGGAATACAAACTTATTTTTGATGTTCCTTCCTGATGAATGTTGAAAATAATGCATTTACCAGATCAATAACCACATACTGCAACTGGAGTATCTCTAGTAAAGATAGCTTATCTGGCAGAGTAGCTGCCGTTGGGGCTGATACTTTGGTAATTTTGCATTGATCTACTATAATTCACCATCCAGTGTTTTGCAGGGATCTAACTGGTAAATTAAGTAAGAGACATGATGGGGACCACTATTTTAGTATACTTTAAGTCTCTGAGAGGAGACTCATACTTAGGTCTTCAGTATTAATATTTATTTACTATCTTCGCCAAGGGGGGTGGTTTGGGGGATTTATCTTGGTCTTTCCTATTATAATAGCACTTACTTTACAGATCAAGGAATCAACAAGATGGTCTGCAAGCTGCTAAGCATGTTCATTCTAATTAAATATTCAGCAACTGAAAAATCACCACTGTATAAGTCTGTGGACTTTGAAGGTCCACTGTGATATGAACCAGGCCCAGGATTTCTTTTATCATCTGACTCCGATATGTTTCTACTCTAACAGGAGGCCCTTAATGTTCTTTGTGTTCTTGGGTATCAGGATCAATTCAGATTAGTATTCAAATAACCTTCAAAAGATCCTTGTATTCCTTTTTCCCCAGTTATGGTTACCTAAACACATGGTCATAGGTTCTTTGGTGAAGGACTAGGGGAATAACTATTGCAACAGTTCTCAAAGTGTGGTTTTCAGATGGCTGGGATAACCAAGACCCTTTCAGTGGGTCACCTCGGTAAAAATGAGTTACAATAATAATAATAATGATAATACAGTGATGTTATTTGCCTTTCTACTGATATTTTCACTGATAGTGCAATTGAACTGTTGTTTAAAATTACTGGTGCCTTAGCATGAATGAAGTGCAGAGCACTGTATTAGTTTGCTAGGGCTGTTGTAACAAAGAACCATGGAGTGAGAAGTGGAGGCAATGGAAATCTATTGTGTTACAGTTCTAGAAACTAAAACTCCGAGATCAAGGTGTTGGCAGGGCAATTCTCCCTCTGAAGGCACTACGAAAGGATCTGTTTCAAGCCCTTCTCCCAGCTTCTGGTATTTCCTGGCTTGTGCAGCATACCTCCAATTTTTACATGGTGCTTTCCCTGTGTCCATATCTGTGTCCAATTTGCTCTTTTTATGAAAACACCAATTGTATTGCGTTAGGGGCTCATGCCGCTCAAGTATGACTTTACCTTAGCTAGTTATACTTGTAATGATTTTATTTTCAAATAAGATCACATCTCTGAGGGTTAGGACTTCAACATGTAAATTTTCAGATATACAATTCAACCTATAAGAGGCACCAAGCTGTACCAATAGTCATTGTATTCTTCACTCACTCATGCACACACGTACACATTGCCTAAGAATGTCTTTGATGATTCAGTAAAAATAATTAATGTATTAAATCTGAAGCCTTATATACAGTATCTTTTAAGTATTCTACATGATGGAATTGGAAATACATTTAACACATTTTTGTTGCATACCAAATCATGGTGATTATCCTGAGGAAATGCATTTATATCAAATGTTTGAGTTGCAAGCTGAAGACAATTAGTTAACCATAACTAAAATTATACAAAAATCATTGTAAAACAGAAATTAAACGTTATGCCATCATTAGAGGAAAAAACATGTTAACATCTTAAAAATTATACTTATAAGCAACTAATAGTGATTTCTCATTCATGAGATGCTTTGTTTAGTCAACTAGTTTGTATGAGGTAACCATGCCTCCCCCCTATTCCTCCTTCCCCAACCAAGGAGATGGGTCCGTGTGGATATCTCACATGAGCTGGTCCAATTATACTCCTTTCTCCAAATGCTGGAGACAGCAACTTTAAATGAAATTTCTCTGCACTTTTTTTTTTTTCCTTTTTAACCTAACTCCTCTAAAAGAGTGAAAGAAATGAACACAAAAATATCTCTCCTCTCTCCTCTCCAACCACTTTTTTACATCCAGGGTGGGTAAAATACTTATTAAGAAAAAGAAGGGTTTTATGGGACTTTAAATGAGACCCAATAGAAGAAATTGGCATGTAGAAATTTTTATCATTTTCGTTTTCTTGTTGTGTCCAGTTAGCACTTCACTGTCTTTACTAATGGATACAAAGGCTATGCTCTGTTGCCATCCCATCCTATTGACAAGTGTGATGGTAACAGCATGGGAAATACTCATCAGAAACAATTCTTCCTGCATCAAAGCCTACAGGAAAGAGAGAAATGAGACAATGCAAAAAAAAAAAAAAAAAAAACTGCAATGACAAGAGTATAACGTAGGCCTCCAGTCCTGACTGGAATCTTTCCCTTTGGGTTGATCCCATTGTCCTCACTCATTATGGGTATTACAGGTGAATAATGGTAACACCTGATGGGAATTTCCATCATGGATATCACCCATGATGATGTCCACTGAAAGGGTCTTGGCTATCCCTAGCCATCTGAAAACCACGCTTTGAGAATTACTGCAACATTCATTCCCCTAGGCCATCACTGAAGTACCTAATCCTAACCATACCAAGTGTTAGGAAAGGAACATCATATATTGTAGCATTGCACATCATCAGATTTGGACTGAAACAAATGTCTCTCTAAATTTCATATTCTTTATGTTAAGATTGAAGCACTTTTTCCTTACCTTTCTGCAGTTCCCCCGAAGTGACCCTGTTTCTAAGCAGGCATAGAGCTGTGGTGTGTAAGACAGTTGCAGCAAAGCCAGCTGCACAGATCTCCTGGACCCCGCAGGGGGATTGTGTCACCAACCAAGAATATTGGGGCAATGGCACAGTGACTGTTGGGAGTTCATGTCACTGGGAGGGCCACAATGTGTCTACCATGACCTTATGATAGGCACATTTGAGTAGCAACAAGAGTGTCTATAGAGCTACTTCCTGGTTAGTAATTATTCCAGTTTTGTGTTCATTTCTTTCACTCTTTTAGAGGAGCTAGGTTAAAAAGGAAAAAAAATGTGCAGAGAAATTTCATTTAAAGATGCTGTCTCCAGCATTTGGAGAAAGGAGTATAATTGGACCAGCTCATGTGAGATGCCCACATGGACCCATCTCCTTGGTTGGGGAAGGAGGAATAGGGGGAGGCATGGTTACCTCATACAAACTAGTTGACTAAACAAAGCATCTCATGAATGAGAAATCATTATCAATTGCTTATAAGTATAATTTTCAAGATGTTAACATGTTTTTTCCTCTAATGATGGCATAACTTCTAATTTCTGTTTTACAATGATTTTTGTATAATTTTAGTTATGGTTAACTAATTGTCTTCATGTTGAGTAAGACTGTGGGGAAACACTTGTTTCCATTCTGAGTACATAAAATTGATTTCGCTTATTCTTCTCTAAATGTTTTCTAGCTTCAAGTAGTTCATGCATGGGTGGAAAGCAGATGACACAGAACTATTCAACAATTTTTGCAGAAGGTAATATGCTCCCTTAGTAGTGGCCAGCACTGAGGGATGGAAAGTTGAACTTCAGTAGAATCATTAGCTGATGGCCTGGCTGGAGGCCAGCCTTGTGACTACTTGAAGAACATGTTGATCTGAGTGCTGTGGTACGAAGGACCCTGAATGTCCCAGTCTCTAGTTCTCCAAACAAGCCATACTCTTGCTTACCTCTGAACCTTTGCTAAGGTGGAGTGCTGGAAGGAGCGTGGATTTAATGACCTTTCAGGTCTGCGTTAAAGTCCTGCTTCTTTCTGCATCTGGTTATGTGATCATTATTTGACTGTCAAATATAAGGGTTAAAGTACCACATAAGAGACAGGTGACACCAAAACAGGAGAGGAGAGATATTAATTGCAGGGTGTAGCAAAAACAAACTTCATCCACATAAAGTTTTGCCCCTCTGCAACTGATTCTGCTTATGCTATAGTGATGAGATCTCTGACACTCACCTTTGTTACAGGTGAGTAGTGACAGATACTTCGGCAGAATAAGTACCTCTTAGTAAACCCTGATCAGTTGTGGAAACATTGTGTTGGCTTACGAGATGCATGAGAATCTATGTTGGCAGATGCTTGTAGGATGCAGGGCTTAATTTTTACTTTAAAAGATGGACAGAAAGGAGTCGACTTCTACATTTACACCTGAGAATTGGATTGAATATACAGAAATAAAATCTATGAGGAAAGTTTACCACTGAACTCTCTGGGGTTGTATGTGTGACTAAACAGGAAGGAAGGAAAATATCCAAAGGCTATATTTGACAATGTCACCAATTTGCAATAAAACTTTTTCATGATAAATGTCCAAAGGAAAATAAAGCTTTTTAAAAATTATATGCCACACTACTTTTTAAACTAGAAATGAATATTTCTAAACATCTTATCACTAGGCATTTTTTTTTACTTACATGGGATGGCTCAACTGGCAAAATTATAGATTTTTTAAAGATCTGTGGATCTCACTGACTGTAATTCTCTAAACAAAACATGTAATTATCTAAATAAAACATGTCCAGCTAGCTCCACTTGAATGCCGTATTAGTTACCTTTAATGAAAGAACCACAAACTTTCCACATTTATGGTTGTCTGAAATAACAACCTTAGAGACAGGTATTTAACTTTGATGTTACTGATTTTTCTTGTGCTCACCAAAACGAAGGAGGAGACAATCACATCACTAGTTATTCCATTTTCTTTTCCAAGGCACATGAATTGTATGATAAATACAGTAGTCTCTACCACCTAAAGATTAGATTTAGAACATTGCCTTTGTTGTTTAAATTATAATTCTGTTTTCTTTTCTGTTTCTAGATATTAAAACTCCTGAACTAAAATCAGAATACTTTATTGTATTTCAGAATACAATGTTATGTATATTGTTTTTCTAATAATACATAATACTGGAGAAAGTTTGTTAATCTTTAGATTGGGTTCAATATATTATTTATATTTTGTGAATGTTATTTTCTTACCTAAGTCTAATATTTCTGGAATAAGATCAGCAAATTTATGTTCTAATAAAACTTCATGTAATATACTGTGGATAAACATAACACATGAAGTTCCTTATCAAGGTTTTCTATATCATTATCCTTTGTGTGTGTGTCCAGGTAACATTTCACAGCCTGTACTGATGGATATAAATGCTGTGCTTTGTTGCCCTCCTATCGCATTAAGAAATTTGATCATAATAACATGGGAAATAATCCTGAGAGGCCAGCCTTCCTGCACAAAAGCCTACAAGAAAGAAACAAATGAGACCAAGGAAACCAACTGTACTGTTGAGAGAATAACCTGGGTCTCTAGACCTGATCAGAATTCGGACCTTCAGATTCGTCCGGTGGACACCACTCATGACGGGTATTACAGAGGCATAGTGGTAACACCTGATGGGAATTTCCATCGTGGATATCACCTCCAAGTGTTAGGTAAGGAGCATCACATACTGAGGTATTTCACATCACCAGATTTGTGACTGAAACAAATGTCTCTCTGAATTCCATATGCTTTATGTGAAAACTGAAGCATTTTTTTCCCTCTTTCCTCTCTGCAGTTACACCCGAAGTGAACCTATTTCAAAGCAGGAATATAACTGCAGTATGCAAGGCAGTTACAGGGAAGCCAGCTGCCCAGATCTCCTGGATCCCAGAGGGATCTATTCTTGCCACTAAGCAAGAATACTGGGGCAATGGCACAGTGACGGTTAAGAGTACATGCCCCTGGGAGGGCCACAAGTCTACTGTGACCTGCCATGTCTCCCATTTGACTGGCAACAAGAGTCTGTCCGTAAAGTTGAATTCAGGTAAGCGCCTGTTTCTTGTAGAAGAGTAAACTTGATGCTCAACTTTTTCTTCCATAGAAAATAACGAATAACCAAACAGCAGGTAAGAAAATTTGAGCTCCTAGCTTGAAAATATTCTCTCAAACTGAGAAATGCATTACAACGCTAGAATCTGTCTTTTAGTAGAACAGCCATAAAAATAGATTTTGTTAACTTAGTGATCTATAGGCCCTTACTTTGAGATTAATTCTTGATATGAAATATCAAGAGTTTTATGTAGTTTTAACAATCCTTGTTCAGTAGATAGCCCAGAATGACAGCTATTTTCTTCCTGATTTTATTTCTTGTAGTAGTTATTACTTTGTTACCTTGAGTAAGAGACAAGTAATTCTTCCCGTCTCATCATCCAAAAGCAATATATTAATTAATTCTCCAAATATTTATTGAATGCTATTTATAAGTTTGAAGCTGGTGATGCAAAGATGAAAAGCTAAGGTCCACATCTTTATATTGTTTTGGGCAGGATAATCTGGTGTTTAGGAGCAAAGCCTCTCACATAACATGGCTTTTTGTTCACCAGCTATATGAACTTGAACAGTATTTAATATCTCTGTCTCATGGTTTCTTTGTCTGTTAAATGAGGATAATAGGATCTACCTAATAGGATTATTGGGTTAATTAAATAAAATTACATATATATGAAAACATGTTGTACATATAATTGTATTAATATACCTACTACATAATTGACACTCAGCAAATGTTAGCCACTAGATTTCCTTATATTAATAAATGTTGGTTATTATATATATCGTATTAATAAAAATTAGCTATTGTGATAATTATTACAACTAATATTAAATATAATCATATTAATTATTCCTCATAATATCTTTCATGTTTGTTCTTTTCTTTTTTGCATCAGCTTTATTGACATCTAATTTATATACCATACATTTCACCCATTTAAAGCATGCAATTCAATGCTTGTGTGACCATTGCTACAATCAATTTTAGAGCATATTTATCACCCCCAAAAGGAAACCATGTATTCGTTAGCTGTGTTTTCCATGATCAATCTCCCATCAAGTCTAGCCTCTTACTTCATACGTCTTATCTATAGATCAGTCCATTTATCTTCAGTATTACCTGATCTTCCCTTCTGTAGTACCAACATTCAACCCAAATTCTAAATCTTTTTTCCCTTTTATCTCCTTAGGAGCTTTTCTTCATTCTCCTCTCTCTTTTGTTTAGTTTTTTTGTTCCTTAAATTATTTTCCTAAAGCTGCTCATAAAACACGCCTATTTTTCTTCTGTATCCAAAAACTTGGTGTTATGACTTCCTCAAACATTAACTCTTGGCTTCTACTCATATCCAAGAATTTTTTTAAAAGAGGAGCCTACACTTACTGTCTCTTCTATATCACCTCACATCTATTCCTTAACTCATTTGTGTCTCCCTGCGCAGAAAATGCTCTGACAAAAAGCATCTCCCAAGTGCCAAATAAAATATAAATGTTTCATTCTTTGTTCACTTAATTAGCTTCTTTGTAATATTTATTATAATTATTAATTTTAAATATCTAATAATATATAATTTTATATAATATTTACTAATTTTAAATATTTTATTAGCTTTTTAATAATACATTTTATGATCCTGTACCCCATGCATGTGGGCCTCTTTGGGCTCTTCAAAAGTGTTAAGTGCTTCTATTCCTCTGTTCCCTTTTACATGCAATTTCTTTTTTTTTTTTTTTTAATCTTTGTTTTTTGAGACAGAGTCTCGCTCTGTCGCCCAGGCTGGAGTGCAGTGGTGCAATCTCGGCTCACTGCAAGCTCCACCTCCCAGGTTCATGCCATCCTCCTGCCTCAGCCTCCCGAGTAGCTGGGACTACAGGCGCCCACCACCACGCCTGGCTAATTTTTTTGTATTTTTTTGTAGAGACGGGGTTTCACCGTGTTAGCCAGGATGGTCTCGATCTCCTAATCTGGTGATCCGCCCGCCTGGGCCTCCCAAAGTGCTGGAATTCCAGGCGTGAGCCACCGTGCCCGGCCTTACATGCAATTTCCACCTCTCCATAAGGCACTTCTTTCCCTATACTTTCTTCTTCCATTGCATTTGATCAATTCCTGTTGAAGTTTTAAAACTTAGTTTGACATTGATCCTCTGGGATGATATTCTCTTGCCTTGAATTTTGGTTAGCTATTCCTCCTCTGTGCTCACAGAATGCTTCATGCATGCCTCTGTCAGAGCACCTCCATAGCCCTGTAATTGACTGCTTGGCACTGTTTTCATTCACAATGCTTCTGACACAATGCTCCTTTCTGATGCGTTTTCCTCGTATTCTCACTTGGTTCTTTTCTTAACTTTCAGTCAACTTTTTCGTTTTCTTAAGTAGATTTATTTCTTCTATTCATCTCATGAATGGACACATTTCTATGTATTCCATCTTTGTCCATCTTCTTATTCTACCTTTGTACTTGAGTAACCTCATCCATACCTGTGGCTTCAACCACTGTCTAATTTTTGACTCTCGAGTCTATAGTTCTGCTCAGATTTCTCTCCTTGGCTACACAGTGACCAAAACCAACTTCCAACTGGACAGCTTCTCCTGCATGCATCAAGGGCACCTCTACTTACATATTTTTGAAACCATTCTGCTCTACTCCTTCATGAGCCCTATATCTGTATTTTATATCTTGATAAATGACTCAAGCTAGAAACTTTAGAATATTCTACAACATTTCTCTTTCTTATTCCCCATATTCAATGCCAGTCATGATGTTTTGTTGATTTTACCTTAATTTTTTTCTTACATCTGAGTCTTTTTCTTTCTCCCTACTGTCTTAGTTGGTCAAATAGTATCTCAGGATACTACTTGTATCTGATTTGTATCCAAATCAGTAATCAGGATTATTGCAATGTCCTTGTAACAACTCTTCCTGGACCCAGCTTAACTTCCTCCAATTTATCTCCTCTACTGTTTCTGGAGGGAACTTTCTAAAATGCCACTCTTCTACTTACATAACCCCAGTGGCCTCTCTTATAGTTCGTATTGAGCTAAACACTTTGACAAATCACAACCTGCCTTGCGCTTCACTATTCTCCATCCTGTACCCCATGCATGTGGGCCTCTTTGGGCTCTTCAAAAGTGTTAAGTGCTTGTATTCCTCTGTTCCCTTTTACATGCAATTTCTACCTCTCCATAAGGTACTTCTTTCCCTGCACTCTCTTCTTCCATTGCATTTGATCAGTTCCTGTTGAAGTTTTAAGACTTCGTTTGACATTGATCCTCTGGGATGATTTTCTCTTGCCATGAAGTTTGGTTAGCTATTCCTCCTCTGTGCTCACAGAATGCTTCATGCATGCCTCTGTCATAGCACCTCCACAGCCCTGTAATTGAGTGCTTGGCACTGTTTTCATTCACAATGCTTCTGACACCAAATGTGTGTGAGTTTTTTTCCCTACACCAACTAATTCTCCAACTCTCTGGACACCACCTAGGTGTCCTACAATTCAATTCAGACACTAACTACCTGGAGTTAGCACAGACCCCACAGGTTAAAGGCTTAGTCTCATAAGACCTTCCTCACTTCAGACACCAGTCACAAGTCCCAGATTGCCACCTGAACTTCTAATCAACTGGCTATAAATTCAGAGAGTTCCCATGATTCCCTTGTCAGGTTTAATAATTTGCTAGAATGGCTCACAGAACTCATGTCAACCTGAAATAATCAAAAGGATCAGAATCCAGTTTAAAAGAGTTTATTTAAGCAAAAGTCTGAGAACAGCCATTCGGGTAACACAGACTCCAAAGGAATGGGGTCAGTGCTTCAAACTTCAAACTTAAGGTCTTGCTTATATAGGCAGAAAACAAATTCAGTAGGATTATACCCTTTTTACATACAAAGCTGGTTTATGAGTTATAATGATTTAATTAAAGTTACAGTTTGTTTTCTTTTCTGTACAGTTTGTTTTCATTTCCTTTCCAATTTTAAGAGTACAGTTAACATTTCATGTTAGGCAATGTGGTAGTCATTGTATGAGAGAAGAAAGAAGGAAGTTAATCAATAATGAAGATCAACAGTTTAGAGGGAATACGTCTTCCCTGGCACCCTTTAATCATTTACAGCAGTTTACAAAACAATGTAGGCAAGGAAAAAGGCTAATGTACAATCAGGTAAACAAAAATTTTGGCTGCCTAGGTCATAGCTGCTTGTTTACATAACTCAGGTCTCATAATCACATTCCGTTAAGGCTCAACATATTTTAAAATTCCAACAGCTTAGATTTTTAAATTTGACACTCAGGAATGCACTTATTTACTATTACTAATTTATTGTAAAGTGTCCAACTCAGGAACAGACAAAAAAAGATAAAAAGAGATGCATAGGGCAAGGTATGGGGGAAGGAGCTTCCGTGATGTCTCTGGGAGTGCCAACCTCCCAGCCCCTCAGTGTGTTCACCAGCTCAGAAAATCTCCCAACCCAGAAGCTCTCCAGACTCTGTCATGTAGAGTTTTTGTGGAGGCTCTATTACATAGGTATGATTGATTAAATTGTTGGGCATTGGTTTTTAGCTTAATCTCTAGCCCCTCTCCCCTCCCAGGAGGTCAATGGAAGGGGAGAGTGGTGGTGTGGGGCTGAAAGTTTCAACCCTCTAACCATGTCTTGGTCTTTCTAATTACCAGCCCCATCCTGAAGCTGTCTTCAGGCTCCCAGCCACCACTCATCTCATTAGCATACAAAAGATGGATCACTGTGGAACTTCCAAGAAGTTTAGGAAAAATCCTTGGAAGTGTGCCAGGAACTGGGGGACAAAGACCAAATACATACATATTGCTTATCATATTACAACCACTTACTTCTGTGACTCTCAGCACAGTGTAAGGTCCTTGAGAGTTGGAACCACTACTTTTATTTTTGTATTCCTAAAGTCTGGCACAGTTGCTGACACATACAAGTCACTGCAGAATTAGGTTCAAATCATTGCAGACTCATCTCTACATATTCCATTCTATGCTCCAAATATGACTTAGGTAAACTCATCTTTAAAACTTTTCTCAAATTAGTTCTTTATCTTGAAAAGTCTTTCTTTTAACCTATTCAATCCCGCAGACCAGCAAGGTCCATTTCAAGTCCTGCTTCTCCCTGACCTCTGTGTTAGAGTTGATTAAACGTTCTGAATTCCTTAGATGATTTATAATCTGTAATGTTCATCCAGCACTGTTTTCTCTCTTGTACATTTAACTAAAAAGTATTGGAGACAGGTCTCAATTAATTTAGAAGTTCATTTTGCCAAGGTTTAGGACAATTTGCACAGATCAAAACAGAACAAAACAAAACAAAACAAAAAAAACACCACAGAATCTCAGAAACAGTCGGTGATCTGTGCCTTTCTCCAAAGATGACTTTGAGGGCTTCAATATTTAAAGGGTAAAAGTGCGCTGGAGGGGAAAGAGGAAGGGTGTGGTAATTCACAAGTTGCAAGAGAAAAGGAGCAATTAGAGGAATAGTCAATTATGATAAGGTGAACACAGAGTAGCTACCTGTGGAGAAATTTATGTTTTATCTGTAGCTATCTGCTTAGGAATAAAAGGAAAGGTAGTTGCTTGCATGACTCAGCTTTCAGCTTAATTTTTCCCATTTGGCATAGTGAATTGGGGTCTTGAGCTTTTATTTTTCTTTCATATAAGTTGTCTTCTCATTTGTATGAGTCTGACTTCTCCAGTTGGATTATAAGATATTTTGAGGACTGTAACCATATCATTTTCTTATTTCCTCACAATGCCTAGGATTGTCTGACATTTTTCTAGTTTAGTGTTTGAGCAGGTTATTTAATGGGATAGAATGACCTCTTGGAGCCAGGAGTCAGACTTGTATTTAGAGTTCACACATTCTTTAGGTGGCCAATTTCTTTTTCTCTTTTTTACTTTACTTTTTTTTTTTTTTTTGAGACAGAGTCTCAATCTGTCACCCAGGCTGGAGTGCAGTGGTGCAATCTCAGCTCACTGCAACCTCTGCCTCCTGGGTTCAAGAGATTTTCCTGCCTCCGCCTCCCGAGTAGCTGAGATTATAGGCCCATGCCACCACGCTCGGCTAATTTTTGTATTTTAGTAGAAACATGGTTTCACCATGTTGGTCAGGCTGGTCTCGAATTCCTGACCTCAGGTGATCCACCCACCTTGGCCTCCCAAAGTGCTGGGATTACAGGTGTGAGCCACCACACCCTGCCTAGGTGGTCAATTTCATAGGATAAGAGACTTCAGATTATGCTTCTGGCTGGGCATGGTGGCTCATGCCGGTAATCCCAGCACTTTGGGAGGCTGAGGCGGGCGGATCACCTGAGGTCAGGAGTTTGAGACCAGCCTGGCCAACATGACGAAACCCCATCTCTCCTAAAAATACAAAAATTAGCCAGGCGTGGTGGTGCATGCCTGTAATCCTAGCTACTCTGGAGGCTGAGGTAGGAGAATCACTTGAACCCAGGAGGTGGAGGTTGCAGTCAGCCGAGATTGCGCCGCTGCACTAGAGCCTGAGAGACAATGCAAGACTCCCTCTCAAAAAATAAAAATAAAAAAAGAATGATGTTCCTAATTAGTTTGATTTATCTTTTCAATAATTCCTAGGGCCATTTCACAGGTAAATAAAAATGAAAGTAGGAAGATATAAAACACCTTGCTAAAGAGGTTACATCAACTTAGTAAGAAAATCACTTCATTGTGTGGAAAGTGTTATCAGCTCAAACCCCAAATATTAAGAGTAATGTTC
Organism: Homo sapiens; assembly: GCF_000001405.40. NCBI lineage: Eukaryota > Metazoa > Chordata > Mammalia > Primates > Hominidae > Homo > Homo sapiens. The sequence goes on along the minus strand of NC_000003.12, from coordinate 112,820,239 downwards.
TTTCAAACGCTAATATTTGCATGGGAAGTTGGAATATACAGGGGAAAGCTTGACATATTGCTTTTCTTATAAAATTGGAAAGTATTAGCAATGCGTAGTGTGCATTTATTTGTTCAGAAAATTTGTCAGAAACCTACGATGTACAAAACACAAACATGGTTCCTAAACTCTGTCATGAAAGAATGGTATATTAGTAACATTTGAGTCATAATTTAGAAGGTTTTATGATTATGACAGTCCATGAACTCTTAAGAATATTTTAAAATGTTCTTTAAAATGATTGACTCTAATTTGTAACTAGAAGAATGCTTGAAATGATTTTTCACCCCTGTCTGTATTTAAAGGTCTCAGAACCTCAGGATCTCCAGCGTTGTCCTTACTGATCATTCTTTATGTGAAACTCTCTCTTTTTGTGGTCATTCTGGTCACCACAGGATTTGTTTTCTTCCAGAGGATAAATCATGTCAGGTAGGAACTGAAGACTGAAAAGCATAAGACACAGTAGAAAAAAAAAAGTATCATTGTAACATTTTGAGTTTACAATGTACTGGGAAAAGCTTGACACTTTTTTGGTATGTTGTATTCTCCCTCCAGCCCCTTCTTTAATGTGAAGGCATCATTAACAACTGAGAGCCCAGGCAGATGTGCCTGCAGCACTGGGGCAAGAACTTCATTGTGAAAGTGCTTCATTGTGGTTTTAGTCTAGGAGAGAAGTGGCCTAGTCCACATCTTCAGAATTTGGTGGGAGAAAGTTTCTGGGGCTTCTCAAGTGTTTACTTTCAAATTTCTTTGTAAAGGGCTTGTGTTCATTCCTGCTTAATTATATATTTTATGGGCTTTTTTCCTAAAGAATGAAAATCGAAAGAGCTGGATGTCAATTTATATTTGATGAGACATCACAAAAAAAGCAGCCATTTGCAATAAGCCTTTGGGTTCAAAGTCTAGCTTAACTTCTTTTGCGACTTGATGTGATAGTTACTAACATGGTTTGGTGCTGTGTCCCCACCCAAATTTCATCTCAAATTGTAATCCCCACGTGTTGAGGGAGGGACTTGGTGTAGGTGATTGGATCATGGGAGTGGTTTCCCCCATGATGTTCTTGTGATAGTTAGGGAGTTCTCACAATAGCTGATGGTTTTATAAGTGGCAGTTTCCCCTGCTCACTCTCCAGTCTGCTGCCATGTAAGACATGCCTTGCTTCCCCTTCGCCTTCTGCCATGATTGTAAGTTTCTTGAGGCCTCCTAAGCCATGTGGAACTGTGAGTCAGTTAAAAGTCTTTTCTTCGTAAATTACCCGGTCTCAGTCTCTGGGAATTCTTTACAGCAGTGTGAAGACAGACTAATACAGTTACCAAGATCTGTTTCAGACTCTTAGCATACAGTGTAAGTACACATGCAAAAGCTTCGTGCCTGCCATCATAAATGCCTAGGATACTTTATCTACTTTCCCATTTTCCTTGGTAAATTTTTATTTGCAAATGTGAAACAACTGCTTTTCAAAATAAAGAGGAAGATAGCTCAGCAAAAGGCAAATAATGATGCTGGGCAGTTTTTATACACCCTTTGGGTGCTTTAAATGGTGCTTTCCTCACAGCTTCCTGGCTCCTCTACACACCCAAATTGCTAATCAATGCTGCAATGGCAGGAGCCACTGGAAGCACTGTCTGCAAGTCAGCTAGTAGCTGACCTTCCATCCATTACTTGCTTGCTAGCAATTAGTGGAGCAGTAGTATTGCATGTTTGGACTGATTATTGAGTAAATGGCTGAGTCATTTTTAGCAGTATTTGCATTTTAGCAGAAATTGTAAGTTGATCTCAACTAAGGAAATGTCAGTGTCATTGAAGATGACTCTGAAGTTCCCCTTACTTTTTAGAGTTCTAATGTCTCAATTCCCTTTCTTGTTTACACTTTAGGTTGTAGCCGTTGGATGGATTAATGATGCTAAGAGTAAGACACTGGTGAAATCCTTGTATCTTCTAGGGCCACTGTAAACTGAGATCCTATATTCACTTGATACAGATGGTAATCCTATAGTAAAAAGTGATTTTTTATTTAAAAGAAGACTTTTCTTATTTAAAGTAGCAAGTTGATATGTTTTGGCTGTGTCCCCACAAAAATCTCAACTTGAATTGTATCTCCCAGAATTCTCACGTGTTGTGGGAGGGACCCAGAGGGAAGTAATTGAATCATGAGGGCTGGTCTTTCCCGTGCTATTCTCATGATAGTGATAGGTTTATCTCAAGATCTGATAGGTTTATCAAGGGTTTCTGCTTTTGCTCTTCCTCATTTTCTCTTGCTGCCACCATGTAAAAAGTGACTTTCACCTACCCCCATGATTCTGGGGCCTCCCCAGCCATGTGGAACTGTAAGTCCAATTAAACCTCTTTTTGTTCCAAGTTTTCGGTATGTCTTTATCAGCAGCATGAAAACAAACTGGTGATTTGGCCTATTACTTTTATTTTTAGCAAAGCCCTAAGGGAAAAAATGAATGCATAAATTGGATGATATTATATGCATATGGTTATTTAATTGCTGAAACAAACAGGCCCTACATCTCAGTGTATTCACACCACAAAAATTTAATTCTTGCTCACATCACACTCTAGTGCAGTTGGTGGGGCTGAGGCAGGGCAGAGAAGAGAGGTGTTGCTTTAAGCTGTCACTTTATCTTATGGCTCTGCCCTTCTCAGAATATTTTCTAGTTCAGCTGGTGAATAGGAAACAGGGAGACAGAATAGAGGATGTTATGTGGGAGGTGTTTATGGGCCAGGCCTGGAGTAGTAATCACTTCTGCTCACATTCCATTGGTTAGTTCTTAGTAGCATAGCTATATTAACATCCACAGAGGTTGGAAAATGTAGTCTAGCTGCCTTGGAAGAAAAGGAATCAGGTTCACTGCAACATCTAGCCCAGTCTCTGCCCATAATAAAGAATAGAACAAATACTAAGATTAACACTTACCTTTTTGTAATTGAACATAAGTAAAAAATAACTAAATTAGTAAATTATATATATACTATATATAATATGATGTAAGCTGTTGTGTGCCTTTCTTTTTTATTATAATTCCCTTATGTTTAAGACAGGGCATAGAATGGGAATCAGTCCATTAATACAATTTTATAACAGACTAAAAAAATACTACACTGCGGCAGAGATTGCTTGTTACCTGGTTGTATTAGTCTGTTCTCATGCTGCTAATAAAGTCATATCCAAGACTGGGTAATTTATAAAGGAAAAGGTTTAATTGACTCACAGTTCCACATGGCTGGGGAGGCCTCATAATCATGGTGTAAGGCAAGGAGGAGTAAAGCTACGTCTTACATGGTGACAGGCAAAGAGAGAGTGTGTGCAAGGGAACTCCTGCTTATAAAACCATCAGAACTCATGACACTTATTCACTACCATGAGAACAGCATGGGAAAGACCTGCTCCCATGATTCAATTACCGCTCACCAGGTCCCTCCCATATGGGAGCTACAATTGGAATTGATTTCCATTGATTATGGAATTGATTATGGGAGCTACAATATGGAATTGATTTCCATAACACATGGGAATTATGGGAGCTACAATTCAAGATGAAATTTGGGTGAGGACACAGCCAAGCCATATCACTGGTCCAATGCTCATCCTCCCCTTTCTCCTTGTGGCAGATGAGTATATCCATGACTCTAAATCTTCACCTCTCCGTCTATCCATGTAATTTTTCAGTTGACTTTAGAGTTCTTTCCATACAGAGAGTACATATTTATCCATCCTATGCAGTTTGCTTTGGCCAACAAAATGAGGTGGAAGTGTTAATGTATCTGTTTTGAGCACAGGTCTCAAGAAGTTCTGTTCTACTCGTTACTCCATGAGAACATGCCTGGCCTATCCAGATGGAGGATGAGAACCATGTAGATCAGAGCTGTGTCCCCTCAGTCCCATCCCTACCTCTCTGTTGAGGCCAACCTAGAAGATGCAATAGTCAGCCATCCCCTAAACATATGAGTAAGCTCAGTCAAGATGAGAAGACCTGACCTCCACTTGATCCCAGGCATATAAGCAATTGTTGCCACAGAGGTTTTATGGTTGTTTGTTATACAGCATTCCTGGTGTCTTAGGTAATTGACACATTGATTAATAGCATAACTCCAATTTAATTTATTATTGGAATGTACTTAGCTAAAAGGCATTTCTCAGTTTCCTTTGCTGAGTATGCCCACTTGCATAAGCTCTGGAAAATGAGATATAAATACAAATCTTGTGTAATACTTTCAGAAAAGTTCTTTAAAGAAGAAGGAAGGGTCTTCTTTTGCTTCTCCTCCTTGTCTCTGGACTGCAACATTGGTGAGATGAGTGATGGTCCAGCAGTGAACTTGGGCCATGGATGATGTTAAGGATAGAAGCCACTCAGTAGGATAGAAGAAAAGAAAGATGGAAGAAGGATCCTGGGCTTGATGACCATGAAGTTTCCCTATAAACCCTCAACCACCTATTCATTGACTTCTTTTGTGTTAGAGTGAATAAAATTTTGTTCATGCCAGTGTTATTTTTGGTTTTACTCTACACGCAGCTAAACTTAATACTAATTGATACAAATACCTAGTTTGTTAATCTGAAGGTTTGTGTCAATCTTGCTACAAATTATTTTCTACTCATATCCATTTTCATGTCCAATTTTTGTTCTTCCCCTAGTGACAATGAAACAGATGTTCCTACTCATGTGCAATTGTTATGGTCTATTTTCATTCTGCCCATAGAGGTAATGAAAAGATGTAACTTCAGAAGATAGGAATCATAGATATGAATGTTATCTCTATGACAGTTCAAGAAAAATTGTTGGTTATATAAATGCAAGGGATGCTCTGGGCTTGTTGTGGGAAGGGGCTTGAGAACTTGGAGATACATAAAAATGATCTAATAGCCAATCCCTAGATGTGTGAGAACATGTCTACATTATGGGATTCAGAAGGAAGATAAAGATACCGTTATGGGCTTTTAGAGAGAATGTGAGTAGGAGAAACAGGAGAACTGAAATCTATGAAATTTTATTTGTATTAAATTTGTATTAATTCTTTTTTCCACTGGATGAACTTTATTGTTTCTAGAAGAGATTTATGTGAATTCACGTAATTTCTTTATCCCATTCTCACTGCCATGATTAGATTGAAAGAGTAAAAAGCTACAGCTACTACCCCCATCCTCCCACTGCTATATAAAGATAAAAAAAACTCCACTTTTTTTTTCTGAACCCTCTCATGTGTTCATATAGAGCTGACCTTTGAACAACATGGGGGTTAAGGGTGCTAACTCCCCATGCAGTGGAAAACTTGCATATAACTTTTGACTCCCCCAAAACGTTAACTACTAATAGCCTACTGTTGACCAGAAGCCTTACTGATAACATAAACAGTGATTTATATATAGTTTGTACGTTATATGTATTGTTTACTGTATTCTTACAATAAAGAAAGCTAGAGAAAAGAAAATATTAAGAAAATCATTAGGAAGAGAAAATGTATGTACTATTTATTAAGCGGAAGTAAATCATCATAAAGGTCTTCATCCTTGTTGTCTTCACATTGAGTAGACTGAAGAGGAGGAGGAAGTAGAGAGGTTGGTTTTGCTGTCTCAGGGGACGCAGAAGTGGAAGAAATCCACATATAAGTAGATCTGTGCACTTTCAACTTGCTGTTCCAGGGTCAATGATATACATGCCCAACAAATTAACTGTGGTCCTAAATACAGGGAGACTGGGAGCAATTTTTAGCAGAACACAATTGAGAGCCACTAGATGGTGCTTCAACTTAAGTCTCTTAACATTTCGAAGCAAGCTAAGACCTACTAACCTTAAGCAATGTAATCCTGCATTAAAAAAAATTTTTTTCCATACTTCTCCATTTACAAATTCTTTAGGTCTTCTTGGGTGGTTTTGGAACAATTACAGAAGGAGAATAAAATGGTTTAACTTGAAATTAAGGGGAAAAAAATCTTTTTGGTTCCTAAACTTGAATTGTACTACCCTTTTCATTTAATGTTAGTAAAAAACATTTTGTTTACCAAACAAGATAAAGGGATATTAATAGATTCACTTCGGGGAATGGGGAAATGTGAGGATATTTTAGTGGTTAAACCAAGATTAGTACTTGTTTCTTAAACTAGAGAGTTGAGATCACCCAGTCATAAAATGCAAATAGCTGCTTGCTCATGTTAATAGCAGCAGATGGTTAGAGCTACAGATGAAATTAAGTGGCCTTCTTCACTTCCTAGATCCTCCTCCATATCTCCTCCCCCATCATCTTTTAGAGGCATGTGTGGTATTCTAAAGTTAAAAGGAAGCTACGGATAATTGAGGTCAACTTCCTCATTTTGAAAAAGAGGAAACTGAGACTCTCAGAGTTAAGTGAACATGGAGTGTTACTAAGAAGCCAGCTGGCCTACTTGGCTTGTTGCTGAGAGGAAGGCAGCCACCCTAAGGCCACAGTCAGACATGGCACAACTAGGGGAAGAGGGCTGACCATCTCTTTCTTGGTCCCCATCTTACTAATGAGGACTGAGAGCCCTTCACAAGCTTTCCCTCCTGTCTGATTGGCCAAGACTGTATGACAATTCTTTAGCCAATCCCTGGCAAAGGGACTGAGATTTTGCTTATGTTGATTAGTCCTTTCATGCAGATGGGACTAAGATCAACACCTTTCTTCAGACACACATCTTGTGGGAGAGGAGTGAGTGGGACTTGAACAAAATTGGGGCTTTGTTAAGAAGGAGAAATGAAGTATGTGTGTGAAGCCTTGATGAGGGGGATGATAGTAGTCAAACTTAATTTTAGAAGGCACATAAGAACATTGAAGGTGGACGCAGGCAGGGAAGAAAGGCATGCTGGGAAGAGAGGACAGCATGGATGAAGGCAAAGTAGTGTAACAGGGTGTGTCTCTTTCAGGGCAATGGGGAAATTGTCCATATCATCTCCTCACACAAACTCTACATTTCATGAGGTCATCTGAGGACAGAAGACTGCTATTAAGAATGCCAGGAGAGTTTTGCAGGACAAGCAAATCTTGATCAATTTACAATGTTTTCTGAACAGAATGTCCAAATATTCTGACTGATTCACCCAACATTGATTTTAAGATTAAATAAGGAGCCAAGAACATTGGTTTATACAAAGTAGAGAACCAAAGAGAGGCTGGGGAGAGGCAGTGAGTCTGACAGACGATGTCTCTAATCTCAGAAGGGTGGGACTTGGTTTCTGAGCTGGGTAAAGCTGGCAGAGTAGAGACAATTCTCCTTATTCTGGTTTTTCTTGATAAAACATGAAAATTATTCTTGCTCTTAACCCAGTTGAAGAGAGGGCTTGGGGAATAATCTTTATACATTTCTAAATGTCCTTGTGAAAAGTGTCATAGAAACCCAAAGTCTTATTATCCATCCTACCTGTTTCCAAATGCTCCTCATGCACACATTGGTGTGTTCCTCCCTAGAATGTCTCTTCTCCTTAAGACATGGGGGGCCAACACACAGATAAAACATTTTTAGTTGTGACTTCTTCAGTTTGAAGCTCCCACATGTTGAGGAGGGAGCTCTTCAGAGTATAATAGTCACCAGGGAGGAAAGAAATAAGCATCTCTGCACAGGGGAAGGAGGTCATGGGGCTAATCAAGAGAATTTGTAAATATGACAGGAGGGTGACAAAAAACATTCACAGGCTCACATTCAGAAAAAGTAAATTTAACAAGATAACACTAAAACAAGAGGAATCGTGAAGTTCAACCAAATGTTATGACTTTTAAGGGAAAACAATATGAATATCTTTCCAAATCACTGTCATGATTTGCCTGTTCCTAAGCATGCCATCCTCCTGGGAAACAGGTTGTATGTGATTATGAGACTAATCGTTTACTCTTGTTTCTTAACATAATAAAAATGCCTGACTACATCAAAACTTTTCAGTTTCTCCTTAATGTTATCTTTCTGAAAACAGACAGCAAGAGACCTGCTGAGGAGGGCAGTCTGTGGCTAAGATGAGAGTTTACTATACTTCTGAAGGACATTTTATCTACCATGCTGCTTCCTGGGTGCTGTGAGGCCACAGAACCTGGAGAGGAAGCAGGTCTCCTCTGTCGTGGGCACTGCGTGGTCAGGTCATGCTGTTGAGAAGATTAATCTCAGATGTTACTGCCGAGCCTTGGAATGGACATAAACACTTCCGCGGACCTGAGTGAAGCCGTGTGGGAGACAGGAGCCAGACCAGGTCTTTTGTGTGTGTGTCTCACTGCAGAGCTTACAGTTTATTTGCAATTCCTGCACTCCCAACTTTAAGGCTTTTTGCTGAGGACACCATCTGCGACATAACACCTTCAAAAAAACTCTCCCACAAACTTTCCCATATTCCATGTAATGGAAAATTGCAACACAATTTACAAGACATTGAAAACCAAGGAGTGGCCCAAGATGTCAGCTCCAAGAAGCTACAGTAAATGTCTTGGGACCAGAAAGAATGATTAAGCAACTGGCATTCCAGCAAGAAGCATCTGTCTTTTGTCACTCTCCCCAAAGCAACATATAAATGTGCAGAGGAAGGCTGCTATTTCAGTAGGGGCAAAGGAGGTCAGCTGTTTGTAACATTTTCCATCATTCTCTCACAACTAAAACCCAAATCCCATTACTTTCCAACTGCCTATCAGGAGAGGGTGTTTGCTGATGCAGCCCAAGGGTGCCTAATCGCTATCCCCAGTAACCCATGGCAGCCCTTGCATCCTGGAGGATGATTAAATGGCAGATCCTAGGGAGGAGTTGGATGTGAAACCTTAGCCCTATGCCAAACTGGGCTTAGGTTTTTACTTTTTTTTTTTTTTTTTTTTTTTTTGCTTTTTTTTAAGATTTCTATCCAAAACATGCTTTCCTTGGCAGCCTCCCCAGAGGACTGTGAAGTCATAGGGCATAAATTATCCAACTCTTACCTCTGCAGGATGGTAAAACAGATTTAAGAAGACTTGCAAATTGCAGCTGTTCTTGGGCAAGGGCTCTGGCCAGGTCGAAACCAGCAGATCCACCGGTAGTGCACACACATACACACAGGCTGTGTGACAATCCATCTTCAGCTGCCATCGAACACTAGAGCAAGGCTATCTGTGTTCACCCAATCACTCCAGCTTTGTGCTTAACTTCTCACAGTTAATTGTTCTTTTCTTTAATGACTACTTTTCAAAAAGACTAGGAAGTGTGGAATTTATCAGTATTTCTTATTAATGGGTAAAAGATTAAATAGTTGCATCCTACCTTTTCAGTCTATTCTCTGCCACACTCCTTTTATTCCTAACCACACACCCACTGTCCAGCTTTCTTAGAAATTTCTCTCTATCCTTTCCTTACTGCATATTCTGCCTTGGCTTGTGCTGTTTCTTCTAAGATGAAGGTCTTTACCCTCACCCGTATCTTACAAAAGGCTGTTTTCTCTTCAGAGCTACTGCATCTGTGAAAAATTCCTCGGTGCCTGGTTCTGACTTAGGCATTGCTCTACCATAGCAATTCTTTTTATGGTATTTTCTGGATGATCAAGGCCCTAGGCTTTACAGGTATTTGTTTTCATGTGTCTCCACCACTAAGTTGTGAGATTCATGAGGGCAGACAACATATCTCATTTACTTTGCTGTCTTTCAAACTGCCTAGCACGATGTCTTATATATAGGGAATACTTAACAAACATACACTGAATTTGAATTTAAAAACTCAAGAACTGAGAAATATATGACCACTAAAGGGATACATGGATACATTCAGCACATGAATAAATAAAGTTCTATATGACAAAGAATTAGATACAATATTTGCAACATATGTAAGACAAATTGAATACGTGAATGCCAACAAATCCAAAGAAAAAGACAGAAAATCCCATAAACACATGGGCAAAGGAAATAAAATGTCATTTTACAAGATAGGAAAAATGAATGTTTAATAAACGTATGAAGTGATATTCAAACTAAAGAGTAATAAGAGAAGTGCTAATTAAAAATAGCTGAGATATCATTTTTTCATATATCACATTGGTAAAATTAATAATTTTGATAGTATTAACTATTAAAAGAGGTGTAGGGAACATGCAGTTTCTGATGGGAGTGCAAGTTAACACATCCATTTCAGAGAGCAGTTTGCCAATATGACCTAGTAATTCCACTTTTCAGTGTCTACTCAAAGTACTACTATTTGTGTGCACGAGGAGGTAAATATTACAACATGACTTGTAATAGCCAAAAAAAATGGGAAATAAACCTTACTATCCTTTTTTAGGGAAATGTGATGCTATGAAACAGTGAAAAGCAATGATTTTGCCTCAGCAGAGTGGCCTTCTCTGACTGAAATGCCACTCCTGCCTATATCCTTTCACCCACTTTCTTTGTCTTCATAGCACATATCACTTCATGTTATTATATTAGTTATGCACATGCTTATTTGGCTATTATCTTTCTCCCTCTCTAAAACGTAAGACTGATGAGAATAGAGATGTAGCCCGTTTCTCCAGTGGCATATAGGGAGCCCCCAGTAGATATTGCCTGGTGTACTATAGGGACTCAATAAATTGTTATTGAATGAATAATGTTGAACTACATATAACAACATAGAAAACTCACCAAGGCATATTGATAAGAAGAAAAAGAAGTTTACAGAATAATTCATATAGGATGATATAATTCATGTAGAATAAGTACAAAATGATTTCTTTTTGTAATATTATCCTAATAATTTCACTGTCTCCTCGTTCCCTCCTGTTTCTAACGTGGCTATTCTAGACGCATTACCTCAGCAGAAAGATGTAAGTGGACAAAAGGTGGAAATATCACCTACATGTCTCTTCCTACCTCTGCTTTTTAAAAGCATCCAAGCTTTAGGGGAACAGAGGGATTTCTGAGTCTTCTCTCCCATCCTACCCCCGAGCCTAAAAAGCAAAACAAAACAAAAATTCTTTGAACTGAGAGGACAGGACAAATGGAGCAAGCAATGGGACTGTGGATTCCTTTGAGTGAAGCTATCTCTCCCAGGCAGTACCCAGAAGGTGAAAGACCCCAAAGGGAGTTTTAGCAGCTAAGAACCTGGATGGCACTGCAGGAATTCTCTTGCTATAATAGCACTACAGATAGAAGACTGATTTTTAATCTTCCAGCCTTAATGTGGCAAAGGTAGTCTCCAGTTCTAAACAGCTGAAAAGATGGGAACAAGAGTTTTCTTCCTAAATGCCTATGGCGCAGATGATTTAGAGGACCAGATACTTTTCTAACCATTACCAAGTTTAGATGCAACCATGATGGAAGGGAGAATAGAAGGGGTTGATGGACTAGGAGTAATTTTTTCATGAAGCTAGAATACATCCTCTAAATATTAATAATTTTTCTTACAAATCAGAGTTGAGGCCAGGCTTTTACACCTGTATGTATGTAGTTTAATATGAACCTGGAAAAATGTCTGGAAGGTTGCAAGCATTGACAGTGGGTGGTGGTGAAGAGGGGCTTGCTCTGTAATGTTTGAATTTTGTACCAAGAATGTATTCATGCATTCTGTGTTATTAAGAATAAATATTTCCAAAAAATGAAAAGTAAAACAATCCAACATACTTTCTTGCCAAAAGGTAGAGTAACAGTTGCAGGGGTTGCTAAGGCCATGGAGAGGGACTGAGGTTAGAGCTGACAGGCTATTAAGAGTAGATCCAAATGAGGCTGGGATGCAGCTGGCCAAATACTGTTTGCAAAAAGCTGTGATTCTGCCCTTTTGTTTCTTCTTCCTGTAGTATTTCTCTGGCCTGCCTACAGATCTGTTTAGCAGCCTAAATATCAAAATTTATGAGAATTTTGTAACTCAAAAATTAATCAAAGGCATATGAGGAGAAAGATGAAACATTAAATTCAAGTTCTGTCATGGCTATGCCTTCTTAATTATTTGGGAAAACGATATAAAAATCTGATATTTATGACCATCTCAGACTTTTATAGCTGGTTTCAATTCCAAGCGTGTTAAATTGTGTGCAAGTTAAATTTTATTTCCTAAGTGTCATTGCTCTAACTAGTATTCACTTAAAATTAATTTGTTTTTCATATCTTGTTGCCTGCTGTTCTTGAAGCTCATAAAAGGTTTGAAATTATTTTTGGTAAGTTAATACAAATTTAAATGTAAAGCTACTGAAGGAAAATAACTTGGACTTTGTAAAACATTTCATTCTTAAATCACCAGTGCATGAGGATCTCAGACTCTAGGTGTACTGATGCTTATCTCTAATGGTTTCTCTTAGAGATGGTGCCTTTTAACCTTTATTTTTCCATATTGCGATTCAGCTTCTTCCTGTCAATTAACTTGTGCTTTTGAAGACAGATTCAATTGGCCAGAATGAGGTCATCCTCTCTCTTAGGTAGTTACTGTTGACAACAGTCGTTTGATGTGTTTGATTCTTCTATTGTGACTTCGATTGCACCCATCATGATGTAGTATGCACACAGAAGATGCTGATTTAAGCACAAAACACATTTATTAAGGAATATAAGGTAGCTCATGGAATCTCCGTGGTTGTAGCTTACTCTACTGTCACTATGGCCACTGGGCATTGGACACTGCTCCACCTCTCATTGTCCACCTGTTTGCATCACTAGCTCTTGCTTGATTCAAGATCCTAGGCTGGCAAGTGCACATCTTGCCTTTTCTGGGTCCAGGATGAAAGAAAATGCTCAGCCTCTCACCAAGACCCAGAAGGTAGAGAATTCATAAACAGTGAAGGGGAGTTCAAAGGCCAAGAGGGTCTTAAAAACTCACTATTGTCTATCACAATGATTAAAGTGGAATCTTTTTGCACCTACAGACCCTGAGAGGCTTATAAAACACTGGCTCGCTTAATATTGGGTTTTAAATTTCTACCTAAATGTATTAGTTTTATATTGCTGCATAACAAATTAACTAAAAATTTAGCAGCTTAAAATAAAAGTACGCATTATTTCACACAGGTTCTATGGGTCAGGAATTCAGTGACAGCTTAGCTGTTTGGTTCTGGTTCGAGCTCTCATGACACGGCAGTCAAAATGTCAGCTGGGGCTGCAGTCATCTGAAAGCTCGATTTGGGTTTCAGGATTCACTTCAAAGACGGCTTATTCATGTGCTGACTGTAGATGACTAGGGTTGGCAGAAACTTCTGTTCCTTGCCACATAGACCTCTCCATAGGGCTGTTTGAATGCTCTCATGGGGCTCTCATGATGTGGAAGCTGTCAGTGATCCAAGAGAGAGGAAAGTAGAAGCTGCAATGTTTTTTTAAATGACATTTCAACCAGGTGCAGTGGCTTATGCCTATAATCCCAGCACTTTGGGAGGCTGAGCCAGGAGGATTGCTTGAGCCCAAGAGTTTGAAACCAGCCTGGGCAATATAGTGAGACCTCATCTCTATAAAAATTAAAAAAGAAAAATTATCCGGGCATGGTGGTGCATGCCTATAGGCCTGGCTACTCAGGAGGCTGAGGTGGGAAGATCGCTTGAGCCCAGGAGGCAGAGGCTGCAGTGAGCCGAGATTGTGCCACTGCACTCCAGCCTGGGTGACAAAGTGAGACACTATCTCAAAAAAAACAACAACAACAACAACAACAACAACAAAAAACACGCCATTTCTATTTCTGTACAGTATTCTACTGGTAACACAAGTCATTCCTAATCAGTGTAGAAAAGAATTACATTGGGGCATGAACACCAGGAGGAGAGGATCACTGGAAGCTGGCAGACTTAAGCCAAAGCAAAAGAGAAATTTGTGAATTATCTAGTTCATTTCACAAAGGTAGTGGATTCAAATGGATCCACTACCCATGTGACTCTGGGATATATAGACACAAAGGAGGTTATCATAATCACTTGATTTGAAGCCCAAAAGCTTTGTTGAATCCATTAAATTATAATGATTAAACAAAACCCAGAAATTCAAATGTGTCACAAAAAGAGTCAAGAATTTTTTTTAACTAAGGCCAATTTGGAATTTCTTTATTGAAAGATACTTTCTGATCCTCTTCCAAAAATTGTCAGAATAAAATGAGAAATTAGAAAATTAAGAAGATTTGCTCTTTTTGAGCATCATTTGGCTGCTCGGAAAGTTTTTAAAGTATTTTAAAGTATTAGATTCTTTTCATCTAGAATTGTGTTTCATCATGCAGTTTTAGACAATGATGCTTAAAAGATAAAGATCATTGTTTTGCATGCTTTAGGACAAGTCTTAGTCTTTTTCTTGTTTAATCTCATGAGTTTAACTCAGTTTCTTCTCATTCTGCTGCTGCTCTCACAAGATCAACTGAGAAATGGAGAGAAATTTGACAGGGTTCTCTTTCTTGGCTGTAAGTAAAATTATTTGTATATATGCCTGTCTTAGTCTGTTTGGGCTGCTATAACTGCTATAACAGAATACCATAAACTGTGTGGCTATAAACAACAGAAACTTATTTCTCACAGTTCTGAGGGCTGGGAAGCCCAAGAGCAAGAATCCAGCAGGTTCAGTGTCTGAGGGCTTGCTTCCTGGTTCATGAGCAGCCATCTTCTTGCTGTGTCCTCTCCAGGAGAAGGGGCAATGGGGCTCTACAGAGTCTCTTTTATAAGAGACTCTGCTTTCATAACCTAGTCACCTCCCAAAGGCACTACCTCCTAATACTATCACAATGGAGGTTAGGATTTCAACACATGAATTTTAGGGGGACACAAAGAGCCTACAGCATGTGTCTCTTTGGGTTTAAATAAATAACATCACATTTAAGATGAAAAGAAGAAAAGAAAGAAAATCCGTTCCAATAACTAAATTCTTCGGGGCAGAGACAATGGTTTACCGTCTGATGTGAGAGGCGTTCTAGTCCAGGAAAAGCTGAGGAATTTGCTGAGTTCAATCGTATATCAATCATTTCAGCACTGCAAATGGGCTACAAACTAAGGGTGGAGGCAAGACATAGTAGAAGGTCCTGTGAAATTTGATAGTTACAGAGTTATAAGGAGATCCCTTTGAACCAAGAGGAACATTTAGCTGGAACCTCTGCCAGCTGTATGCTGGAGCTAGCTCTTGATAGGTTGAAAGATTTATTATTAAATATTCAGGATATTTGTAAGCTGATCATTAAACCATTGGTAGCTGGAAGTAGGACATAGTAAGAATACTTACACCACACTGCAAATCAGGGTTCCCTTTTTACCCATCACAATAAAGAAGCAACTAATCAACATATCACAGGACCTGTAGGAGGTATATGATGGGGATGTCTTAGAAGATGGTCCTATGATCTACAGTTTACAACAACCTAGTGGTGCGAGTAGTGGTGGAGAAAGCTGAACATCACTGGAGACAAAGCTGGCTCGGCCAACTGAAGGCAATGCTCACAGGACAGAGAAAATTAGTCCAGGGAGAAATTCAGGGATTAAAGCCAAGAACACTTTTTTTAAAAGTAAGAAAGATGACCACAGACCGGAGTTGGATGGTATATAGCATAAAAAGCAATTTGGGATTTAAAAAGGAGACTGGAGCCAATACTTATAGAGGCATCTGCTTCACATACCTTAATCATTTTATCAATCTGCTGAGGCAGGTAGGTGTTAACGTTTAATCTATTTTACAGTCAAGAACATTGAAACTCCAATATTAAGTGGTGGAGACAAGATCCTAACTCAGATTGTTCCACAACATCATTATCTCTTACATCTTATTTTTGTAGAAAGTAGAAAAGGGGAAGAAAGAACAAGAGGAAGAAAAGAAGAAGAAGAAGAAGAAGAAGGAGAAGGAGAAGGAGAAGGAGAAGGAGAAGGAGAAGGAGAAGGAGAAGAAGAAGAAGAAGAAGAAGAAGAAGAAAGAAGAAAGAAGAAGAAGAAGAAGAAGAAGAAGAAGAGGAAGGAGACATAGTAGTGGAGTTGTTCTAGGACCAGAAATCTCCAGAAGGAGCAGGAAAGTGTCTGCAAAATTAGTGAAGAATGACATAAAATTCACTGGAGGAATATCTGAGAAGAAGGAAACTTCTTCACCCAAAGAGGAAGACAGGGTGACCTAAGAAATGGGTCTCGTAACTAAGTTTCTGCTGCAGAGTCAGGAAAGTGTGTGTGCAGATAGGAGAACTGCAGTCTCAGAGGGAACAAAGGAACATTTTTATAAATTAGACCAAAGCTATCATGTATAGTTGAGAGGTCCATACAGCTATTCTACATTCCTGCTGAAGGGCCTGAAGAAAATTGGTAGGGATTTTTCACTGGCTTGAGACTGACTGAAGGGAAAGTGTGCTCCCCTTCAACTTCACCTTACTCCTATTACCTTTTTTGGGACCTCCAGTTCTTCAATCTGGTACTCTTTGAGCATGAAGAACGAGCATTGAGGAATGATATTATGTACTCCTGGAGGGCAGGAGGTTGGCCTTCTTATCTGGTATGTTTCTTAACAGCATGACATATTGGATGAACAAAAATTACGTTTAAAATAAATATGTTGAACAGACAACTAAAGTCTCTTCTAAAAATAAAATTGGCTTCAGGTTCTATAGTTCTACCTCTGTGGTCTCATTGCACAAACATATGTTTTAGATCTTAGGCTATTAAAGACATCTGTCCTGACCTATTATTTATAACCAATGGAAATGAAAAATGCAACCCAAAAGCTTAAAGAATTTGCCTGAGGACTATAAATGGAGCACATGCAAGCTGTTAGATGGCCAAGTTGAGGACCCAGAAATAAGCACCAATTATTCAATCAGACGATGTGGTTCATGACCCCATAGGGGACTCTTTCCTTCCTGCTGTGTAACTCAAAGGATCTGAGACTGTGGGCCCAGACTAAGTCAGAACTTCAAGTGTTGTTTTCTTCTTGTTTTCATTCTGGCTCAAAATCCAGAGGATGTTGAAGCATGGGCAGCCTCCTATCTCTCTCTTTCCAGGAGTAGCTACAACTCTTTTGAAGTTTGTGATGCAGGTTAAACTGTTCTGTTCCTTTGCCTAGGCAAAGAAAAGTACTATCAGGTGAAATGAGATAGCTGTTGAAATTCAGTATTCACATGTTTCCTAGCTCAGAATGCTGAAAAATAAAGTATGAAAGATTCCAATCAAAGGAAGAGATTGAATCACCTTCTGTTCCAGATGGGGCCTCACAATAGTTACAACTGCTTGTTCTGGACACATTTGTCCATCCTCGCTTACAGATGCAGCACCATCCATGAAATGCTTGAGACATCCAGGAGGTGGGCAGTGGATAAACAGAATATATTCATTATTGTAACTGAGAATGCTTTTATTCCCCCTGTCTCTCCCACAGAGTTGGTATAAACATATAAAAGACTCTTGAGTTTGAACTCGTATGTGCCCAGTCTCAACTTTAACAATTTATTTCCCTTTATTTCATAATTAAAAAACTGAAAAAAACTAAAGGTCTGACAATGGTTCTAAATTTTTTTCCTCTTTCAGGACAGTGATAGGGAAAAAAACCCACTAGAATTTGTTAATGAAATACTGCCATTATAGAAACCTAACTGACCAAAAACCAGAAGATCTGTGTTCTAATGCTAGGTTTTAGGTACTTAGCTTTCCCACACCTTAATTTACTCATCTGTAAAAGGAGGAGTTTAGATTAGATAATCTTACCTAAGTTACTTCTCCTCTAAGATCCTATGTTTCTGTGGCATCTGGGTATAACTGCAGAACTTTAGAAGAAAAGTCTGGACCCAAAGGTAGGGGTTTTAGATCTGACTTTGTACATTTTGTGGTTTTATTTCCTCATTTCTAAGAAATGGAGATTAGTGTCTATCATTTGGTGACAAGTGTAATGTGAGATTAGATATTTCCTTGTGTAAGTAATTTGCAAGTAAAATGGTCTATACAGATGGAAAAAAGTCCCCTTCCCAAGATATTAAAGCATATTAAAAAGCTAGAGTAATTAAGCAAATGTGGCATCTATGCAGGAAAATGCAAATAGATTCAAAGAATAAAGTCTAGAGAAGACTTATGTATATATTGACAGGTAGTTTATTGAAGAAAAATACACATAAGCAATACACTCATGAAAAGGTAATATATATTTCTACTAATCTAATAAATACAAATAAAAGCCACAATAAGATAACATTTTGTTCTCATTAAGCAAAAATGAAATATTTGCTATCAAATCTTGGTGAAAGTACAGGGAAATGGGTTCCATGATGCACTGCTGATGAGGGAATAAACTGGGACAGGCATGTGGAAAGGTAATTTGTTAGGGTTATAGCTTTTAATGTGTATATCCTAAGATCAGTAATTACTTTTTTCATATCTACACATGTACCTAAGAAGGTATGAACAAATATATTCATTGCAACAGTATCTATAAGAGCAAAATATTTGAAATGACTCACTTGTAACTCAGTAGGAAGGTGGTTAAACAAAAGGTAGCACATTCCAGCCTGACCAACATGATGAAACCCATCTCTACTAAAAATACAAAAATTAGCCAGGCTGTGGTGGCATGGTGTCTATAATCCTAGCTACTGGGGAGGCTAAAGCAGAAGAACTGCTTGAACTCAGGAGGCGGAGGTTGCAGTGAGCCTAGGTCGCGCCACTGCACTCCAGCCTGGGTGACAGAGGGAGACCTTGTCTTAAAAAAAAAAAAAAAAAAAAGTAGCACATTCATGCTACAGAGTGGTATACAACAGTTACAAAGAATGAGGTGGCTATCTGCAAACTGGCATGGAATTCCCCCTTAATACACACTGTAGAGTAAAAAGCTAGTCATAGAATAATTTGTATTATTTATGTACAAATACACACTTGTGAAACTATATAGCTCTATAGCACACATATGTGCTAAGAAATTCAGAGAAAAGAGTTCTGGAAGGATGCACAGTGAACTGGTAATAGTAGTCACCTTTAAGAAGGGGAGTAGTGATTAAGGAGACATAAACTTTATCCATAGAACTTATTTTTTTAGTGAGATTGTATTCATGTATAACATAAACATTAAAGAAATTTTTTTTGTTTGTTTTTTAAAGGGAGATAAGACAATAAAGTTGGCTATTTCCCATTCAGCCAAACTAAAATCTAACAAGAATTATTTTCCTCCAAGCCACATTATGTAAATTTCCATGCATACCCCATGTGCTAGAATACCACGCAACTCACTGAGTGTGAACCCTTCAAGAACTCAGGCTATTACAGGCCTTATCTTTTGATTTACCCAACAATGCAGCCAAGTGGCTATAACATTTGATTTCTAGAGTATTCAGAAACTGTTACTCAGATTCTGAGTAAAGGTAGTTCTGGGATTTAAACTATTATGGAATTGTTTCATCTGATTGAACTTGCAAGCATAAAGTCACAGAAGACAGTGGTGTTTCTCCAGAGAAATAATTATCCTAATCATTACTGTTACTAGTGTACTGTTGTGGAGTTGCTGTTTGCCTTTACATATAAAGTGCTCTCTTAGAGAAGACTAGAATTCCAAAGCCCAGCTAGAATTCTTCCACTGAATTTTTAAAAGACTATCTATTCCATCAGAAGTTAGTAATTTGAGAAAACACAAATACATGCTTAACAATGGTAATTACTTTTAGAGACAGAAAGCATGCAGAATGTGAAGGTTGGGGATACACAAAGATGAAATTTGTTAGCCTTCAACAATCCTAGAAAGTAGAGAGAGAAGATACTATGATGCCCCATTTTGTACATTAGGAAAATAAGACTCATTATGTCACATTGCAAGAATTCTATCAAAACATCTCATGTATCTCATAAATATATACAGCTACTATGTACCTACAAAAAAAATAAATAAATAAGACTCAGAAAAGGTGAGAAATTTGTTCAGAGCCACCCAGCCAGTAGCAAGTTCAATTTCGTTTTTTCCTTGGCTGAAAATCTAAAACTTTTTTCTCTTCCATTATGTCCCCTACCATCTTGAAATTTGGATATAAAATTTGAAGACACATGTCCAAGTTGATCTACTGTCAGCTGATATTTTACCTAATATCTTTGAGTGCTTCCTAGGCATCTGGCTCCATTCCAGAGTCATTCATAATATTCCCTTAAATCTTATCAGAACTCTGTGAGTTACAGTATTATAATCCCTGCTTCACAAATGAAGAAAGGGAGGCCTAGAAACTAAACAGTTTACTCATGCCACCTCACCAGGAAGTAGTGGAGTAAATATGCAAACCTACAACTTCTGGCTCAACTAAGTGCTTTTCCTTCTAACATTGGTATTTTAATATTCTCAAGGAAGAGCTCTCATCAGCAGACAATACAAACCTTGAATAAGGTTTACCCCCAAATAGACACATGCCCTTCAGTCTAGGTTAACTGCATTTTGTAGGACACTTGTCAAGCGAATCAGTGTAGCTTGGAGTGTTTTTATATGTGGCTGGGAGCCATCTGGTCATATTAGAAAAACAAACCATTTCTAAATAATGTCATGTGTGAGCCAACAAGAGATCCATTCTTTCGCTTCTTCTCAGGGGGCCTCCTAACCTCCTCTACTGGAATGAGTGTTAAGGCTCTCCTTATACTGACCCAGAGTAATTTGTTTTAGTAATGTCTGAGCACTCTGAGGTAATGGTCTTAATGACCTCCACTAGTGCTTTTAAGGGAGTAAGAACCATGAATAAGTAGAACATTTTAATATTTTTCTTTTTTTCTACATTTAAAAATAACTAGCAAATTGACTGTCTAACAGTGAATTAGGATGCATGTCACCATAAACCTCAGGAAAGGGAATTTGAAAGAATATAGTTACAGGGCAAATTTGAAAATGGCAGACATCTTAGAGAAAAAAAGAGCAAGAAAGAGAATAATAACAGACTACTTTCCTAGACTGCTAACTTGTATGAATGATGAAAACATTGTTTATGGGTGTTTACGTATACCAGGCATTTTAT
The DNA here is from genome assembly GCF_000001405.40 of Homo sapiens. NCBI lineage: Eukaryota > Metazoa > Chordata > Mammalia > Primates > Hominidae > Homo > Homo sapiens. The sequence goes on along the minus strand of NC_000003.12, from coordinate 112,799,388 downwards.
AGGAAGTAACTAATTCCATCCTCATAAAAACCCAGTGAAGTAGGTTTGTCTTATTAGTTCCATATTATAGATGAAGAAGCCGAAGCTAGAAAGTGGCAAGGCTAGAATTCAAACCCAAATCTATCTCTGCCTTTAAAAGTTAGGTCTCCTTTTCACACCAGCTCCCACACTGAGGGCAGAGCATGGAATCCACACTAGTGGGTTCCTGAGTATTGTTGAAAAAGGAGCTCAGGGTAAAAATTTGGGAGAGTTTCTCATTCTTCCCAAATGGGCTTCAGAATTGTCTTCATTCTTCTATCTGAAAAGGAAGTTCTTGGGAGCTCAGTCACAGCCATGGTCAAAAGGAAGAGATGCATTCAGAAGCTGACAAGCAGCCCTTCACTTTGCCAACTTGGAGAGAGGGTGTTGGTCTCTGTGGGTACCTTTAAAAATTTATAAAATGTAATTGCTTCTCTTTTGGATATAAGCCATTTTAATTGCATAAGATGGTATTTCATTATAGCTTTAGTTCTGATTTTCTTTTATCTGATGATCAATAATGTTGAGCACTTTTTTCCTCGTTTTTCTTTTTCTTTTTTTTTGAGCCAGAGTCTTGCTCTGTTGCCCAGGCTGGAGTGCAGTGGCAGGATCTAAGCTCACTGCAACCTCTGCTTCCCCGCCTCAAGTGATTCTCCTGCCTCAGCTTCCTGAGTAGCTGGGACTACAGGCATGCACCACCACACCTGGCTAATTTTGTAATTTTAGTAGAGACAGGGTTTTACCCTGTTGGCCAGACTGGTCTCAAACTCCTGACCTCAAATGATCCACTTGCCTAGGCCTTCCAAAGTGCTGGGATTACAGGTGTGAGCCACCGCACCTGGCCTGTTGAGCACATTTTCATATGCCTGTTTGCCATTTGTTTGTCTTCTTTTGAGAAATACCTATTTAAATCTTTTGCCCATTTTTTTTTATCAAATTAGATTTTTTCCCATAGAGTTGTTTTTAAAAAAAGATGTAAACAGTAAAAGAGAAATACCTCATCAACTTCTCAGCTTAAGAAACAAAACTTGACAAACCCAATTAAAGCCCTCTATGTGCCCCTCCCTGATTTCATCTCCTTTCTCCCTTCTACAGATAACCATGGTCCTGAACTCAAGGTGTGTCATTGTCTTGAAATTCTCTATAGCTTCCACATATATTTGTATCCTTATAAAATATATTTTTAAATTTTGCATATTTTAAATTTTATATAAATGGTTTCATATGTGTTCATTCTCCTGAAATTTATAGGTTTTGCTTCTTCTCATCATGTCCGAAGTATTTATCCATGTTACTGTGTGTAGCTGTTCTTCTTTCATTTTCATTGCTAAATAATATTCCATTGTTTGAATATATCACCATTCGTTTAGATATTCTACCATTGATGGATATTCTCCACAATTTTTCTATGATACATAATGCTGCTAATCCTACATGTCTTATTATGTATATATCAAGAGTTTGTCTTGTAAATATAGCTATATTTACTAAAATTGAGTTTTCTTTCTGAACAATTTTATTTCAAGGATTATCTCTGTAAAAAACTCTTGAGGCTGGGCACAGTGGCTCATGCCTGTAATCCCAGCACTTTGGAAGGCTGAGGCAGGTGGATCACCTGAGGTCAGGAGTTTGAGCCCAGCCTGACCTGATTAACATGGTGAAACCCTGTCTCTACTACAAATACAAAATTAGCCAGGTGTGGTGGTGCATGCCTGTAATCCCAGCTACTTGGGAGGCTGAGGCAGGAGAATCGCTTGAACCTGGGAGGCGGAGGTTGCAGTGAGTGAAGATGGAGCCATTGCACTCCAGCTTGGGCAACAAGAATGAAACTCCTTCTCAAAAACAAAAACAAAAACAAAACAAAACAAAACAACAACAAAAAAACTCTTAACATGTACATAGTGAGATGTAAAATGTCGTAACTCCCAGTTCTCCTAATTGGCTGTGTCAATTTACACTTTAATTTTATTTTGTAGAGACAGAACCTTGCTGTGTCACCCAGTCTGGTCTCACACTCCTGGCCTCAAGCAATCTTCCTTCTTTGGTCTCCCAAAGCACTGGGATTACAGGCATGAGCCATAGTCCCTGGCCTACACTTTAATGGTTTTATTTTTTAATATCATCTCCAATTTGGTTTTGTTAGACTTTTTATCTTTTGCTACTCTGAAGGACCGAAAGAGTATCTCATGATTTTAAAATACATATCTTTGATTATTAGTCAGGTTGAGTGGCTTTTCATTTGTTCATAAGCCATTTTTTTCTTGTGCTATCATTTGTCATTGTTCATATTTATGTTTCCTATTGATTTGTGGGTGTTCTTTATATATTCAGGCTATAATTTTTTTGTCTATGTATGCATTGCAAGTAACTTCCCCTATCTGTAATTGTTTTTGTATCTTGACTTTAGCATTAGCAATGCCAAGTAGACAAAACAAATCACTATTTTACAATTTTTGGTGCTATCGTTTTTACTTTTCAAGAACATTACAATGGGATTTGTATGAAGACTATTGTGATTTAAAATTATCAATGTCACTGGTACTTGTAGTGAAACTTCCATAGAGTTCTCCATTTCAGATAAATTTGAACTTCCATGTAATTTTCTTTTAGGACAAAATAATCATGTAATCAGCTCAAGCGAAGTTTTTACATGTGAATAATTTGGACATAATTTTATGTGACTTTTTTTCTCTTGTTTCAGAAGATGAGAAGAATTGTGTTTTTAGCAAAGCATTTAGATATCAGTATGTTTTAAAACAAATGTAACCAGCTAAAAACTGGAATGTGCTTGTTGGGGTGAGTTCCCTTCAAAGCAAAGATCAAAATTAAAGTTGTCCTCTAATTTACAAGGACAGTTCTTCACAACTTGGTTCTTGGTCATCTCGTG